>NC_000014.9:68399591-68702622 GCF_000001405.40 Homo sapiens | reverse complement strand
CCATGCCCCTCCCCTGGCCTTCCTTCTGCACTTCAGTGGCTCTCGTGTACAGATAGTCTCTTTGCTTTAAGGGCTCTCCTCTGCTCTAGAAAAAACCCGTGATGCTCTTGGTCCTTTCTTGACCCCCTTCTCATGGGGACCCAACCTCAAGAGCAAGCAGGACTGTGTTTCCCAGGGCTGGGGGAATGTCCAGCTCCCTTGCAAGTGGGCTTCTTCCCTGCAGAGCAGCTCGTCTGGTTGCTTGAAGTGTTACTGACACATCACTATCCAAGGACCCTGGGGCATCAAGGTGTGAACTCCCAGCCCAGGCTGCCTCAGGCAGGGATTCCCGCAGTGCTGGGCACCTGAGTGGTACCCACGGAGACTGAGGCTGGGGTAGCCTGTTTCCAGTGCTGACTGCTGCTTGCTCCCTGGCATGTGGCTCCTAGAAGCAGCAGCTCTACAATGGGGGCTGGGGCCTCAGTGGCTGCATCTAGCTGCTCAGGTGGCCTTGACCCCTGCCTGAGTGTGTGTGGGGCGGTAACAAAGTGGGGGAAGAAGCTGTGCTCACATATTTTCTTGACAGCAGCAAACATCAAAAGGGGTCTCAATCCTTAAATAATGATAACAACCCGGCTGGGCGCAGTGGCTCACCCTTGTAATCCCAGCACTTTGGGAGGCCAAGGCGGACAGATCATGAGGTCAGGAGATGGAGACCATCCTGGCTAACACAGTGAAACCCCGTCTCTACTAAAAATACAAAAAATTAGCCAGGCGTGGTGGCAGGTGCCTGTAGTCCCAGCTACTCAGGAGGCTGAGGCAGGAGAATTGCGTGAACCCGGGAGGCAGAGCCAAGTTCGCGCCACTGCACTCCAGCCTGGGCGATAGAGTGAGACTTTGTCTTAAAAAAAAAAAATGATAACAACCCAAGTTTATTGGGTCTCTATTATATTCATTTATAGTAAGTTTATGTTTAAGTACATGTATTTATTTATACATATATTGACTCATTTAATCCCTACCACACCCCAAAAAAGAGATACTTTGATGATGTCTGTTTTATAGATGCGAAACTGAGGCTCAGAGAAGGGAAGTAACTTGCCCTAGTAGTAGTGATAGTAGTGGGTTCTGACATTCTGAGTTCAGGCCTGGGCAGCTGGTTTCCAGGTCTGCTCTCTGGCCACTGTACTATATTGCCTGGGTAAGGACACTTTTGAGAAGGTCATATGGGTTCCCCTGGATGTCTCTCATGAGGCATCTATTTTTTAGAACCTTGAAGAATGATCCAAGCTAACCAGGAAGAGAAAAAGGGGTGGTGCGGGGCCCAAAGACGGGGCCTTCCAGGCAGAGGTGACAGGGCAGGCAAAAGCTTGGAGGCCTGATGGTGCTAGACAAAAGCAGAGAACTATCAGCACATCAGTATTCCTAGGAGGCAGGTGTGACAGAAGATGAGCTGGTGAGGTTTGCATCATAAGGGCCTGCAAGGCCATGCTAGGGCCCTGAGCTTTGTCCAGCCTCTGCCGCCCGGCCTGAAAGACCACAGGAAAGAGGAGAGCCTCATAGAGCAGGGGCTGACAACAGTGAGACCAGGTGGACACGCACTACCTGGTTTCAAGAGTTACCATAAAGCTAGAGTGAACAAGGCAGTGGAATTGGTGAAAGGATACACATTTGTAACAGAAGAACCGAATGGAGACCGCAGAAATACACATGCATAGTCAGTTGATTTCTGACAAAGTACAGAGGGAATTCACTGGAGACAGATGGGGTCTTAGTTTGTTCCTGCTGCTGTAACAAAATACCTGAGACTGGGTCATTTATAAAAACAGTGATTTATTTTCTCATGGTTCTGGAGGCTGGGAAGTCCAAGATCAAGGCACTGGTGGATTCGGTGTCTGGTAAGGGCTGTTGTCTGCTTCCAAGATGGTGCCTCTTGATGCATCCTCACATGGCAACAGGGACCAACAGCTCCCTCACACCTCTGTTGTAAGGGTGCTAATCCCATCTGTGAGGGCTCTGTTCTCATGAGTTAATCACCTCCTAAAGGCCCTAACTCTTTTATTTATTTATTTATTTATTTATTTATTTATTTATTTATTTATTTGAGATAGAGTGTCACTCTGTTGCCCAGGCTGGAGTGCAGTGGCACGATCTCAGCTCACTGCAACCTCCACTTCCTGGGTTCAAGTGATTCTCCCGCCTCAGCCTCCCAAGTTGCTGGGATTACAGGTGTGTACTACTATGCCCGGCTAATTTTTGTATTTTTTGTTAGAGATAGGGGTTTCACCATGTTGGCCAGGCTGGTCTCAAATGATCCACTTGCCTTGGCCTCCCAAAGTGCTGGGATTATAGGCATGAGCCACTGTGCCTGGCCTAGGCCATAAGTCTTAATACTATCACACTGGCAATGAAGTTTCAACATATGAATTTTGTGGGGATACATTCAGAGCATGGCAGATAGTCTCTTTAAAAAATGATGCTAGAGCATCTACACATCCATGCAAAAAAAGAAAAAAAGAAAAGAAAGAAAAGAGGAGAGAGAGGAAAAAAGATTGAATGTTGACCTATAACTCAAAATGGATCATAGACCTAAATGTAAAATGTTAAAATGTGAAATACAGAAACATAAGTGAAAGTACAAAAGAAAAAGCCTAAAAGCATGAAAGAAGAAAACAGGAGAAAATCTTTCTGATTTGGATTAGGCAAAGATTTCTTGGATATGACATTGAAAACACAATCCAGAAAAGAAAAATTTATAAATTGGATTTCATCAAAATTAAAACCTTCTGTTTTTAGAATGGCACTGATAACAAAGTAAGAAGACAAATCTTCTATGCAGACTGGGAGGAATATTGCAAAATCTGTATCTGACAGAGGACTTGTGTCTAGAATATATTAAAAATTCTCAAAACTCAGTAAGAAGAAAACAAACAATCCATTTTTTAAAAAATGGCAGAATACTTGAACATATACTTCACCAGAAAAGAAATATGAATAGCAAATAAACACATAAAAGGTGTTTAACATAATTAATCACTAAATTTAAATCATAATGAGAAACCACTATTATTATTTTGGAATGGATAAAATAAAAAAAAACATTCAAAACACAAAACTGACAATATTAAGTACTGGGGCGGGGGATGTGGAGCAACTGGAACTCTCAGACATGCTGGTGAGAATGCAAAACAGAACAGCCACTTTGGAAAACAATTTGGCAGTTTGATATGAAGTTAAGCATATACTTATTATATAAGTGAGGAATATAACTTTAAGGTATTTAACTGGAGAAATACAAACTTCTGTCCACAAAAAAACCTGTGGACAAATATTTATAGTGGCTTTATTCATGGTGGCCCAGAACTGGGAACAACTCAAATGTCCTTCTATTACTGAATGAATAAACTGTTACACATCTATGTACTGTAACACTACTTATCAATGGAAACGAACTTCTTCTTTTTATCTGAGACAGAGTCTCACTCTGTCGCCCAGGCTGCAGTGCAGTGGCGCGATCTCTGCTCACTGCAACCTCCACCTCCCTGGTTCAAGCAATTCCCCTGCCTTAGTCTTCCAAGTAGCTGTGATTACAGGCACACGCCACCGCATCCGGCTAATATTTTTGTATTTTTAGTAGAGATGGGGTTTCACCATGTTGGCCAGACTGGTCTTGAACCATTGACCTCAGGCAATCTGCCCGCTTCAGCCTCCCGAAGTGCTGGGATTACAAGCATGAGCCACCGTGCCTGGCCAAAAACGAACTTCTTTTTTTCTTCAACTTTTATTTCAAGTTCAGGAGTACATGTGTAGGATGTGCAGGTTTGTTACACAGGTAAACGTGTGCCATGGGCTGGGCGCGGTGGCTCACGCCTGTAATCCCAGCCCTTTGGGAGGCTGAGGCGGGTGGATCATGAGGTCAGGAGTTCAAGACCAGCCTGGCCAAGATGGTGAAACCCGTCTCTACTAAAAATACAAAAATTAGCCAGGCACAGTGGCAGGCACGTGTAATCCCAGCTACTCGGGAGGTTGAAGCAGGAGAATCACTTGAACCCAGGTGGCAGAGGTTGCAGTGAGCTGAGATCACGCCACTGCACTCCAGCCTAAGCAATAGAGTGAGACTCCGTCTCAAAACAACAATGACAACAACAACAACAAACCATGTGCCATGGTGGTTTGCTGCACAGATCATCCCATCACCTAGGTATGAAGCCCAGCATCTATTAGCTATTCTTCCTGATGCTCTCCCTCCCCCAACTCCACCTCTGACAGACCCCAGTGTATGTTGTTCCCCCTGATGTGTCCATGTGTTCTCACTGTTCTGTTCCCACTTATAAGTGAGAACATGCAGTGTTTGGTTTTCTGTTCCTGTGTTAGTTTGCTGAGGAAAATGGCTTCCAGCTTCATTCATGTAACTGCAAAGGATGTGATCTTGTTCCTTTTTAATGACTGCATAGAATTCCACGGTGTATATGTATCACATTTTCTTTATCTATCATCGATGGGCATTTAGGTTAATTCCTTGTCCTTGCTATTGTGAATAGTGCTGCAATGAACATACATGTGCATGTGTCTTTACAATAGAATGATTTATATTCTTTTTGGGTATATACCCAGTAATGGCATTCCTGGGTCAAATGATATTCCTGCCTCTAGGTCTTTGAAAAATTGCCACACTGTCTTCCACAATGGTTGAACTAATTTACACTCCCACCAACAGTGTAAAAGCGTTCCTTTTTCTTCACAACCTTGCCAGAATCTGTTGTTTTTGACTTTTTAATAATTGCTGTTCTGATGGGCATGAGATGGTATCTCACTGTGGTTTTGATTTGCATTTCTCTAATGACCAGTGATGTTGAGCTTTTTTTCATATGCTTGTTGGCCACATGCATGTCTTCTCTTGAGAAGTGTCTGTTCATGTCCTTTGCCCACTATTTAACGGGGTTAATGAAAACGAACTTCTGATACAGGTAGCATGGACGAATCTCAAGTGCATTAGGCTAAATGAAAGAAGGCAGATTCCGTGCTATGCCCCTTATGATTCCATTTATATGGCCTTTTGGAAAAGGCAAAACTAATGGGTCAAAATACCTGATGAGCAGTTTTCAATGGCTAGGGCTGGGGGAAGGGGTTGACTATAATGAAGCCCTGCAGAATTTTAGGGGGTGATGGAACTGTTCTGTATCTTGATTGTGGTGATGGTTACACAACTGCATGCATTTGCTAAAACTCAAAGAACTGTATTTTAAAATGGATGAATTTCATTGTATGTACACTTAATTTCAACAAACCTGACCACCACCACCAACACCGCCACCACCACCAACAGAGGGTAGCTAGGTTATAGGGCATAAGACAGAGTTGGGGAGACCCACCTTGGGCCTGGTCCCTAACTGGCATTCTGCCTCATCAGACCCTGTCTTCCCATCCCTGAGGGCTCAGCCAACTGCTACAGAAACCTTGCTCCCTGCAGTTTCCAAAAGCCAGAAAGGGAACCATTAATAAGCCCCTCCTGTGAAGTGTTAAGGTCCTCGTTTTTATTAAATGCAAGTGCTCCTGGGAGGGCTAATAGCTTAAGTTGAGGGAGGCTCTTGCAGAGGAAGGATGGGAACAGAGACAGTTTTCTAGGAGGTTGGAGAAGAGCGGGATGGAGTGGAGGATAAGCCTTCAGTGTGGTTGGTGGCACTGGGCTGCTCCCATGCATCATGGGCGTGTTGGGGGCAGGGGGTTAGGAACTACATGGAAGACAGGCACGCACCCCATGCTTGCTTTTGGGTTAGTTTGCAAAGTCTTCCCTCCCCACCTGGCAACCACAGCCCCTGCCTGGGCTTCCTTCCCCAGTACCTTCCTCAATCACCTTCGAATTATCCAATGCCAAGTACAAATAGCCAGGTTTGGGGACTTATTTTTTTATGGTAACTAAACACAAAGGCCTCAGGATCTTCATTTGGTATATTTCTGCTTCCTTGGGTCTTCTGGGGTTCAGATGACCTTAGGGCTTCTGTCTTAAGGGAAGTTTCCTGGTCAGTGAGAGGAGCAGAGGGCTGGAGTAGGTATCAGGGCTCCAGGCTTCTGTGGTCTTGCCATGCCAATGAGGAGGTTGGAGGATTGGCTAAAGCAGCTGCTGGGGGCCTGTAGCTAATGATTGGACTTTTTTCTATACCATTTTCTTCAAATTTTCCATGCACCTTCCCACCGCAGGACCTTTGAACATGCCATTCCCTCTCTCTGGGGCTCCTCCCCTTCAGAAGTTATGTTGGACTACCACTCACTGCACCCGACTGTGCCTGTGTGCTGAGGATACCAGAATCAGGAAGACAAGGGTCTCATGTGAAAGAAGACTCCGGCCTAGGGAGAATGGTAGTGAGAGTGGTACTAACTAAAATAATAATAACAGTGGCAACAACACTGGCAGGGCCGTTGAGGGAGCACTCACGAGGTGCCAGGCATTTATGTGCACTATGACATTGAAAACTCACAACAGTCTTACAGATGGACAGTGTTATTATCCCCATTTTATCAAAGAGGAAACAGGCTGAGAGAGGATAAGTCACTTGCTGAGCTGGTACATGGCAGGGTTGGAACTTTGAGTCCAAGCCTCTGGGACTCCAGAGTCATGTGTTTGGCCACAGTGTTTTCCCACTACACCCAGAAAAGTCCCCCTCTACCCCATAGGAAGGAAAGTCACATCCAACTTCAACTTGGCAGGTCCTCAGTTGGATCATTTAGAAGGAATGAAAAACAAGAGTAACATTGGCTATTGCATAGGATGCAGGCTACCAGCCTAAGACTGTGGGCCAAGGAGGGCTGGGCAGAGGTGCTGCACATACCTGGCCACCTGGCCCCAACTCTTCCTCTAAGACTCTTTCCACTCATTGTACTCATAGAGGACTTTTTTCCAAGGTGTGAAATCCAGAACAGACTGTTCAGGGTGACCAGAGGCTTGTGGGAAGACGCCTCGGGGCATGAGCCTTCCTGACTCAGCGCTCTTCCACTCCAGTTTTTGGACAGAGGTAAGGTATGTACTTGATGTTGAGCCCACAGCAGACCAATAAGTCATCCTCAGCCTCCCAGAGTCTGGTGGGGCTCTGTTGTCTAGTAAGCTGAAGACAATACTTCATGAATAACGTGGGTGTGATGTTGAGTAACAGTGATGGTTGATGGGCTCGGGGGCTGACTCATTTCTGAAGGCCTTGAATCAGACCAATGTTATTTCCTTTGGTTTTCAGTGGACCTAACCCAGATTGCCCTGAACACCTGCCCCTGTTGCTGAATCAGAGATGTGGGCTCTGGCCGGCGGAGGACCAAGACTTTACTGTGGGGCTCGAGCCCAGTTAAAGAAACACTATCCAGGAGATTCTATCATGGGACTTGAGGCTGGTGGACAAAGCGGGAAGAGGAAGGCCCGGTCCAAGTGAGGGGCATGGGTTTTGAGTCCACAGAAAAGAGGGGGAATATGCTTTGGTTGAAACCAAAAAAGCTCAGAGGGAAGATACAAAATAGGACCCCTGAGCAAGTTTAGATTTCTGTTTTCCCTCCCTCTCCTAGCACTCCTCTCATAAGCTGGGTAGAGGAGAAGCAAAGCCAGGAAATGAGTCCCTGGATAAGGCAGGCTTCGGGCAGGCCAGTGCCCAGTGCCTGCACTGCAATCTTAAAAGTGACCTGGAGCAAGATCTGACCAGGTGGAGCTCCCACCCTTAGCTGGTGAGCCCAGCGCCTCCTGTGTGGGGCGGTCTGGGCTGCCCAGCTATGGGCTTCACAGACATCCCCAGAAATGCATCTGGGGAGACCCAGCTCCCAGGGGAGCTCCTTGAAGGCAGGGTGGCGTCTTCTCTCCCTGCTTCCTGTGGCACATCCTGAGCTTTGGGTGCTCAACAGAGGGTGTGGAGGAAGACGCTGTGAGGATGACTCTGGAGCAGTTACCAGGACAGAAGACTCCAGGGAAGACAAGTAGGGGGCCAAGACCTAGGAGGAGCCTTTCACAAACCGCAGGTCCAAGTGGGAGGTGCCAGGCCCCAAGCAGTCAACACTTCTGTTATTGTTAGGGGTAACCCTGGCTTTAAGCCAAACCACGATATGTAACAATTATCCAGATTATCCAAATTGTATGAAAACACCACATAAAATTATTACTCAAATTTTAGCTGTTCCCAGACAGCTTCTGGGAACACATCTATTGCACGGAGTCAATTGTATTGTGTGAAATGTGTGGATGGCAGGTTATTGAACTCCTAGGTCCCAAGTAGCCTCATAAACATGAAGACTCAGGGGACCATTGGCTCCCCTGCTCTGCTCTTTCTTTTGTCTTCCATTTCCTTCTGTGGCTTTCAAAGTCCCATGCCTAGGAAAATCTGCTCTGCGGACAGCCTGGAAGAAATGGGAGTCCTGCTACAGACGGTTTGCCAAGGCTTGGCCAGGGAAGTTTACTGCATTGCAGCAGCTTAAAAATGCAACTGGATGGGCATCTCTGCTTTGGAGCATCAGCAGTGGCATCACAAAATGTGGGCACTGAGAGAGACTCTGAAACTCTAGTCCAACTCTCCCCTGGGAGCTCCTTCTCTAAAATTCCAAAGGCTGCATTGTGGCTGGTGTGGGGCCCTGGGAGCATTGCTGGCACTCTTGCCACCCCTGCTCCCTCCCATCCCCTTGTCTGCAAATATTGCCAGGCCCTGTGTAGTTGTCCCAAAGTTCCCCTGTGTCCCTTGCCTCCCTCCAGGGAGAGAGAAGCTTGCAGGTTCTACTGAACCTCCCAGCTAATCTAAGCGGATAGATAGAATGACAAATGATTTCTTCAGCAAGGGCTCCTGCGGAAGAGTCAATGAGCTCCGTGCTTCCCCAGGTGGAAAGGGTAAACAGAGACAGAATCTGAGCACATGCAGCAAAGAAGCTCGTGATGAGGTTCAGCAGGCGGACGAGTGCTAGAACACAGTCTTTGACTTGCTCTTGTTCCCGGGCCCTGACTGGCTCCCTCTGTCATTCCCCACCTTCTTCAGTACAGTTCTCTCTTTAAATTTTTTTTGGTCGTCAAATGATCCTTTATTGAAATATTTCTATATGTAGCCCTTAACTAGCTGGCCACTCCACCCGCACCACTATCAAAGCCATCTGTGATGTCGTGAGGGTGGCGCCATCAACACTACAGCCCACAGACTAGGCAGTCCTCACGATCTCTTTAATGATTCCAGAGAGTTCTCTGGCTAAAGATCAGTGCTGCATCTGTTGGGCAATGTTGATGATCTCACCACAAATGATATTTCCACTGTACTTAATGTTTTTCTGCTTGTTTCTGTCTCTTGGTGGTTCCTCAAGGGCTTTCATGATCACTGCAGAGGCAGAAGATGCCACTTGAATCTGGCCTGTGTGTTCTGCACCGTCAGTTTCACTGGGATCCTCTGGCCCTTCCAGTCACTTGTCTTGGTGATGTCCTCATTGGCCTTTTTTGGAGACAGACCCAGGGGGCTGATCTTAGGAACCAGAGCAGATGTAGTACTGACTTCCCCACTCGTGCACCTCAGGTATACGACTTTGATCTTGTTGGGGTTGAACTTGGGTGACATGGCAGAGGTGGTGGGTTTCCTGGCCTGCCATTCACAACGTCATTCACATGCCCTTCCAGGCTCATCTCCTAGCACCTCCCTCCACATTCCTATGTGCCAGACATATCTGCCTATCGTCACCACCTATGGTGGGCTTGGGTGCCTCTGGACCTGCTGCTCACTCTGCCTGGAATATATTTCTCTCAGCTAAACTCCTGCCCATCTTTTCAAGCTGGAATCAAATCCCCCTGTCTAGAGTATTTCCCGGATCCCCATGGAGAGGGTTAGGCAAAGACCATGAATGTTGCCGGCCACTTTACGGGAGAGAGGGTTTATCTCATTGCACTGTAATCAACAGTAGCCTTACTCTCTAATGCCCCTGACACGAGATAGGCACTCAGTAAATGGTCCTAGGAGTGAATGAATGTGTGAAAGAATGAATGAGCTGGTGGCAGGGTAAGAAAAGGAAACAGATGTGTCCATTAAGGGAAAACCTGCCTTGTGATTGGTGCCTCTCAAGACCTCATTCAGGATGTCCTCTCTGGAAGCTGGCTTTGGGGTGCTGCCTCGCCCGCTTTTGCCCCTTCGTGCTAAGTAAGAAGTTCCTCGATAACGCTGTGCTGTCTGCCTGGCCTCTTCCAAGGATTGCTTCATTGGCTGCTGGCTCCTGGCTTTTCTGGTCACTTCAAGGAGAGATGTGCACATCTCTCCTTGGGGGTTAATGCCTGAGAAAGCCTGGGAATCAATCAGATCTGGGCTAAATCAGACGAAGGACCTCACGCTCTGCAGTGAGGCTGGAGTCTGCTTGGGGGCAGCTAGACAGATGCTTCACAGAGAGGGAGAAAAGTTTCCAGGGTCCGGGGTTCCAGCATTCTTTGTGGGGGTATGAGGAAGTCCTTGAGGAAGGGGCAATAATAGAGATAATTTATTGGGTTGAGGTTGGATGAGAGGGAGACTGGGGGCGGCGGCAGGGGTCTGGGAGAGGGTGGGTGAATGTGTGTGTGCATGTTTTGTGGGGAGGGAATGTGGGAAAGAAGGGTATGGACAAGGCCTGACTGTGAGGGCAGGAGAGAGCTGGGGAGTGAGGGTGGCTCAGGGGCCCAGCTCTGCAGCCCCTGAATAGTAAGTGCCTGCAAAAGCTTCGCAGGCAGAATGGAAGAAAAGGCAGAATCTGGACTCACAGGCCCTGGCTGTATTGAAGGGGCAGAGTCCCTGGGGCAGGGAGCACCCTTAGCTTGGAAGTGTTAATGCAGGTTCAGGTTAGGGCCTCCACAAGAGGCCCAGGAAGCAGAAACAGAGCTGACGACTTGCCCGGTGCCAGGCACAGAGACCAGGAGGAGCAGTGTGGGAGCTTCTCAGCCATGGTTCCATGCATTTCCCCCTCTTCCTCACAATCGCCCCGGGGGCACAGGAACAGTTTGGGCCCAGGCTGATGAGGAGTGCGGGTAGCCTGTTTCCCACCTACCCGCCAGCAGTTTATACACTAATAGCCCACAGCACCCCAGGAGGGGGTGAACGGGGATCCATTTGTTTTTCCAGAGTTTGACCTCTGGGTAAAACTCTTTCCCCAAAATGTGCCGGTTTAAGTGAAAGTGATAAATCAGCCCCTTTGAAATGCAGAAGCAGCTTGGGGAAGCCCCCTTTGATATTCAGCTTGGAACCGGGGCACTTAAAACCTGGGTTAATTCTCCGGCTTTATTGGAGGCAGAGAAAGAGAAGAGGAGGAAACCCAGGGCTGGTCATTAAGTCTGGGGGACTTGAAAAGCCCGGGGCAGGGGCCGGGCTGCCGCAAAGGGATCACGAAGGCAAAGCGGCCCTGGGAAAAGCATCCCGGCCCGATGAACTCTAATCCCGGTTCCCACCCAGACAGATGAGACGCGGAGGGTGGTGGAGAGGAGGGGGCGGGCAGGACCGGAGAGAGGCTCTGGAAGATGGGGAGGCGGTTGCCATGGAAACGGGGCGGGCACTGGAAAGGAGAAAGCCAAGGGCTAACTTGGCAATTTCCTGAAAGGAGCTGAGAATTCAAGAGAGTGTGTGTCCCATTCACTGGGCGGCTTGTGCTTTCAGAGGTCTGGGGGCTGCGGCCCCTCCATGGGAGCCAGCGCTCTATGGCGGGCCTGTTACCTCCAGAGCCCTGGCCTGGGCCCTTCATTAGAAACATCTGCTCCTCATAGGCTCCATATAACAGAGTGGAGGGGGGAATAAGGCCTTGAGGCCACTACATGCCTTTCAGAGGGTGGGGGGCCACTGAGGATGCAAGGCTTTCTCCCGCGTTCCGCTCCCAGAAGGGAGGAAGGGCTGGGTGTGGGGGCACAGGGGCCCCAAGGCTGCTTTGTGCTAGTAAGGGGACCCTGCATCCTGGATTTTCCAGGGTGGTTCCCACTGTTATTCCCGCAAGTGACAAGTCCCAGTCTTGGAGTTGTCAGAGACGGTGTTCCAATTCGGGGTCTGGGACAAGCGGCCCCAGTAACTACTCTCCAAGGAGATTCCTCAGAGTTTCCGAATGTGGGTCCTGCCTCCTGACACAGCTGCTGCCAGCCAGCCTGTGAGCTGCGGGCAGGGATGAGCGGATGAGTGGCGGGATGGTTGGGCTGCTGCCTGTCCACCCCTGCTCTGTCTTTTATTTGCAGAGGAATGGGGAGGCAGGTAGGGAGTAGAGGATAGGAGTTGAGAAAGTAAAAACTTGATTCTCTAGAGCTTGGTCCTCCCATTTCAGACAGGCCAGAGGAGAGGGTCCTTGCCAGCCCCTGCTCCCCTCTGACTCAGGAGTGCTAAATTCCGGGGAACATATTTACTATGCTGTTGGGCTGGCCTTTGCCTGGCATGGGTTCTGGCTCAGTGGTTTCAGACACAAACACTCAGGATCAGCTTGGTAGCCTGGGACAGGGGTGCTTCCTGAGCCCCCCAGCACCTCTCCCTACCCCCTCCTCATGGAATCAGGAGCCCATGTCCTCTGGAGGAGCTCCTCCACTTGTGACTTCCACTCAGACCCTGGCCTGCCTGGGACCGAGCAGGGCCTCAGGGGTCCACCCTGGTCTCCTGAAGCCTTTCCGGTGTCAGAACAACTCACCTACAACTGCACTCCTCAGCAGGTCTCAGGCAAGGAGGCAAACTAAAGAAATCACAGAAATCACTTGCTTTTAGGCTTCTTTAACTTGGCGTAATGGAGGGCGACCCTCTAGAAGTTGGGGGGCTGTCACTTCCCACCTCCCTGGGGGATGTGGGGAGGTGGGGACAGAGGACCCTCAGCAGGGCCCAGTGGCCCTCAGATCTGCTGCCCACTTTGCAGTCATCTCTGATGCCTCCTCCTTGCTCTCCTGCCCTTGGGGTGGCCAGGAGGAGGGGGCTTGCTCTGTGCTTTACTCCCCCCTCACTTTGAACCTCCACAGTGCTGGAGCACGTCATCAAGCTAAAGCAGCAGGGGCTGGCCAACCTCCTGAGCTCCATTCCCGACTGCAAGGGAGGTGGGCTTTGGAAAGGAGGGTGGGAGTCGGGTTCACAAGGTGCCTGCTTGAAAGCAGAGCCAAGTGGCATTACGAAAAAGGGGCTGGCCAAGGGGAGATACCGTCAACCCAAGGCCCCAGAGAGAAGGAAGTGATGGGGGAAAGGAGGAATTGCAGGGTGTGGGGTCCACAGAGAGGAAGACAGGAGAGAAAAGATGGAGGGCGGTTGGCAGGGAGGGAAGGGAGTGTCAGAACCAACTCCTGGTCAAAGCAAGTGAGGGTCAAACTTAGGTTGTGTGAGATGTTGCTGGGAAAAAAATCTGTGGTGGTGGTGGGGTGTGTGTATGTGCACATGCATGCATAGGATCCTGTGTCCAGATACACACACACACACACACGCACACATACACACACACCCAGGGGGAGCTACAGGGTAGGCCTGTGCCAGAAACTGCTGCATTCTTCTCAACCCTAAAGCCAAGGCTGTCTTTGCAAAATGCTTTCTCATTACTTGCAGGCACATTTTCCTCTACTGCACTCGGCTCTTGTTTCTATGCGCTGCTGCAGTCAAGGCTCTTTCTCCCTCCTCCCTCAAGCAGCTATACATACACAAAACACCTGCATTTTATTAATGCTGCCTGGAGCTGGGGCGGGATGGAGCCCCCTCTGCTCTCACCGCACCCCCTCCTCCTCAGCCATGCTCAGCGAAGCAAAACGCAGGGGTTAACCCTGTGTAGCTGGGTTTTTGTCCCAGAGACGTAGTCCCCACGAGGGGTACAGAAAAGTGCAGAAGAGGGGTCCTGTCCCCAGGACAGTTGGACAGACATTGTGGGAACCCCCGCACTGCCCTGGCACCACACATGCCTGGCCCCGAGCTTTTGGCCGAATTCTTGTTTGGCCCCAAAACTTTTCTCTCGAGGAGATGAGGATACCATTCTGTCTTGAAAGGAATCCTTGCGAAGCTGTAAGAGAAACTCCGAAAGGATGGCCCTGTAAACATCTCATCTCTCTGCCTTTAGGAGCCATTGGGACTAAACAATTCCAGAAAAATAGCTGCTTTTCTTTAAAAAAATATTTTAAATTAGAAAAAGCACAAAGAATGTAAAAGTGGACCGTAATCTCATCAACCTGGCAGCTTTGTTAACTTTGTTTTTAAACGCAATACATACACATTAGAAAGCATAACACGAAAATTTAATTTCTCTCCCCTCAAGTTACAGTTGCTCCTGTCAAAGGTAATGACTATTAAGAGTTTCTTGTGTGTTCTTTCCTTCCAGGGAAATAACTTGGGCATACAGTGACATCTTCTTTTTTTAATTAAAAATAAGTCTGGAATTCTTGTCATATCAGCACATGGAGATCGCCTCTATTCTTTGCTTTTTTTTTTTTTTTTTCTTGAGACAGAGTCTCACTCTTGTCACCCAGGCTGGAGGTCAATGGCGCTCTCTCTGCTCATGGCAACCTCCGTCTCCAGGGTTCAAGTGATTCTCCTGCCTCAGCCTCCCCAGTAGCTGGGACTACAGGCGCCTGCCACCATACCCGGCTAATTTTTTGTATTTTTAGTAAAAACGGGGTTTCATCATGTTGGCCAGGCTCGTCTCAAACGCCTGACCTCAGGTGATTCACCCGCTCGGCCTCCCAGAGTGCTGGGATTACAGGCATGAGCCACCGCACCTGGCCCTCCTTCATTCTTTTTAATGGTTGTGTGGGAATTCACGGTATGGCTGTACCATAGTTTATTTCAGCAGTGTCCTAGTGAGGGACCACAGGCCACTCCCAGTGACTAAGTCTTGCAGACATTGCTGCTATGAGGATCCTTAGACATATGCCTGGAGCCGTATGTGTGTGAGGATAACAGCAGAATTCCTGCCAGTGCAATTGCCGAGTCAAAGGATATGTGCATGCAATGTTTGGTCTCCTCTTTTTTGAAAAGGGCTGTTTCTTTTCCTGCCCTTCTCTATTTTTTTTTCTACCAGGCAAACTCCTACTTACCCATCAGAATCCAGCTCCAATTTCATCTCTGTGAAGCCTTCTCTGGTTGCTCTGGGAACCAACCAGCTCCTTCTTCCATGCTTCCTTGGTCCCTCTTACCAAGTCTTACTGTAGCCCAACGTTCTTTTTTGTTGTTGTTGAGATGGAGTCTCGCTCTGTCGCCCAGGCTGGAGTGCAGTGGCGAGATCTCGGCTCACTGCAAGCTCCGCCTCCCAGGTTCACGCCATTCTCCTGCCTCAGCCTCCCGAGTAGCTGGGACTACAGGCGCCCGCCACCACGCCCGGCTAATTTTTTTGTATTTTTAATAGAGACGGGGTTTCACTGCGTTAGCCGGGATGGTCTCGATCTCCTGACCTTGTGATCCACCCATCTCGGCCTCCCGCCCAACTTTTTTTAGGTGTTTCTTCTCCATATGAAATCATGATGTGAGGACATCGACATGCCTTCTTCTGGGGGCACAATGCTTTTGTCTTTAAAGTTTTCTTTGTGCAGTTCCACTTCTGGATATAGTATTGAAAGGAGGGACAGATATTTGTACCCCCAAGTCCACGGCAGCATTATCCACAATAGCCAAAAGGCGGAAACAACCAAGTGTCCATCACAGATGAATGGATGAACAAAACGTGCTACATGCACACACACACACACACACGCACGCATGCACCTGCACACGCACACACACACATGCACCTGCACATGCACACACAATGGAATAGTATTCAGCCTTCAAGAGGAATGAAATTTTGACACATGCTACAACATGGATGAAACTTGAGGACATTGTGCTAAGTGAAACAAGCCCGTCACACAAGAACCCTGCGTGACTCCACGTATGCAAGGTACTTAGAGTAGTCAAAATCATAAAGATGAAAAGGAGAATGGTAGTTGCCAGGGGCTGTGAGGAGGGGAAAGAGGAGTCAGTGTTTAATGGGCACAGAGTTTCAGTTTGGAAAGATGAAAAAGTTCTGGAGAGAGATGACGGGGAAGCTTATACAACGATGTGAATGTACTTAATGCCACTGAATTGTACACTTAAACATGGGTAAAATGGTAGCTTTTACGTTAGGTATATTTTACCAGGATAAAAAGTTTTTTGTGTTTGAAAATATACCCTCTAATAGACTCAGAGTTGCTGACAGGCCCTCTCCATGGGTTGATGTAACCGTCTCCTTACCTCAAGACGAGGTTGACCCATCCAAGATTGGAGGGAACTTATCCTATTTTCAGATTATTTCCAGGGAAGGGAGCCCATGACATTATTAGGCAATCTTTTCCAGTGTCTCAAAACCCCAGACATTCTGGGTACCAGACCTTTCCTGCTGCACCTGAAGTTGATTTTCCTTGGTCAGTAAGTGCTTTGTCAGGCCACAGACTTTTCATGCACTCAAAGGCTCTAGTTACACCATCCCTAGCGTAGATCTGATGGTGCCAAGTAACAAGCCAGCAAGTGGACTTTGGAGGCCCAGCAAGCCTCCCTGTCTCACAGGCTTCTCATCAGTATAATGGATAAACAGTGCGAGGCTTGGATTCCTAAGCAGTCCTGGGACACAGGCCCCGCCAGGCCCTGGCAGGTGAAGAGCCTACCATTTCTCACTTCATTTAGGATGTATAATAGTTTGTTGGACGCTAGAACTGTACCCTTTCAGATCTGTGTCTTTACTTTTCAGCTGGAGGCCTCTTGCTGACAGGGTAGCGTTTCCCAAAGACACGGGAGCTGAGCTGGTGAGTCATTTCAACAGCCCTTACACTCTCCTCTGACCAGAGACCACATGACATATTAATCAGCTGCTTGAAAGGTATACCTGGCAGGCATGTTTCCTGCAGCCTGGAAGATGCTGACCTCGTCAGCTTTGAAACATCAAAGGGCTAACAAGAGAACAACAGGCTGAGAAAGACCTCATCACCTGGGTGCCTGTTGACCGCAGCCTTGTAAGGCCCAACACAGCTGAGATGTGCTGTCTGGAGCTCGGAGGAAGTGGAGCTTTTTCTGCTGTGAGGACCCGCCTTCAGCCCCCTTTTGGGGCACAGGAAGGGGAGGGAGTGAGCCTAAATTGTGGCCCCATGCTTAGTGACTCAGATGTTACTGCTACCACAAAGGGAAATTCATGTGGGGGTGGACATCTCCAGAGACCTCACTCACCTGTGATTTGGGGGATAATAGCATCACTCATGTGTTCACGTGCCAGGCCTGTCACCCCGGAACATTAGTCAAAGGGCTGTGTTGACAGTGATTTCAACTCTTGAATTATACGAAGGACCTGGCCGCAAGAAGGCATTGAGCCCCGAGGAGGACAACAGGCCTCAGGTACTTCATGTGATTAAAGCTGAGACAAGGGGAGTCCCATGGGTCAGTCCTGTAACTGGGGTCTGATATACACTAGTGATAGGCATTAGCATAGTTTGCACATTATATGATAGTCTTGGTCCTTTTCATTTCCTGATAAGCTGGAATGTCTGACAGAGTAAATTCCAGATGCCCTTGTGGAATTCTCATTACGATCATGTTGCTAAGGAACTGTCTTCTACCTGTATGCAATTTGGAAATACTATTAATAGTATTAACATGGAGTTTTGCAGTGTGTGGGTTTATTTCTTATTGTATTTATAATCACCCCCACCACTACCTTCCCACCGCTGGCTCACCATCTGAGGAGCTGGCATCAGGAAACTCAAGAAAGAAGGAAGGAAGGAAGGAAGGAAGGAAGGAAGGAAGGAAAGAAGGAAGGAAGGAAGGGAAAGGTTGTCCAGGCTTCACAGGAAGAACTGCATTTGTATTATTCTGTATTGAATTCTCAGGACCTCCACATTGCAGGCATCTAGAGGCTCCAATTAATAGTTGATAAATCTTGAAGGGAGGAAAAAATAGTCACAGAAAGTTCACTTGAGTGACCTGAAATTCTATAGCAATTTAGCCAGGGAGCCGGGAGGAGAATATGCCCTTCCAACTTGCAGGCCAGCTCTCTGCAGGAAGCCAGGCAGCTCTCCCAGGGGAAGCAGTGGCCAGGGCAAGCATGGGTCTTGAAGCTCAGGACTGGCTTTAGGACTCTGGCTCAGACAAGATGGGTGGCTCAAAGGTATTGAAGGGCTAGGTAGGGCCCTGAAAATTGGGCCTTTCTGCAGCAATCATCAGGGAGACTAATGGTCCTGGGCTAGGGAAGGAGTCTTCTTGGCCCAGAATGGCCAAGCAGCCAAATATTAGAGCACCTCCAGGGAGGTGTCCCTGGAAAGGGTCCTCCCCCAGTCAGCTCCTGCGGAGTGCAGGCAGGTTTGGGGGTCTCTCCTCTAGGAGAGATCCAGGGAGCTTGAGAGCAAAAGTGACAATGTGCCTGCCTTCTTCCTTCTCTGTAGGGCTCTGTTCTCTTTCTTCTTTTTTGAGGCAGGATCTTTTGCTTTATTGTCCAGGTTGGAGTGCAGTGGCATGATCACGGCTCACTGCAGCCTCAGCCTCCTGGGCTCAAGCAATCCTCCCACCTCAGCTTCCTGAGTAGCTGAGACCATGCCTGGCTAATTTTTAAGTTTTTTTGTAGAGACGAGGTCTCATTGTGTTGCCCAGGCTGGTCTTGAACTCCTGGGCTCAAGCAATTCTCCCACCTCAGCCTCCCAAAGCACTGGGATTATAGGCGTGAGCCACTGTGTCTGGCCTGCTCTCTTTCTTAAGGAGAAGGCTTCTGTTATTTTTTGGTCAATTGGGTGCAGAAAGCCTGTTCCCCATGGACAACCCTTGAGGGGGTCAGAATGTCAGCAGAAGGGAAAGGATGGCTTTCCAAGAGTGTTCTGTGCTTGGGCATAACCGTCTCTTGTGTCCTGCTCCTGAGAGCCATGAGACTAAGAGCATGGGACAGAGGCAGTGACTGAACTGGGCTTGAGAACACCTTTGTTTGCTGGGCCTGTTTTCCTACCAAGAGCCTGTCAGCCCGGGTTTTGGAAGGCCAATCCAGGAGAATACGGGAGGTTGCAGGCAGCTCTGACCAGCCTGTCTCTCCCCACCCCTTGTTTCAGACCTCTCCAGAGTCCGATGTCCTTCTGCACAAGTCCTTGTTGTCCAGTCTGTGGCCCAAACACCCACAGGGCATGGTGGAGGCCTGAGACAGTGCTGGTTTTGCTGGGGCCATCAGAAAAGCTTACGAAGCAGGCTCGGCCATTGGCTGGAAGTCACTAGCCCCTGCTGGGCTCATGCAATACTCATGGAACTGGTGTGGGCTCCTGCGGGTTCCCTATGAGCAATGCCTCACCCATTTAAAGCTCGTCAAAGGACTTGTTCAATATCCTGGGTCCCTTTCTGTTCATTTTTTCTCTCCCCCCGTGCTGTCCTCCTTCAACTTTCCCCGACCACCCCTCCTCTTTTTAAGCTCTTGGCACCAAGTAACTATGAAGACTCTGAGAACTGGACCATCCCAAGGCTGTAGCTTTCTTCAAGCCTGGCAGGCTCTGTCGTGGTGAAGAGTCTGAAGGCTTTTTCTTTTCCAGGTAAGCTGGGGAGAGGGTTTGAAGAGCACTGTGAAATTATGACTCTTTCTTCTTTATTTTCTTTTCCCTCTCTGGGCCTAAGACACCAGATTTTTTTTTTTTTTACAGTACGTTTTGGCAGGCCCCATTTTTTTTCTGACAGAAAAAAATAACAGGCATATTTTGGGCGATTACTCAACTGGGGTCCTTTGTGACAGGATATGCTGCTGCGTGACTAATGGAGCTGGCTTTCTCCTGGCTTCCTTCCCCTTTCAGAGCTCTTGTTTACTGCCCTATACAAAAAAAAAAAAAAAAAAAAGCCATAAGCTACAGATTTTTATTAAAAAAAAAAAAGCCTTGTGAGATACTCAAAGGCAATAAATCCTTCAGAGATTCCATTTCCAGGGCTGCAAACTCCCCGCCCTCTCCCCACTTTTTCTTTTCAGTGCTCAAGATTCACGACATGCGAATCTTCTTCCACCCCCACGTCCCTGCTTTCTTCCTAACATATGTCCAGCTGATCGTGGGGGGCGGGGAGGGCGGGGGAAGGGGAGCAGGATGGGAACCATATTTATGGTGCTTAACTCAGCAATTGCTAAAGGAAGAAATAATGACTTCCAGGGGGCTCTGGGCCTTTTTTCCAAGGCCTTTGTGTTTTCGTAATCTATGACAATTTTGTGGTGTAAGCAAAAGTTATTACAAAACATGGAACCAGCCTAATGAGGAAGGTTATGTTCTAAACCAGGAGGGACTATCTCTTTATAGAGGAAATTCAAATTTGGCTGGCTTTGGAATTCGGAATCCCTGGGCTTTCCAGAGAACTTTTGGGAGAGACTCTCTCGAGCTTGGTGTGTCTGACAACTGGAACTGGCCTTTCAGTTTTTCTAGAGATCAGATGGTTTGTTATTTCAAAAGGTGTCTGGCCTATGGATGGGAAAAGTTGACTAGCTAGTTAGGTTTACCGGAGACAGATTGGTGTAGATAGGGCACCAGACTTGTGGCCAGGCGATGGGTTTGAGTCTCAGTTGTAATCTGGAGCAAGTAATTTAATATCTGTAGGTCTCAGTTGCTTTGGTGTTAAAATTGGGATTGTGTCCCCTTCCCTCTAGGCTGCTGACAAAAAAAAAGTGAGATGACATAAGTTTAAGGCACGGTGGGAATTCTTTTTTTTAATGTTAATATTTTTGGGGGTACGAGTGGTTTTTGGTTACATGGATAAGTTCTTCAGTGGTGATTTCTGCGATTTTGATGCTCCCATCACCCAAGCAGTGTACACGGTGCCCAAGGTGTAATCTTTTATCCCTCACCCCACTCCCAACCTGCTCCACTCCCCAGTCCCCAAAGTCCACTATATCTTTCATATGCATGGCATGTATGCATTCTTGACAATTAAAGAAGTATGCAGTGATCCCTTCTAATGCTTCTTCATGCAAAGGGCTGGCTCACACTTTCAACAGAGGAGAGAGGCTGAGAACTACAAAGCCTACTGATGAACAGGAGGGAGGTTATTTATACAGTGGCCCAGGACACGATATTACACAGGTGTTTGGGAGGCTGGTTTTGCTTCCAAGTTTGCCCACTCCCTGGTCATCTTCCAGGCAGGTCTTAGAATCATAACTTTGATCACATTCCTTCCCTACCCAGGAAACTCTCTTGTCAAACCCAGACAAAAGGCACCTGCCTGCTCCATCTTGCCTGCCTTTTCTTCTGTAACTAAATCATCTTATGCCCTCACTCTCCGTCTTAGCAAAGTGAACACTGGACGCACAGTTTAGCCACTTGCCCGATGTTTTCATGGTACGTTGCTTGGAGGCCCTTGTTCCTCCTTCACCTTCCTATTCCTCTTCCTCCTCCTCTCTCTTACATCTTGTTCATTTGTCATTTCTTATAAGATCCTACTTCAACTTCACCCCTCTCTGACTCTCCGCTGATTTGGAACACCTCGAGTAGACACTCCAAACCCTCTGATAAACCCTAGCAACTATCTTTTTTCAGTCTCCACAATTCAAAAATCGAATAATGCCCTAGGTAAAGGCAGCTGACTTGACTTCTCCAGAAGGTAAACTGAGGCCCACCCAGGGAACAAACTGGACAGAGATTACTGTACAGGATTACTGGACAGAGTAAATCCATGACAGACAAAAATAAAAACCCTGCATCCTGATTCCAGTTTGCCTGGAGTTTAAAAAGAGGTTCTTTAGCTTGAATATCCCAGAATAGCCTCTCCTGGGCTGACCAGCTGTGAAGTGATGTGTTGCAAGGGTTATTTTTTTGCCTTGGCTTAACTCTTAAAAAAACACCCCAAACTCCCAAAATCGGCCTAAAAAAAGCCATTTCTCACAATGTCATCTGCTTGCCAAGTTTAAACTTAGTATATTACATTATGAACGCCTCTGGGCCTCACTCTCAGCTTACTGCGACGCTCAGGTATCTGAATTGAGTTCAGAAATCACAGTTTATTGAAGGAAACAGATCATTAAGTCACTCCACTGGACTGAAGCTGTTGACGTTGTTTATTTGGAGAAACTGGGCATTGACTAATGTTCTCTTGATTTGCGTGGATCAGGACTAACTGGAGCTATTTAACAAAGGGTGTGGCCATCAGATAGCATGGGACCCATCTGGGCTAACGGGAAGAGGAACGGGACGGTGGTGTGCTGAAGCTTGCATTGGCTTGTGAAAGCTGATTGGTAAATTTTCAGGAATTTTGCAAGCTGGCTGTGGAACACAGCCATTGTTAAAAATTAAATGATATAAACATATAATTAATTATATTTTAAAAAGGTAATAAATACTAACAACAGATCAGATCCTAATTTTTTTAAACTACAGTTTACTATCATCTATGTGCTTGAGTTATGTTTATTACACATATGGTGGGAAGACTGTAGCGTAGTATACTACTGACTCTCTTCCCAATTCCACAGTCAGTAACATCACATTGGTAGCTTGAAATTGGCCGTGGTGAGAATATTTACACCACAGAAATTGGCACACTCTATACTCAGGGCTTGATTTATTGTTGTGTTGATTATCTAGACTTATGGAAGTGCTAGAGAAAATGTTAATACAGTAAGATTAGACGTAAAAGTGTGCCGTGTCTGTAGCAGTGACATTGTGAATCACATAATATATTGAGGTAATATTTTTCTAGTTTTTGAAAACGATTACCTGATTCAGCAAAAAAGTGGCTCATATGGAAAAAAAACCAGTGAAGTTCCAAAATGCGTCTTTGTTGTTTCACTTTTATCTTACTTATTATTGTAGATGTAATTATTAACCAACATTCACATCAGATTCACAATTGGAAACCCAGCTGTTAAACATTTACCAGCACACTACTGGAAAGAAGTGCATATGGACTACTCGCTTGGGATTCCAGAAGAAAGAACGTTATAGAACACCTACAACTTGGCAATCAGGGGCCTGAGGTACAGCTGAAGTACAGCTGTGGAAGAGGAGATGCTAATTCCTGGAGAGAGAGCAACACAGATTTTACAGTCAGCAGCCAGAGACTACCCTCAGAACAGGAATGTGAAAAATAAACCAGATATGCTGAACTGGATACCAACAAGGTTAAATGGTGGAAAAGCCATAATCACTTCTAAATTCAAGGGTAGGATTAATACTGTATTTTCACAGTACCTGAAAGTTCTGTGGCCTTTCCTAGACACCAGTTCATGTGATCACCAGAACAGAACTGAGGTTGAGGGGAAAGTTAGCTATCAGCATTGGGCCCATTTTACAGATGGGAAACTGAGGCAGTGGAAGGTAAAGTAGTTTGCCCAAGGTTACTGTTTCTGCATAAATGGCTGCCCTGGGACTAGATGGGAACAGAACTACCACAGACTTGTGGGTCAGACATACTTTGGTTAAAAACTCAACCTTGACATTTATGTAATGTTGGTAATGTTACTTTACCTTTTTAAGCCTGGGGTTTTTTGTTTGTTTGTTTGTTTGTTTGTTTGTTTAAACTTACAAAATGGGGAGGATAAAGCCTAGATCATAAGTTTGCAGTGAGGGTTAGTTTAAGGAGATGATAGGTGCAAAGGACCTGGTGCTCGGGAAGCCTTTGCACCTCCCACCGTGTACTTACATTACTTACATTTGATTTTGAAATATAGTATAAGACTGCTTTGGCTAACATATTTACTTTTCTAATTATATTTGTTGGGTTTAGGTTAATTACTCTGCATGGCCTTAGGCCAGACCAATTTGAGGGGGTGGGGGCAGGGGCAGGGAGGAGGGAGAAGGGAGAAGGGAAGAGGTGGGTCAGAAGAGGAAATCTGGTTATGATTCCTGTGAAGGTGGAGGTGGAGCTGGAGCATCTGGGCAGGGGAAGAATTAAAATTTCGTAAAGGGCTCCTTCACTCACTGATAATTGGAGATAATCTGTATACACTATCATGTTCAACAAGGCCATTTCATGCCACAGAAGCTAGAGTTCCAGATGGACTGCCTCTGCCTAGACCTAGGGCTCCATATCACCACCAGCAGAAATGAGAAGGCTTGGAGACCTCTGTGCCCCTGAAACCCTCACGGCCTCACCAGCACTCTCTGCCTTGGAACAAGACCCATCCCCATGAAAAGCTGAGGCCTCAGGTCATCCCTCAGCTGCCAGGGCAGGGAGGCAGCCACCCCCCTACTTCCCAGGGCCCTCACTCCTCCTTCTGGATGGGCCTTTCTTCTTACAGCTTGTCAGCACTAGGCATGCTATTAATTCACTAGACTGTAATCTCTGTGAGGGCAGGGGTTTTTATTTAATGTGAGACCTAGAACAGTGCTAGAGACACAGAAAGCTCTCAATAAATAGTGGCTCAAAGAAGAGCGTAAAGTGAGTCATCCTCACCTTTTGTTTTCTCTTTCAAATAACAATTCATTCTTTGATCAAGCTCAACAGGTTCAGATTTGGCTCAGGGCACACAAGGGTAAACCGAGGAGGTAAGGGTGTTGTCAAAGACTTGAGGGGGTGTTCACTGCAAAAACAGGCGTCTCTGAGGATGGGCCATGGACCAGCCGACATGGACTGAACGAGGTGGTGGAGCTCAGCGGTTAAGAACGTGGTGGTTCAAATCCAGGCCCCGCCATTTATTAGCTATGTAACCTTGGGCAAGTTATTTTATCTCTGAGTCTCATATTCCTTATCTGTAAAATGTGGATAAAAATATCCACCTCTTAAAGTTGTAGTGCAGGTTAACGAGATAAAGCATGGCGAATGCTTAGCACGGAGCCTGGCACGGGAAAGGGAGCCAGTATTCATGGCACTATGGAGGTGGAGGTGGAGCTGGAGCATTTGGGTAGGGGGAAAAACACAGCTGGAAGAGCTGGGAAAAAGGCCAGCCTGCAGAAGACCTCTGTGTACTCGGATGGCATCTTATCAGCCTGCAATGGGGCCCTGCAAAGAGGCCTACAGCAGTAACACCTACCCAAGAGGACCTGGCTGTAGCATGGGGACTGACACCATCATGGCCCTAGCTAGATCCAGAAGCCACTGGAATGACGCCAATGCCTTACTACACGGATGGTGTCTTCCCTTGGGCAAAATAACCACAAACATGCCTCAACACGTAAGACAGTATATACGGGGGAGGACACCCACGCTGAAGCCATGCCCAAGAATAAAGGACACAAGGTTTCACAAGATACCCTGAGTTGAGAACTACAGGGTTTAGAACCAAGGAGGAGCAAAAGGGCAAACGGGTGAGGTGATGTAATTTTACTTCCAGGAAGATAGTTGTGGTTTCATTACAGGAGATGGGTTTTCAGTGGGCATCTAAAGGAGAGGGGCTTGGAAGAGAAGAGACACTACATACTGGAGGGAGCACGTATGAAAATGTTATGTCCAATGTGAAGAGGCCCGGGCCGGAGCAGCAGTGCAATAGCAGGGTGCGCAAGGAATCTCTCCCGCCTCCAAGCGGGGCCCAAATGCATCCATCACTGGGCAAATGAATATTCTGCCCTGGATACTGATGGGGTCCTCTGAACTTGTTCCCCAGGGTGAGCCTGATTTAGGCTCAAGAAGTCCCCATTCTGCTTGATATTTTAAATGGCATAGGTACCCAAAACAGCATGGTATATGGGAAGATAGACCTGGAATAGGGGACAGTAGACTTGATTTGAGGTTCCAGAAATCATTTTCCAGCTTTAATTTTGAGCCTCAGTTTCCTCATCTATGACAGGGGGGAGCATAGCTGGCTCCCCTCACAAGCCCCTCATGATGAACCTCTGGGGCCTTTGGCTGTGGGAGCTCCACGCTTTGTGCTTCCAAGGACCAGTCACTTCAGCAGGCCCCCCGCCCAGCCTAGTGTGGCGCTGCAAGAAGAGCACAGCTTCTCTGGTTAATCCTGACCTCACGCTGGCCCTGCCTGCATGTGGAGACACAGTCTCTGGCTCCTGGGCGGGGACGCCCGTCATCCAGTCAGTGCAGCTCAGGAGCTAAGCTCATGAATGGACGCCTGCAAAACACACTGGGCTCTTTGCTTGAAAGCCACCAGAGCAAGACAAAGGATGCCTTCCCTGGCTGGATTCCTCAGCAGGGGGCTTGCCACACCTGCCTCCTCCAGAAGCGCCTGTGCAGGTGTAGACATGTACACCTTCCTGAACGTTGGCTCTGCCCCACCTAGTGTGCAGTGCAGATGCAAATTCCACTCTCTTGCAGCTACTTCTTGCAACTGCAGGCATGTCACGTAGCCCTAACTCCCCGGCTTTAGTTTCCAGAACTACAAAGCAGGAGCCACAGACACTCTAAACTCCCTGCCTTCTAGCAAATCTCCTAAAAGTTATTATGGATTGTTTCTGATCCTCTGGGACCTCCGTGGGTCAGCTTGCATTCCCAAACCAAATGCAGCCACTTGCCTTGGTCTAGCTTGCTTGGTGTCCCCAAATGTGGCTTACTATGAGGGTCTACAGCCAGCTTGCTGTGGTGGGGTTCTAGCTTCCATGTACCAGCTGAATGACCCAGGGCAAGGCACTTTAACCTCTCTGTGCCTAGGTTTCCTCGTCTCTAAAGTGGGATCATAGTTGCACTTACCCCATAGGCTGTAACATATGCAGTATGAACTCATGCGTTTGAGTTGAGTTAATTATATGAGTTAACACAAGTGTATGAGCTCATACTATACATGTAAAATGCTTAAACCAGTGCCTGGCACATAGTAAGAATCATTATAAGTGAAATAATAGTAATAATGATAGTAGGTATTATTATTCATGTTCCACCCCAATTATCATTCTAGTTCCATTTTTCTGACTTTCTCACCATAGCCTCAAGGCCTGGCCCTATCTGCCCTAGGTTGACTACTGCCATAAGCACTCCAAGGCTCACAGAAGCAGGGGATGGAAGAGAGGTTGAATGAAGCAGGTGGAGATGGAGGATTGAGAAGAGGATGTGGCTGGGCTGGAGGAGCAGGGAGAAGATAAAGACCATTAGAAATAGGATGAGAGAACAATGCCTGGGCTAACCCTCTCGGAGCTCTGAAGGCCCAAGGCAATGGCACAGTGTCTGTGGAAT
The DNA here is from genome assembly GCF_000001405.40 of Homo sapiens. Taxonomy (NCBI): domain Eukaryota; kingdom Metazoa; phylum Chordata; class Mammalia; order Primates; family Hominidae; genus Homo; species Homo sapiens. The sequence continues at coordinate 68,675,719 of NC_000014.9, read as the reverse complement.
TGTCCCCATCTCTGGAGTCCCCCAGTATCTACCTTAATCTGATGTGTGTACCACAATGGAATAGAATGAATTAAACTTGAAGGACAGTTTATTCCTCAAGGCAGGTGGGAACTCCATCAAATGGAATTGAACAGCATTGGAAAGTGAGTGTATTAGCTGTATTTCTTCTCCTTTGACTTAGAATGGAAGGTTGAGAAGAACTGTGGCCTGTTCAACCCCAGGCCTTCTCTTAGCACTTTGTGTTACTGTGTTGGGGGCCAAAAAGGAATCAGGCATATCCTAGATGCCTAAGCAAGCTGTGAGAATAGGAGGGCCGTCTCATGCCCATTTGCCTGGACACTGAGTCACTTCCCTCTGTCATTCCTAAACCATCCTGTGGCACCATGTTGGATCTGTGCCAGATAAGTTCAGGAGACTTGGATTCTCCTCAAACTATGTCTCAGAAAAGCAGAGCCCTAACCCAGATTGTTTTAGACCCCTCCCCAACTCCCTGTGTTTGTTACTGACACCCTAGTCCCTGAGATAATCATCCCAAGAAAGGGAGGCAGGAGAGGCCTTGCTTGTCTACCTGCTACCTTTGTCCTCTCTCTCCTTTGCTTCTCCTCCAGGCTGGGCAGAGCTGTCTACTTTCCCTTGCTATCTGAGGGGAAGTTTTATTAGGCTGTCGACTGTCTTTTCTGAACTATGGCTTATGGTAAAGTCCCATTATCAGACCATCTGACTTGGCACTTTAAAGGAAGATTTTAAAATTTAGAAGTCTTTCCACAAAGCCTCTAGCAACTCAAGAGGGTTAGCATGGACCCCCAAGGCTGAGCAGCGGCCCATCGTCCAGGTGGCGTCCCCTTCCACAGGGAGAAGTGGGTCTGTGGCTGGGAAACCATAGCATGGCATGCCTTACAAGGGAAAGAGGGAACAGTGGTTTAAGACGCTCATTGGTGATACCCCTGGTCTACTTATGGAACATATGCCCCATTACACACATACCCCTGTGTAATGGGACTTCCCATTTTATACTTAGGGGTGTATATTTAAATAAGTGAGGGGGGCATACAACAAATGAAAGTACTCTTTTCTGAATGCTGAGAATATGCATGATTTTCACTTTTTCTTTTACTCATACACATTTTCTGACTTTCTACAACCAGTATGTTACCTTAGGATAGAAATAAAAAAATAAAATTGGTAACATTATATGTTATATAAAATTTTAATTAAAATATATATTCATTAAATATATCTAAAAAGACTTCTATATACCTCCTCATTTATATATTATACGATACATAATGTAACATATAATATGTATGATACATTAGAATACAGGTGACTACTCATAGAAAAATTCTGGAAGGAACACAATAACATGTTGTTTTCTAGTAGTGTTTTTCTGTATTTATTTTTGTAATTAGGAGGAAAACACGTGTGTATATGTAAGTATATACGTAAATGTGTGCATATATGTGTATATAGTGTGTACGTGTGTATACATATGTGTGTACACGTATATATGTATGTATATGTGTGTATGTGATGTATATGTGTATACAGTATGTGTGTATATATGTGTGTACAGTATTGTATATGTGTGTGTATGTGTGTATGCATGTATATATATGCAAGTGTGCGTATACCTGTGTACAGTATGTGTGTTTATGTGTATATGTGTGTGGATGTATATATGTGTGCATACAGTATGTGTATGTGTACATGTGTGGATGTATATATATGTGTGTACAGTATGTGTATGTGTGTGCATGTATAGATGTGTGTGTACAGTATGTGTGTGTGTGCACATATACATATGTGTGTGTACAGTATGTGTGTGCATGTATACATGTGTGTGCACAGTATGTGTACATGTATGAGTGTGCATGTACATATGTGTATGTACAGTATGTGTATGTGTGTACATGTATATATGTGTGCATATAGTATGTGTATGTGTACGTGTGTGGATGTATATATATGTGTGTACAGTATGTGTATGCGTGTGCATGTATAGATGTGTGTACAGTATGTGTATGTGTGTGCACATATACATATGTGTGTGCACAGTATGTGTATGTGTGTGCATGTATACATATGTGTGTGCACAGTATGTGTACGTGTGTGTGTGCATGTACATATGTGTATGTACAGTATGTGTATGTGTGTGCATACATATGTGTGTACATATGTATGTGTATGTGTGTGCGCGTACATATGTGTGTACATACATGTGTGTACAGTATGTGCATGTGTGTACATGTATATATGTGTGCATACAGTATGTGTACGTGTGTGCATGTATACATGTTTGCATACAGTATGTGTGTGTATGTGTGTGCATGTATATATTTGTGTGTACAGTGTGTTTATGTATGTGTGTTTATGTATATGTGTGCATACAATGTGTGTATGTGTGTGCATGTATATATATGTGTGTACATGCATGTCTTATGTGTATGTGTTTCACTATTTATGCTTCCTTTGGTGAAAACAAAACCTTCCAAGTTATTTTCAGATCATTTTTCTTGTTTGTTTTCCTGGTACAGATTAGCTATCTGCTTTTCTCAGCGTGAAAACAGGTACAACTTTTTTCCTGTGTTGATAGCTTCTAAATGTTGGACTTGGGCCTAAAGTGACTACAGGATTTTGTGCATGTTTAAGTTTGACCAATTCTGGCTAGTGCATGAAACCAGTCAGCACAGTTGAGTGAACTGTGGATGAACATCTAGAGTTGTTTACAAACAGCAAAAAACCCACCTAGTAGAGAATGTTCTGGACTTAATTCCTATGCATGAGGTACTGTGTTCTGTGGTTGCTGCCTGTCTTCAGGGGGATGTATTGCAGACTAATCAGGAGCACGATTCACAGTGCAAAGCAAGAGAAAGGTAATGCCTGTAACACCCTCTGAAGGGACACCATGAAGCTGCATCCTGGATGTCCAGGCCCCAGGGGAGATGAGTGCAATGATCTCATGGTTATTTTCCATCTCTTATGATCGATGGGATTTCCCTGATGCTTGTGTAGCTGTTTGCAATTTGTTCTTTGGCTAGTGCTTTCTAGATTGCTTTGAAGGAAAACACTGATTTCCCCATTTTATTCTGGGCTATATAACTAGCCAAGTTTTAGGTTCCCACCCTTTGTTTATAGATTTGCCTCAGGAATGATTATCCAATATAAAAATGGACCTGAGAGAAAGAAAGTTCTTAAATAGGTGGACCTAGACTCTCCAGAACCTCTGGCCAAGATGAGTTCATCTATAAATAAGGCCTCACTCTTCCAAACCCCAGCTCCTTTACCATTGGAGTTCTCTGACGGCAGAAAGGCCCTTGTCTCTGCCTAGAATTTTGAAATTCTCTGATGGAAGTTTTGGTGTAATGGCAAATGTCATTTTAAGGCCTCAGAATGTTTTCCACTCATCACAAGTCACCCTTCCATGAAGCAGTTCTTAAATCCTTCCCTAGCACTAGTAAGGATTGAGAAACAATAGAGGTTTCATGCTTTTGTCCAGATTGCATGGAAAGTTCCAGGGGTTACAGGAGGGAAGGATGGGGAGGAGAACAAAAACAGAACGTCTGGGTCTCAGGATATCCAGCTTAAAATATTAGCCTCTGGGACTCACAGCTTCAAACATGTCACTGAGTCTATAAATACCATTATCATCACCTGGAGTTGTAAAGTGAACATTGTTTAGCTTCTCTGGCTTTGCGTTTATGGTCTTGTTTGCCTGCTGGACACTGTCCACCCAACTGTCCTGTGGGATTCTAGGACTATCAAGGGACTGTCTGGAAAGGAAAACCCATTATACCACTGACCCCAAGAAGGCAGCACCTGGAACCACTCTCGCAGTTTTTGCTGAACATTATAGTTCTTCCTGGTTATGCATCTTTTTGATCACTTACATTTTTTTTTTTTGATAACCAGTCAAAGCCATCAGTATTTCCTAAGGCCCTACAGTGTTCAGAGCACTGTGGAGGCATCCTTGGGGCATATAAGGAATTCTGAGACAAGGTTAGGGGACACACAGATTCATTAAAGCCAACATATCTGAAACAGAACATACAAGGCGGTTTTCAATAATTAAACTGTCTATGGTAGGCAAAAAATGCAGTGAGCACAGGAGGGGCAATGTTAACTCCATGCTCCCCAGAGGTTGTCGGAGGCGGGGTGTTGGGGGAGAGAGCAGAGTTGAAGCTGGACCACTTAGAAGATGGGCACAGTCTAGACAGATATTTCAAGCAAAGGGAATGGAATGAGCAAGGACAAAGAGCAGGGATGGAGGAGGATAGGGGGTGGGTTTGTATGTCTGGCCAAGGTGAATCCACATAGGGGAGGGCATGGTACAGCAAACTGGAGATGTGGTAGGATAGGGTTACATTATGTAGGGCTTTGAAAGCTTCTTTTTCACTGTAAGTTCCTGTGCAATATTTTCCAAATAAAAACATGTTGCCAGCAGTGGCTTGTCTAAAAATCTGACATTTGCCTTGGACTTCTTCCTCCTATCTCCTTCCTCAACTGGCCCACCTAGTGTAAGTCTCAAAGCACACGGACCAACCCAGGATGGATGGTTTGCCCAGTTATCATGGGTGCCCCTTGGACAGTCCAAACTGGCTTTCCCTTGGCAGGGAGTTTCATTTTGCCAACAGAGCTAGACTGGGAAGAGACTGGATCAGGCGTTTGGGCTGTATCTCCCCAGGCTACCATCTTGGGGGGGCCAGCAGCAGACGCCAGGAGCTGGCTGGCATCAGGGTGCAATCTGGTCATCACAGAAGAGACCCTTATCCTTGGAGGGTCTGTGAGCCCACAAACAGCTGTTTGGCTTGGCTCGCCTTGGCTAGTAGCATTTCCAGCAGAGATGAGCAGGAGATGGATGGGTGGTGGAGAGCTGGCAGTGATAAGAAAGAAAGGGTCTTTGGTACTGAAATGAGATATTTGTGTCTCTATCTTCAAATGGACAAGTTCTGGCCTTCGACCACTTTGCTGGCAAACTTAAGTTTTTCCATTGTTGCCTGAAGCACTCCAGTGGAAGATGAGAGTGGATGGACCTGCCAGGGCTGCTCTCCACATGAGAGGAGGATTAAAAGTAGCAAGTGGCCAGGAGGGCAAGGGCTGTGCAATGAGACAGAGGATGTGAGGGGTCAGGATGTGAGAGGAAAAGCCATTGCTGGGCATGGCTGGGGACTGGAGGCTCCCAGGGATGGGAACTATGGCAGCAGTTCTGGGCTTTTTCCACATCTGTCACCCTGGCCTAGTGCCCTCTCCTTGGATTCATGAGACCAAGAAGCAAATGTAAGGGAGGAAGGACTTTTCAGCAGAAATGCCCATAAAGAAAGACTTAGTCCCACCAGCTGAACTGCAGAGGGGTGGGCCGGGGGGCACTTGCCACTCTTCCCTGACTCCTAACCATGACTTTCTCACTCAAAAACCATCCATCTGTCCACTGTTCCACCAAGCCCCGGAGCCCCATGCTGATTTCCTTTTGGAAGAGCCCCAGCTCCCAGGGTGACCTCAGCAACAGCAGGGCCCACGGACGGTTCCAATCCCAAACTTCCCGTCACAAGGAAGGGTCGGCCTGGTCTGTGGAAGTTACAATAACATAGTGGCTGTTTATGAGCAAGAGCCCTCAATAAAGTCATCGGGACGGTTCTCTCGGCAGCGTGTCTAATCTTCTCTGGCTGCCATTCTGGGCGCTTGGCTCCTGATCTATTTTGGTCTCTCTCTTCTTTGACTCATTCTGGGACTTCCGTGCCATTAATCTGAGCCCCCCACCAGGGCCTGGTCCCACCAGCAGGCAGACAATTCAGAATTAGCTGCAGTCATGGTTGTCCAAACTGACAGGCAGGGAAACTGAGGCACAGCAGGTCGCAGGTCCTTGTCTCATCTCCCACAGTGACCCGGCAGCACAGCTGCCAGCAAGGCCCAGGGTTCTGGCTGGGGCTTTAGCTCTGGAGTTGTTACAGAAGGCCAGGGGCCATGTGAAATTTCACAAAGCTCTTACTGGGCCCCACTTGGTTACAAATCCCAGGGCTCTGCTACAAATGTGATTGTGATGGGAATGCAATGGGGGTGGGGAGTGTGTGTGTGTGTGTGTGTGTGTGTGTGTGTGTAAGTGGCGGGTTTGATAGTGTGTTTGAAAGCCTTGCATGCCTGGAATTTGACAAGCACGGAATAAAGACCAGAAAACCCAAAATAATGGGGAAGAAAGAACAAAGAGTCTTCCCAAAGCCATGGTTCAAGCTGTGGGCAAATGTCTTCCTGTTTCTCATCCAAAAGTCCCTGCCCCTAGGCCCAAGGGGCTGGCTGGGCTGGTTTGGCCAGTCCAGGGCCATTCTGCAGCCTCAGGCCTCTCTAGATGTGGCCTACGTGCTCTGGAGAGGGAAGCAGGGGAGGCAGGGAGGCAGTTAGGGCTTTAGACACTTTCTAGGTGCCTCAGGGGGCCTACATATTTCCTATGTAAAGTTCAGTCTGTTTGCAATTAGACTTCTCTTCTTTGCTTATTTCCGGAGGGATTATAAATAGTGAAATCAGCTTAATTTGGCTCTCTCTGAGATCAAGAGGCCACTGTTTCCAACAGTCTGAAAATACCAAGCAGTCCCACCCACATCCATGGGTCATGCCACGTGGCAGGCCTGGTAGGCTCTCCGTGATGAAGGAACTTTAAGTTGCATGAGTTTTCAACAGGTAAGACTCTTTCTGGACTCTAGCAAAGATATCGTCTTTTCAACTTCAACTAAAATAGAAAGAATCCAGCACTGTTTAGGTCTTGAAATCCTCTTTCTTTCCTTAATGAGCTCAAAGCTGTAAAAGGTCTTTCGGGAAAACCCATCTTGGTTCAATTACTTTACCAGTTTTAGACTTTTCTTGGGGATTTGGGCACAGAGAAGATCCTGAGCTGCTTCAGACATGCAGATGCTGCCCCTGACTTGTCACCTTCAGCACAGCAGGTGTCTGAGGTCATTTAACCAGCGATTGGGAGAGATGTCACGGATCAGCGTGCCTGGGGGTGCAGGAGAACAGCCCGCCATCTGTGAGATGACTCGGGCGGCAGAGGGGAGCCATGGATCATAATTCCTTTATGCTCTACCTTAGTCAGAATGGGAATGGCTACTGCTGTAGTGACAAATAGATCCCCATGTCTCAATGGTTATGCCACCTGAAATGTGGCTTCAAGATTGCTGCCATCACAGACAGAGCTGGAGGGCTGCTGTGATGCTTTTAAAGACAAGCCTTGAAAGTGGCTGACATGACTCTGTCCACATCCGTTTGGCCAGGATCTAGTCATATGGCCTCCACCTAACGGCAGGGGAGGCCGGGAAGTGGAGTGGAATGCGTGGTTTTCGATGAGCAGGTATCATCTGGGGCTTTGACCTGGAGTCATCAGCCACAGGCCCTGAAGCCTAATGAAGGTCCTCAGACAAAACTCTCATGAGGCTGTGGACAGAGTGGTGCTGAGGACTGACAGAACTTGCTGATTTGCCATCCCACCATCCCCTGCTGGCACAGATGCCCCCAGGAATGTGGCTGCTTCGAGGAAGTATCCTGGAGGGTGACCCCAGGGTTGATGTCAAGATGGAGCCTTTAGCAGGTAACTGGGGAGAAGAAAAATGAGCACCTGGGTATTCATTGAAGCAGATATTTCCCAGACCCTCAGCAGCCAGGGGTGAGGCCCTTTCATGGACAGCACAAGGATTGGTAATCACTTGTTTCCCAGCAGACCCAGGCCAGGGAAGTGCTTCTTTACATCTGCCTCAGATGAGGATCTCCCACAGGCCTCACAACGGGGAAAATGCTTTCTCCTGCTGGAGTTACCTTACTGAAGGCTGATCTGCCTTCAGTTAGGTCTGTGGATACATCCTTAGTTTTTGGGGATCCACGGGGCAGGGTGTAAGTGTTTTTCTGGCATGGTAGCTGGGAGGAGAATTCCTCAAACAGTGAAAAGTAAACCAATGGAGATATAATAAATAAGAGCTGACTTACATACTTTAACCACAACAGAAATAGTAAAGCATTCTGTCCAGACTGAATTGAGCAATCATCATTAATTTTCTTCCATCTGGGAACTAACAGAGCTTTGTCAAGGGTTCATTATTTGCAGTGTCTACCTTAGTGTTGGCCTGGGAATCCAAAGCTGAACCCTCACTAATATATGGAGGAGCATGGGGGAATATTGGCTCCAGCTGGATGTAATGGTTAATTTTATGTGTCAACTTGGCTAGGCTATGGTGCCCAGCTATTTGGTCAAATACTTGTCTAGATGTTTCTGTGAAGGTAGTTTTTATATTTGATTTACAATAAAGTCAACATTTACAACCAGCTGACTTTAAGCAAAGCAGAGAAACTGCCAAAATAGGTGTGGACTTCATTAATCAGTTGAAGGCCTGAAGAGCAAAGGCTGAGGTTTCCTGAAGAAGAAGGAATTCTGCCTCCAGACTGCAACAGAAATTCTGCCTGAGTTTCAGAAATTCTGTCTGAGTTTCCAGCCTTTGGACTCAAGGCTGAAGCATCAACTCTTACTTGCTCTCCAGTCCACCTAACTTCCTGCAAAATTTCAGATTTGCCACCTCCCTCCACCGCCGTCACATACGTCAATTCCCTTAAATCCATCTCTCTCCATCTCGTCTATAGCTACATCTCTCTAGATACATCTACATTAGTCAGAATGTGAAAGGTTATGCTGCTGTGGCAAATAAACCCCTGCATCTCAGTGGTTATGTCACCTGAAACACGTGACTTCAGGATTGCTGTCATCAGGGAAGAGAGAGCTGGAGGGTTGCTGAGTTGCTTTAAAAGGCCAACCCTGAAAGAGGCAGACATCACTTCTGTCCACATCTACATATGTATATCCATATCTAATCTATCTCTATATATAGAGGGAGATCCTGTTGGTTCTGTTTCTCTGGAGAACCTTTATAATACACTGGGGGAAAAGCAGATTAAATTAGAGAAAGTAATTTCATGATGAGTAAATATTTTTATTATTTCATAGGAAAAGGGAGTAAATAATAGGGAAATAGAAATTGTGATGATATAAATAAGGGAGTTTCACTATAGCAGTAATACTTATTACTATGTTAAGCATACCAAGAGGGGTGTAACAAAAACGAAACTCAATAGAAATGGTCTGGTTGTTTAATAATTTCATTTCCAAAGACATGATGCTTGCTGATGGAACTTCCTGCCTGGGGTTCACCCTCTTCCTGTCTGAGGACCTCCCAGTACTGCTCTCCTCACATTTAAGTATGTGATATGCCTCTGTCTGTGCCCCTGAGCAATAGATTGTGCTTGCAAAGTACAGATCTATTGCTGGCCCTGTCTCCTTTCTCTTAGTTCCATTTACACTTAGGAATGTATTTTTAAACAATAGCTGTAAACTACGGCTCTTTGGTTGCCAGGGACAGAAAGTCATCTCAAACTGCTTTAGCAAAGGGGAAATCCAATGGCCCATGCAACAAAAAGATCCAGAATTAGGGCCAGCATCAGATATAAATTGATTCAGGGATAAAATAATGTGTTATCAGGACTTGGGTACTCTCCATCTCTCAGCTCTCCTCTCTGCTATGCTGGCTTCAGAGTCAGGTTTCATGTGACAGAAAAATCTCTCAGCTCTACTCTCTGCTATGCTGGCTTCAGAGTCAGGTTTCATGTGACAGAAAAATGACAGCAATTCCAGCTCTATACCTCTCAGATTTCAGGTTCAAGGGGGAAAGAGTGAGTCCCCTTCCCAGAAGTCCTAGGGAAGACCTTAAGGTATCTCATTGGCTCTGATTGATCAGATGTCCATTCCTAAACCAATCACTATGCCCAAGAGAATCTAATGCTCTGATTGGCTTAGGCCTGGGTCCTGTGCTTCACCCTGAGTTGGGGGTAAAGTTGGCTGCACTGAAATCTCATGGACTGAGAGCAGGGCATGGTGTGGGATTCCCCAAGAAACAGGGGCATGGGTACCAGAAGAGAGTGGACGGGTGCTGATGGAGTAAGGTCACTTAAATAAGAAAGCTTAAACATTCATAATCTAGCCATTCGTGGAAAAGCACCTCTAGGGGCAGTACCAATGTGAAGTTTTCATCATTCTTTTGGCTGCCCCATGATCCCTTTCCATATGTGTTTGGTATAATCACCACTGCCAGGGCCATACAGTCCTATTAGTAAAGCGTCTTCCCTTGAGTTCTTCTCCTGACACCAGCTCTAATACCAGTGTCTTCCCTCCAGAGCCTGATTATAGACACAGTTTGGGATGGGTTGGGGGAAGTATATTTCTGATAAAGTGATGTTTCCACTTCACACATATGACTAATAGGGAACTTGGCCAGGAATAACTTTTTATACAGTTTTGGAAACCCTGGCCTAAACCATAAATCATAAGATGAAGCTCGATCCTTGTCTTTTAACTTAAAACTCAATATCCTGCCTGAAGGGCAGAGCAACAGAGGAGCCTGAGATAGAGTACCCAATGGCGTCATCCCACTGGGATAGCCCCCAGGCCTGTGACGAGGTCACCTTCCCATGGCATTGCCCTCCGGGGCCAGGCAGAAAGCCTGAGCTTGGCCCCTCACTCCATTCTCCTTGCTGTCTTGCCAACAAAAGCCTTAAAAGTCATGGAAACATCTCTGGTTTTCTAAGTCAAGAGATTCCAACAACAGAGGTCAAAGAGTCACATGGGAGTATGTGAAAGGGCAGATATATCTGGGCAGGAAGATGCTTACCCTTGGTGCATTATGTGAGTAGGGGAAGAAAGGGGCTGAAAGGACAGAAGGAACATGGCAGGGCTTAGGGCTCTCAGGAGAGAGAAATAGGAGTGGGGCACATTGGCAGAAGAGGCTGAGAAGAGGAGTTTCTCTCCCTGGTTGAGAATCCAGGGCATTTTTGTCATGGATTTCCATTAGGAGTCACATCCAGAAAACTGCCAAGCTTCTGACCCAGGAGATAGAGGATAAGAGGGCACAAGATGGCCCAGAGGATGAGTGGACACATTGATAGTTGAGTGGTAAAGGCTCAGGAGTAAGGATTGGGGTTGGAGCAGCAAATAAGCACATATGAACCCAATGTGATCAAATGCTAGCATGACAGAGTAGGTGGGAGATTCACTGGCAGCAAATAGGTATCCCGGGGTGAGGAAAGAGGGAATTGTGCTCTCTTTTCCAGCAGGGAGAGCTGTATTCCTCCATCTTGGCAGAAATTCCAGCTTTCACAGGGCCCAGATCTTTGGGGAAACTTGTTTTGCCCTATATCAGCTAAAAATAGTCGGGTGAAATGCGACTGACCAGAGAACCTTTAACCTCTTTCAGATTTAGCTTTTGGACAAAGTTAAGAGACTCTCTTCTGAGCTTATTTTGGTAAGAATATCATTGTGGGCGGGGGTGGATGTGGTGGGGAGAAGCTCTGTAAGGGCAGAGGTTAAAAGGTGCCACATTTTCTTAGTTTGAATCAGTAGGAATCATCCTTGGTGGTTGGGGGACTCTAAGATTATGTAGAAAAGAGATAGGGGAAAGGTGTCAGAAAGAATGTAACTACAGCCTCCTAGAGTAGTCTTTGCTAAAAAATTATGTTGACAATAAGTGATAGAATTGACTGCCTCTCTAGCTAATAAAATAACAGCAACAACAATGCTTATTTTTTCTTACTCCTGTTTGGGCAGGATTTGGGCAGATTACCTGAGGTCCAAATTCCCTGGTGGACATAAACAGGAAAACCTTGAAGCTTATTGCTAGCGTATTCTAGCACCAAAGCAATACCCTCAATGGTTAGAGTCTGTCTTAATAATAATCAGAATAACACATTTATCAAGTGCTTATAATGCACCTGATGCTAAATTTAATGTTTCACAAATATAATCACATAAAATCCTGACAAAGAATTTGTGAGAGGGGACTACTGCTCCCATTTTACAGAAGAGAAAGCAGAGGCTCAGAGAAGTTCAGTAACTATAGCTGGAAAGCGGTGGAAATCAAGTTCAATCCTGGTTAGTTAGACCACAAATTCCGTGCCTTTAACTCTTATGCTATTCTCACCAACACCTACACTCCCTCCCACGTCTAGCACTGTTAGGCCTAAGTCTTTAGGCAATGACTCAAAATATGAGTGTATTGGTCAGCGTTCTGGCAGGAGACAGACGGCACACTCAAATGGGGTAATTGAGCAGAATTTAGAAATGTCACTACTTACAAGTTATGCGTAAAGCTAAAGGAAGCTAACAAGGAAAGATGAAGCCCTCCAGGGCTAGCAGCGGGGGGAGCCTGAAGGGTAAAGGGGGCGAAGTGAAAGAGAAAGTATCTGGAGGAGAGAGCCATTCATCAGGGGCTATGGCCTTAGATACAGGGGCAGTGGAGAGACACAGCCAAGCAAGGGCCCATTACAGTAGAACCAGGAGGATAAATAAATATCTTGACCTTGTCCCACCCATCTCTCTCTCTCTCTCTCTCTCTCTTTGTTTTTGAGATGGAGTCTCACTCTGTCACCCAGGCTGGAGCACAGTGGCTAGATCTCAACTCACTGCAACCTCAACCCTGCTGGTTTCAAGCAACTCTCCTGCCTCAGCCTCCTGAGTAGCTGGGATTATAGGTGCGCACCACCACGCCTAGCTAATTTTTTGTATTTTTAGTAGAGATAGAATTTCACCATGTTGGCCAGGCTGGTCTCAAACTCCGGACCTCAGGTGATCCACCCACCTTGGCTTCCCACAGTGCTGGGATTACAGGGGTGACCCACCACGCCTGGCCCCACCCTCCTGTCTCTTGCTGGTGCCTCCCACTGGCAGAACCCAACTGAAGCCAGAGGGCAAGGGTGCCCAGTAATGCGGTCCACAAGGTCAGCTTCCTGGGGTACAGAGCAGTGGGGAGGAGGATGGGGTGGCTGTGGAGGGGCAAATGGAGATGCCCAGCATAATGAATTAACACGTACAGCTGTCTGAAGGCTTCTGCTTTGAACTCAGGGTTAATTTCTCTCATCTACAAGGAAAGGGATGGCTTATGAAGGCTTAGGAAAGAAAGTGATGATCGTTAGGAATCAGCATGGATTTACCAAGAAAAAAGATGACTACTCACTGTACTTTTTTGGAGGGAGGAGACAGGATTCCTAAGTTGGTAGCACATGGCATTGTGGTAGGCAGCAGAGCAGACAGCTCATGGCTCTCTTGAGAACAAGGAGGGCTGGAGACAGTGTCACTGGGACAGCTGGGGATGTGCTGAGTGGCCCTAAAGCTGCTAACAAACAGATGGATGTCAGCCTGCTGGGTGGTTCCATCCGTGTCCCAGAATCTCCCATGACCGTTCTGTTTCAACAGTTCTATTAGAGACTAGGAAGAACTTTCAGAGGCAGCTGACATCTTGGATAACAGAATTAGAATCTCCTAAGATCCCAAAACAGTTTGGATTCATGGTGGCTGAATGTAACAAGATGAAATATAATAGGATTAATGTACATCTGGAACCTTGGGGCTAAACAAATGGAATTTTATACATGCCCGGGATGGGGCAGGTGTGAAAGACTCAGGGGTGTGTGTTGACTGTAAAGTCGACGTGAATCAACCTGAACAGTTACCAAGAAAATTGGTGTCATCTTAGGTGACATTAACTGAAGAAGAGTGTTGAAGATGAGGGAGGTATTTCTCCTGCTGGCCTCTTTACTGGTCTGTCCCACTTGGAATGCCACTGCACTGCTTTTAAAGGAGAAGCAAAATGCAATGGATCGCATTTGCTGACAGCCATGGGGATGGGGGAGGGGACTGAGAGTGTGTCACACGAGAATGTGTGAAGGAAAAGCAGAAGAGATAAATAAGAGAGCTGGCAAATAAAAGAGAGGTTCTCAAGTGTCTGGAAGGTAGTCATGTTGAAGAGCCTTGTTGGTGGAGGACAGAAAGAGAGTACAAAGACCACTGGGTGATGGCTAACTGGGCCAGCCTAGAGCACAACCTGCTGGCAGTCAGAGTGGGACGTGAGGTGGTGAGTTGGCTTCCCTTAGAGATGTTCGCACCCAGGGCTGTTGGAGAAGAGACCTCTACCGGGCATGAAAAGGAGGGCGTGTTGTCTCAAAGGATCTCTGTTGAATTCCAATGCCTGGCCACATGAATATGTTTGCATGCCACGCCCCCTTCATGCTAACACTTCCTTGGGCATACCAACCCATGATGGAGTGCATCCGCTCATAGTTTTCAAACTTTGGAGCATCCAGCATTCTCCTTTAAGTGACCTTTGGGAATCTATGGAGATGCAGATTTCCCCAGCATCACAGAAGGAACCAGGGCTTTGGGGTCTGGCAGATCTGGGATTGAATTTCCCCCGGGCCACTTCTGGCTGTAAGATCTCAAACAAGTCACATTTGGCATCATCAACCCCTGGTGCAGACCCCTGGCAGGCACCAGGGATTCCAGCGCGTGCAGCAACAGCAACAGACATGGTTCCTGCCCTCAGGAGGCTTACTGCTCTGGTCTGTCTCCTGTTCTGTAAAGCGGGAATAATTTCTCCTGTTCTGCAGTGTGTTTGTGGAATATGTGGGAATCTCAGAGTTGGTTCCCTTTCCGTTCCTTTCCTTGCAAGGAGCACAAAACTATAGTCATTCACGGGAAACCACGGATACTCAGAAACCCTCAAGGGCCCTTGTGTGAAATCTGTCCCCCTCTTTCCTTTCAAAAAGGTTGCTGACATCAGGCCTGCCTGTCACTGCTTCCTAAATGGCTGGCCTTCCTCTGTGGCTGCAGCTCCGCTCAAGCCACCCATTCACTGACTTTCCCCTGAAGGCTCTAGGGGACTTTCCCCTGGAGACACTATACGCGATTTGGTGACATGTTGATGGCAGATGTGGGACAGCCACTCTTTCTTAGCAAGCAGGACTCCCTCATTTTGGTGGTCCTGGGTTTTGATCCTGCAGAGTTCTCAATGTTTTGGCTGGGTGAGAAGTCGGCCAGTTTCAGAATTCACTTATCAGCTGGAAACAAGTGGCTCTTCCTACCCATCTTTCAAGGTTCAGCCCAAACACCGCCCCCTCTGGGAGCATTGCCTAGTTTCTCCCCTTCCCCTAAACATTCTGTGCCGCATAACCAAGGACTGTCAAGGACTGGTCTCATTTCCTGTGTGTTCCCACTTTACAGAACAGGAGACAGATCAGAACAGTAGCTCCCTGAGGGCAGGAGCAGTGTCTGTTGCCGCATGCTCTGGAACCCCGTGTCTGCCCAGGCTCTGCACCAGGAGCTGATTCGGTCTCCCAACTACAGTGTAAATCCTCAAGGGCAAGACCAGGTCCTCTGATTCTCTGAATCCATCAGAATGTTTAGCTCCATTTTGGGGAGATAGTAGATGCCCAATAAAAGCTTGCTATTGGATTCTTATCCAAGCTTCTCACAAATCCCTTTTTAAAGTGAAGAGCAGAAAGACTAAGCATTTATTCATTCAACCAGCATATTTTGCAAAAATCTCAAATCCACGATTCACAAACTAAAAGCTACTCAGCAGCACGTCTCACGTGTCCAGCCCGGTATTTTTCTGCTTTTTGTTTTTAATTAGTGCAAATATTTTTAAAAACAGGATACTTTATACAGAACTCTGGATTTCTAGGCTGTCTTAAATACCCAGCTGAAACTGAGTGGTGGTGCCCCCTTTAGATGGGCCAGCCTTCTTCAAGTCAGGGCAGTGCTCACCTGGCTTTGCTCCTGTGGGTTACTGCCAGCCCCCATTGGCATTTGAGTTCGTAATCCATGGCTTATTCGTTTAAAAGCTACTGACATCAATAGGAATCTCACAGAACAGTGAACTCAGAGACACCTGATTTCCTTGGTTTATTTCTTGACCCACTGTAGGAGGTGCCAACCCCCACCAGCTCAAGATTCTTTCCCCCGCATGCACCCTAATGCCCATTGCAGGTGTCAGCATCTCTTGTCAGTCCTACTGATGCCTCCATTGGCAGCAGGCTGAGCGTCCTTGCCCCAGAACTTTTGGGGAGTGCTAAGGTGGGCAGGTGTGTTCCCTGGCAGGGCATGGCTCCAGATTGGGCCCATAGGGCCCCAGCAGCTGCCGTCCATGTGTCGCTTCCCAGGCAGAGGGAGGGCGTCTGGGGAGACCACCCACTCAAGGGCTGGGCTGCCTCTCCAGAATCTCCTTTCAAAGACACCCTGGGAAGCGACCCTTGGCTTGCCCCGGTGCAGTGTCCTGAGGTTGCCCAGGCTCTCAGGGCAGTCGGGACCCTCCCAAGGTCCTGTTTCCTGCCCTCTGCAGGCCCAGATTTCAAAGCTGTCAATTCACTCCTCCTTTCCCTCCTACCCGCCTCCCGCCCTCTTCTCCTCCCCAACATTCTTTGCTTCTTGTTTATATTGCAGAAAACATCTGCGAGAGTAAATGACTGAGATGAAAGATCTTGGCAAAGGGCTATTTTTCTTTGCTTGGCTTAAAGGGGGACAGATGAAGACTTTAGCCTCATCCTCGCCTTCCCCAGCGTGACTCCCTCCCCCAGCTTCCAGAGAGGAGAGAAATGGGATCTGAATGAAGACAGACCAGAAGGTGGCCCAGCCGGCCCCAGGGCCTCACGTCCCCAGGCAGGGGAGATTGTTTTTCCTGTGGAACAGGCTGGCCTGGAGGAAAAGGCTCCGTGGGTGGAGAGGAGGGGTGCAGATTAGCATGCTTCTGCAGGGCTTTCCCCCAGCGCTGTCCACTCTCTGCCCTCCCTCCAGGCCACACGGTCACCCTTGCCAGCAGCAGACCTTTGTCTTGGGCTTGGTGGCATGTTATGGAGGAGAGACCATCCCGCCAGCCTTTCCTCCCTCCCGCCCCTCTCTCCTGAGTGGTTGTGCTGTGCAGGGAGTGACATCCTGGGCTGTACAGCCTCTCTCTTACTCCAGGGAGCTGTGTGGCTTTAGACAAGTTAATAACTTCTTGGGTCCTCAGTTTCTCCCTTTGTAAACTGGGGATAAATATACCTGCTTCACAGAGTTGTAGTGAGGATGAAATGATGTAACAATGCATGCTCCACACAAAATCAGGCACTTAATAAATGGTGATGACAATGGTGTTGATGATCAGGAGGACGAGGATGATGATGATCTGGTGGGGTGTGGGGCAGAAGGCAGGGAGAACCCTGAGGCAGAGTCTCTAGGTGACTTTCTGTAGGTGACTGAACCTCCATGTTTCCCTCTGTGGATGGAGTGTAGTTCATTCCGTCCTATTCCTTGTAGAGGGATTGTGAAGTAGGGCTGAGTGATTACACTTGGTGCAGATGAGATGAAGGGGTGATGGGGAAACCAAGCTTCACTATCCTTGGCACTATGACGGCTGTTTTCCTCTGTGACTCTTGGCTGCCCTGGCACTTGCCAGCTCTCCTGCCTGGCCATTGTCACCAGGGGGCACGGGCCAGTGGCCCTCATCATCTGAATGAGCCCCTGTTGCCATGCACCATGAGGACAGGTCTGTCAGTGCTGCCCAGGGCTGAGTGTCCTGAGCCCCAGATTCTCGGTCCGGGCAGCCCCCACTGACATGGCACTGGTAGCACCAAGGTTTCCAGGGTGGCTGGCTCAGAGGCTCCCACAGAGCAAGGCCAGGGACGTGGCTGTCCTCAGAGAGCAGCTGGGGAGCTCTCCCCACCCCATCTCACCTGCCAACCCAGCCCAGAGCTCCCTCTTTTTCATGGTCCCTGGTGCTCCTGTCGGAGTTGTGCAGTGGCGATGCGCTTCTTGGCAAGGGCAGGGCCAGATCTTAGGAAGACCTCAGTGCCTGGGCCAAGGCAAGGAGCTGTCACTCAGGCAAATAATGAGCAGATTTTTACCAGGTGGGACAGGTAAGTTCTGATTCAGGTGTAGGAGGAAGAAAGTCAGCTCATGGGCAGCAGCTTAGGAGGAAAACAGCTGGCAGCTGAGCTCCAGGGCAGGAGATGTCCTCTTATCCCATCTTTGTCCAGCCTGGGTCCACCAGGCTCACCAAATGAATCTAGGGATGTCTGTTTATGAAGCATGAAGCTGATGAGCACAGAGCAGAAGGTCCAAGCCTGACAACCTGTCCTGGCACTTCTGGACCTGCTCTGTCAAATCCTCCACACACTAAGGAGAAACAACCTTTTCCTGCCTGCAGGCTTCCTTCAGTACACACATAGGAAGAAAAAGCCTGGATCAATCTAGCCCTCCTAGACACAGATGCCTGAAGCCACCAGACTGATCTCTGCAGGGGCCGAGGCAGCAGTCCTAATAGATGGACTATCAGCTCCTATGAGCTGGACCCTGGGCCTTGGCCCCCCACCAGGCTCACTTAGTATATTATTCAGCTCTACATTTAATGATGGGGAGGCTGGTGCAGTGGCTCACACCTGTAATCCCAGCACTTTGGGAAGCCAAGGTGGGAGGATTACTTGAAGCCTGGAGGTCGAGACCAGTCTGGGCAATATAGCGAGATCCTGTCTTTACAAAAAAATTTTGTTAAATGACGGGGAAACTGAGTCTCAAGAGGTCAAGCAGCATGCCCTAGCCATGAAGTGCTAAGTTTCAGCTGCAGCGTCAGGATTTGAACCTAGATCTCTGTGGCTCCAAAGCCTCAGCATTCCCCCCACCGCGAGACCTACAATGTCCAATATGGATATCACTAGCCACATGTGGCTATTTAAACTTAGGTAAAGGTTCTGTTTCTCAGTCACACCAGCTCCATCTCAGTGCTCAATAGTCACATATGGCTAGTGGCTGTCCTACTGGACAGTGCAACTCTAGAACATTCCATCTTTGTAGAAACTTCTATGTAGAAAGTCAAAGGCAGCACTATGACTAGGTTGTACTGAGGCTCTTTCCTGTTTTAACCAGGCTGCTTAAACCCTTTTATTCAGCTGCAAACTCATCTAGTCTCTGACATACACCCTGTCCTCTCTCCCTGTCTATCCTCAAAGAGAGGGTGGTAGTTCTTGATCCCGCATAGTGAATGGGAACAGTGTGGAGCAGAGGGGACAAGTGACCCATGGGGGCTGGGAGCCAGGAGCTCAGCCCGGTCCTCTCTGCCATGCTGCACCTTCCTTGCTGTGTCTGTGAAAAATTGGGGCCTGGCTGGTCCTCTCAGGGGTGGGGGACCTGGGGGCCTAACTCAGTCACCCGCCCAGGCAGGCCCAAAGGTCACACTGCCGGCCTGCGGTCGCCTTTTCAATTATAGGACCCTGAGAGCGAGCTCTGGGCCAGAGCGCAGGAGAAAGGGGCTCTGTGTGGGAGTCCCGGAGCTGCTCTGCACCCCTCACAGAGGCCAGCTCTGTGTAGTACTGCCCAGAGAGGCTGGGAGGGGTGGCAATCTCTGGCAGCACACAGCAGCCTCCCTGTTCTGATACAGGCTCCTGCATGTTAGGCCTCAGTCCTCAGTTACCCCATTGAGAAAAGGGGGAGAAGAATCTGAGAGCTGGACAAAGGTTTTATATTTTGGGATTCTGTGCACAAATCTTACTTGAGTTTCTCAGCTGCCCTAGGAGGTAGGCAGGATACCTATAGTCATCTCTGTGGGTGGGCTGAGATGACCAGGCTCAAGAGAACCCTGCCCCAGATTGTCCAGCTAGATGGCAGCAGAGGAGGAGGCTGCCTGCTGCCAGGTGAGCAGGGTCCAGGCTTTTCAAAGTCACTGACAGTGCTCAAATCTGGTTTTGCCCAGCCCGAGCCCCTTGTACATGGTGCTGTCAATGCCTGCCATTCCTGTGGGTTCTCCTGGCTCCTGCAGGACAGGGACTGTGTTCTGCTCCTTGCTAAAAGCCAGCACCTGGACCATGCCTGGCTCTTAGAAGGCCCTCAGCAGATATCAGATGGATGGATGAATGGCTGTGGTTGAATGTGGGCAGAATGCTTGGGACAGCAGTGTCACCTGGTTCCTGTCTGCTGTGAGGCAGTTACTTGTCTCAGAGAAAATAGGGAGATGGTAGAGGCTGGGAAATTATAGTCTCGATTTCCTCCTTAGCCAGCCACTAGCAACAGAGAGAAAAGACCCCGCCGATCTGTAAGATGGAAGCTGGTGTTCCTCACGTCCCACCTCTTAGGGCCGGTTTCCAGCTCCTCCCTGCCCTCTTGGCCATGGCTGCTGGAAGCCAGAGGCCCACTCTGGGGGCTGACTTCCGAGATGTATGCCAGAGTGCCCCGCGGGTGGGCGTCCCTGGCAGGCCCTGGCTGTGCAGAGGCTGTAACTGGAGCAAGAGCTGTGTGTCAGAGGGTACACGGCTGCACAAGAAGACCTCAGCCAGGATGAACTAAATCTGCCCATCTCCCCCACACGCCTGCCCTCTCCCCCGACCTGAGCAGGTTTGCAATTCATCCGCCGTCCTCAGATGCTGTTCCTGCTATCAGATGATGAAAATGGAGATTCATCTTGAAGAAAGAAAGAAGTAGCTCGCTTCCCCCACACCCCGTCTATTTGAGCCCCTCCCCTCCCCCATCACCATGTGTTCCTGAAACCTGGGGCTGTTCCAAGTCCTAAATGTGCTGGAAAGTATAACCCTGAGCAGCTGTGAACCTGCTCAGGCTGCCGTGGCCCGGGGTGAATCAGAAACCAAGAGATAGGCTAGCTAACAATGCAGCCCCTTGTTCCTGCATTGAGAGAGAGAGAGATCACCATCAGCACCGGGCTCCTGAGAGTGGGGGCAGCTAGCTGGCGCACACACATACACACACACACACACACACACTCACCATTTGCCTCCTGGCACAACCCACTCACCTAGCCCACCCAGTGTAGGTGTGCTGGGGAAAGGTGTTACATAGCAGGCCTGAGACCATCATGACTGCCTGGTGGGGCCAGCCTCTCTCTAAGGTGTCTCCATCCCAGCCTCCTACTCCCTCCTTTCACTCTAACTTACCTGGGAAGGCAGGGGGGGAGGGAGCTGGAGGGGAGGGCTTGCATGAAGCCAAATGGAGTGGGATTGTCTTGAGGTTTTCCATTGGGCTGGGGAGCATGAACGGCAGTGGGATGCACAGCCAAAGCGGGTTCTTGGAGCCTGAGAGGGTTTGGGAAAGCCTGTTTACAGGAACCAGACACCCTGAAAAAAATAACTTGCAGGCAAGTTTTGAAGCAGGCCTGGTCATGGAGCTGGCAGCCACTCAAGGCCGCGGTAGAGTTGGGGGCCTTCCTATCAGGCCTGATTACAACTGCTCACGATCCTCACCAACTGCAGGCAGGAAGTGCCAAGCACCCACGGGGGTCTAAACCACCCACAGAAACAGCCCTGTTCACACGCACCACATCCTGGGAGATGGGGCGGGGAGTTCTCTTCCCATCACAAATGGAGAAACTGAGGCTCAGGGCCATCTGCCTGCCAGGCACTGACAGCGACAAAATTAGCAGCTCATGTCCTTAATGCAATTCCTAAAGGGGGTGGGGGGTTCTGTCCACCAGACATCTCCCATGAGCCTGATCTAAAAGCAAACAAGGAGGGATGAGCAGAAACACACCCTGACGTAAAGGTGTCCCCACAGCCTCATCTTCCCAGACAAGGTGGGCACAGCCCAAACTCCAGAATGCTTCTGGGATAGAAAAAAGCCTTAATGCCAAGACCGAACCACCAGGATTCCATCAGCTCTGTAGCGCTGGGCTTATTCCCTGTCTTCATCTCCACTCAGATATCCTGCACGTTCTGCCTCAGAAAGAGCTTTCAAATCCTGCCCCTTCTGTTCCCTTCCCAAGCACCAATGCCTTCATTCAAGCCCACATCATCTCTTCCTGGAGTGTCATCAGAGCTTCCTCTCTTCGTCATGCCATCATGCCAACAATCATGCTCCCAGCTTACAAACCTTCTTGCTTTCCCTAACCTCAGGATCAAGTGCAAGCATCCCAGTCACACAAGGCCCTTTAGACACTGGGGCCAGCCCCCATTCATCCTCATCTCCTTTTGTTCCTACCCAGTAGCTGCCATGTCAGGCAACTGACTTGTTCTGTGGTACCCCTGTGCCTTTGCACATGCTGTTTCTCTGCCAAGAATATCCTCTCTCCAGCATAGTCTCTACGTGGAAAAATTGCACCCATCCTTCAGAATTCAACTCCAGTGCCCTCTGTGCATGGGCCTGTGTTCGTGTCTCCATGGTAGGGCTTCTTTGAGCCGTAATGATCATTTGCATATCTATCTATCTCATCAGACCAGTGGTTCTCAAATTGGGGTGATTTTGGCTCCAGGAGACATTTGGCAATGGCTGGAGACATTTTTGGTTGTCACAATTTGTGTGTGGGGTGGTGCTACTGGCATCTTGTGGGTGGAGGCCAGGGATGCTTCTAGACATCCTACAATACACAGGGCCATCCACACAATTATGTGGCCCCAGATGTGAGTTGTACGGAGGTTGAGAAACCCTGGACTAGTCTGTGTATCTCTTGAGGCAAATTCTTATTTGTATATCCACGGCTAGGTCTAAAGAGGTATCCTGTAACTGTTTTTTGGCTTTGTTTTTTTGAAAGACAGGGTCTTGCTATGTTGCCCAGGCTGGGGTGCCATGCTCATAGTGCGCTATTCCCAGTCATGCTCATAGTACGCTACAGTCTCCAACCCCTGGCCTCCAGGCATCCTCCAGTCTCAGCCTCCTGAGTAGCTGAAACTACAGGCATGCACCGAGGCACCCAGCTTTCAATAACTGCTTTTTGAATAAATAAATGAGCAGACTGACTTAATAGTTATATACTCTCCACCTGTGGGATGTGGGTCACCGTGAGCCCACCAAGTTAGAACTTAAGAAAGTTGACTAATAGTGAGTGAACAAGCATATTGACAAGGATAGAATAAAACATGCGTGTGAATCAAATGCTTTGCTTTCAGTGAAGAAAAGGACCAGCCTATTATCAGAGTGGACCTCAAGTTAGGTATGAACACACATCATTACTGTAGCACTTCTTTTTAAATTAGGGGCCTGTGATTAAGAAGTATCAGTAAATTGCTCCCCTATGCTCACAAAGCAGATGTCAAACCCTTAGCAGGACAGAGGACTCAAGGCCTGGCCCTACTTCCTACAGGGGATATGGCCAACTTGGAGATGGTACAGAGACAATCCATGCAGATGATGAAAGCTCTGGATACCTAGGCCCATGGAAGGGAGGCAAAAGGAATTGATATCATTTAACTTCAAGAAAGTAATGACTTGGAGGGTGTCCTAACATATTTTCCAGTAACACAGGAGGTGATTGAATGGAAGGAGTGGCCAGTCACTCTTTGGCGTCCAGGATCCAAGAAGAAACAGATGAGGAGGAAGGAGGATAAACAACTTCTGGACAAAGCGAGTAAGTGAAGGTTGGGCAAGAACGCACAGCACGCATGGCCGAGGGTCCTAGAGGATGCTGCACCTCTGCCTCTTCTCTAGACGGGATCCCTTTCCCACAGCTAGTGCTGTTGGAGGGCTGGGGAGGGGGCCGTCCAGGCTTCAGGCCTTGCTTTTAGAACTTTCCTTTGAACTGGAAAAACAGGAAAGACCTGGGGAGACTGGGAGGCAGAGAGTAGGAGTATCAGGGAGAAAACAAGGGCGAGCAAGGAGAAAGGACAGCAAGAGCAAGAGGCGGCTGGAAAGACACCAGGAGAATATCGGGGCTGCGTGGCCTCGGCATCTGGAGCGCAGACTGCGGGCTATATTTAGATCGCCATGACTTGCAATAATTTGTGCAAGGGGGGAAGAAAGGAAAATGTGAAGTTGGCGTCGTGTTGGGAGGGAATGAATTATAAGAAAGGAACAGCCCTATAGAGGTGAGCTGTGCCTGAGGCCTCAACCCTTGGTCTCTAGGAAAGAGCCATTGAGCAGTGCAGGCCATCAGGAGTGAGTGATGGTGTTTACTGAGCCTAATCCAACTCATGCCCCCATTCCCAGATGCGCCCTGTGCTTCCCACCAAGAATGTGGGGCGCTGGGCGTGCCAGGTGGCCTGTCTACCACAGCACCAAGACGGTTCCGGGATGATTCAGGGTCCTTGCTGGAGAAGTGAGGGCCCAGGCAGAAGCTCTGGAGTGGGGTTCAGGGCTTACGTGAGCAGCACTCTGCAAATTCTAGGAATTTGTATACATTGCCGAGGCCTCTCTCCAGCTGGATTATAAATAGAGGATTAGTTCAAAGGCAGGCAGCCTTTTAAAGAGACGGTGCCAAGCGAAGCCTACAACCAAATACAGTCAAACCTTCTTCAGCCCGTTTGCTTCGTCCAAATAGCATATAAGTCACAGCAACGGCATTTCCCTGGCTGACAAGCTTCCCTGATGTCCTTTAAGAAGTGGTCTAGAGGGTTCGACTTCAGCTATATAGCAAAACCTCAGTTATCCAGAACAAAACCCATCCTTCTGGATAGTGGAGCTTTCCAGCTAGCTTAAGGTTTGTCCTTTTAAACATCACATGTGGCCGGGCATGCTGGCTCACACCTGTAATCCCAGCACTTTAGGAGGCCAAGGCGGGCAGATTACTTGAGTTTGAGACCACCCTGGGCAACACGGCAAAACCTTATCTTTACATAAAAATACAAAAATTAGCAGGCATGGAGGCAGACGCCTGTAGTCCCAGCTACTTGGGAGGTTGAGGTGTGAGGACCACCTGAGCCTGGGGGAGTGGAGGTTGCAGTGAGCCATGATTGCTCCATTGCACTCCAGCATGGGTGACAGAGTGAGACCTTATCTCAAAATAAAATAAAATAAACATCACATGTAAACATTTCATCATTTTGGATGGAAGTTTTTCTTAAAAAAGTCATATGCTTACCAGGTTTTAAAATAGAATATACTGATCTTAATTTCACATTTCTGTTCTACTTAGGGTCATATTTAGAAACTTCAGTTACTGTACTGTTAACCCAGTAGTGCCCAAACCTTTGAGATATGTGTGGCCATTTGTATCTCTTCATATTGCTATGCTTTTGAGGTTCTTGGGTCTACTTTATATCATTTTCTGATCTCTTCCTGTGGTAGTGGTTACTTTTCCCTGTTGTGAGGGAGAATGCTATTTTGTTCATACCTGTAGCAATCTCAGGACTCATTTTCTTTTAGTCTGTTCTGGATTGAGAAACCAGATATGCAAATGTGCCAAAATTCTGTGTAAACAAAAAGTAAATAGGTTGTAAGGAACCTAGCTTTTCCTATTTTGAGAGGATTCATCCAGGCTTTCTTAAAGGGTGATAGGCCATCCAGCCCTCTGAGAAACTAGTTGTTTTGAATTAGATGCTACTTTAAACACAACAGTATGGGCCTCTGTAGATAATGTTGGCTGCTTAGACATTTCTTGGCTCATCCCCAGGTTCTGGTCTGATTTTAGATAGTGAGGTGTCTGAGTAGCTTTGTTTGGGGTAGATAGATCTCACTCTAATTTGAAGTCTAAGCTCTCAAAGCCCTTGCATTTGAGGAAACTGAGTTTTCTGCCCACCTATGTGTCAGGCTGGTACTGTGATTAAACCCAGCACAGGTAAAAGACCACAGACAATCACCCTGCCTGCTTGTTCATTAATGTCCCATTTTCTGTGTTCTATAAGATCCTGGGGATTCTAAGCAGGATGCTGAGCAGAAGAGTCACATGTAGGATTAAGGAATGAAAAGTCAGTCACTGGGTTGTGAGTTGGTTCAGAGAAGTAGCTAGAAATTGAATATTCAAAATGGATGAAAATTGGTCAAGCCAGTCCAAGAGGGTGCAGAGGTCCTTGGGTAGTTTTTAGCATCTTCTTAAGCAGGGAAAATCTTTCGGTGGTCAAACAGAATTAGTGCTTTGTAAATCCCTCAAATAGCTAACCACCCATCAGCAAAGATCAGACATTTCTGATGGAGAAATTAGGCTCTGCGGGGGGAGTGACTTTAGAGTCTCCCAGACCAATGGGCCAAGAGGTGGCTCTCAGGAGCCCTGCAGCCCAGGCCACCACCATAGCGAGGCAGCCCTTGGTCAGCCTGTCTTAAGGCAGAAGGAGTCTCACCTTATTTCAAAGGGTGTCCTGAGAAGTGTTATTACATCTTACTCCTGTATAAAGGCTCAGGGTCAGACTGATTTTGTGCTCATATCAGTATCAGGTTAAAAGACAGTTGGTCTCTTTGCGGAAGGTGTTCATCATGGCCAATCTGCTCCCCCAGTGATTGGAGGAAATCTGCCCCATACAGCCCTGTCTGAGAGCACGCGACTCACCTCCCCTCTTCACACATGACTGGACCAAGGGTGGGCACTTGACCCAAGGGTGACCCATCTATTGGCTAACCAACGATGACCAATTATTGATGTGGCTTGGCACAAAAAGCTAAGGTTAAGTAAGATAAATACATCATTTCAGGGGAACCTAGACTTGAAAATGGAAAGACTGGGCTAATGGCCAATGGACACTTAGGCTGAAAAGTCATGCAAGGTATGGAGTGGGGCCATGATGTCCATCTGTGCGCTGATCTTGCAGAGAAGTGGAAACAGAGAGTACAAAGTGGGGAGTAGAGAATGGAGCAGAGGCTCAGAGAGAGAATGCTTAGAACATAAAGCCCCCAGGAGATGCCCAAGGTCCTGATAGTGTGTCTATTCCTGTGAGTCCCAGTTACCCCTGTGTTCCTAGCTGTGAATTTCTGTGAGCTAGCTTGGGTGGGTTTCTGTTCCTTGAAACAAAAAGAGCTTTGCCCAAGACTGTCACAATCAGTATAAAGCAAGCTGCTCAACCACGAGATGCTCAGAGCTCGGAGCTTGGAGCTGGGAGCTCAATCCATCTTAATGTGTCCTAATGTGCCCAAGGAATCCAATTTCTGTAACTTTTCCCCAGAGGACTCATTTTAAAATGTTTTAATCCTTTCTCTGATCACTCCAAAAGATCTCCACCTCTTCATGTTCCATTGCTATGACATGCGAGGGTTGCCTCTGGAGACAGCCAGGATTGTGCACACTGGACTCTTGGTCATCAGTCCTAGGACTGCACTCTGCTTGATTTCTAATAACAGAGTTGCCCTGCTGACTGACATGTAGATCTGTTTCTCCCATAACCTGATACTCCCCACAGGGTCATCGCCATCACAAAATGTCAGTGCAGGAAGAGGCTTGGTGAGCATCTGGCCCAACACTGTCATTGTAGTAATGAGGAAATTGAGTCCCAAGGAGGCTACATAACTTACCCCAAGTCAGGCAAAGTTGAATAACTTGTTTTTCCCTGTGTGTGTGTGTGTGTGTGTGTGTGTGTGTGTGTGTGTGTTTGTGTGCTTTTACCATTATTGAGCTTTGTCCCACTAGTTTAAAAATTCTTCGTTAAGCTTCAGAGGGCATTTTGAATTCTGTACATTTAAATTCAAATGAGTGTGCAGATGTTGCACAGAATTCTGTATGTGCCCCAGGCAGAATGAACTCACAAATATCCCACTAATACTTAGCTTTTATATGGCTGGTCTCCAAAGTAGGGTGTGTGCAAGTTGATTTATTGGGGTAAGGGGAAAAGATTAGAATGTCTTTTTCACCATAACAAATTAAAAGTTTAAAGGATGAGATACAAAATAGACATTCTAATCTCTTCCTCTTACCTCAATAAATCAACTTGCACACACCCTACTTTGGAGACCAGCCATATAAAAGCTAAGTATTAGTGGGATATTTGTGGGTTCATTCTACTTTGAGCACGTACAGAGTTTTGTGCAACATCTGCACACTCTTTACTCACACACATGCGGGTTCGAATTTCTCATTTTCATATATATATACGTGTGTATATATATATATACGTGTGTGTATATATATATATACGTGTGTGTATATATATATACGTGTGTGTATATATATATACACACACGTATATATACGTGTATATATATATACACACACACATCTATATACGTGTGTATATATATATATACGTATATATATATATATATGCTCAATTTTTAAAAAACTAATCAGAGTGGCTGGGTGCAGTGGCTCATGCCTGTAATCCCAGCACTTGGGAGGCCAAGGCGGGTGGATCCCCTAAGGTTGGGAGTTCAAGGCCAGCCTGATCAACATGGAGAAACCCCATCTCTACTAAAAATACAAAATTAGCCAGGAATGGTGGTGCATGCCTGTAATTCCGGCTACTCGGGAGGCTGAGGCAGGAGAATCGCTTGAACCTGGGAGGCAGAGGTTGCGGTGAGCAAAGATTGCACCATTGCACTCCAGCCTGGGCAACAACAACAACAACAAATTAATCAGTCAATCAAGGCTTTAAAATGTACTTCAAGTTTAGAATTGCTGTTCACAAAAGCACCATATAATGTGGTGAGGACTGTGTGTATTCATCTTAATTCTGCCTCATGTAGTCCCACTATGTTAGTAGTACTTGTACTTCAAAATGCAAAACTCATAAAGAATGATACAATAACCTTAACAGGCTCTAAAATTATATTTAATAAAATTAATCAAGTATTTCCTGACTTAAAAAAAACCTCTTAGAAAAATAAGAAGAGACTATTACTTTTTAAATACAAAAATACCTCTATCTTAAACCAAAAGCCAAGAAATTCTTAATGGCACAAAATGGGAGGCATTCTCCTTAGAGACAAAACAAGGGTGTCATCTATCACTTTTATTACATAGTTTTATGATGTAACAATTATTTTGAAGTTTTTGCCAATGCAATAAGACATGCAGTAGCAATAAGAGGTAAAAGTTCTGGAGAAGATCTGAATAAAATTAGTAGACTAGATTAATATAAAAGAATGAAAAAAATCAACAGGTGAAGCAAATTATGTCAGTTTCCTCCAGTGATCTGAGGATGAATAAATGAAGTTCTTTTATATTTAGAATTTTAATGCTGGAAGAAATCTTTATTTTTATTTTAATTTTTCCTTTAATCTCAGCTAAGTCTGCTAAGAAATCTTACATATATATCTGACCCACAGAAGATGCTCAATAAATATTTGTTGAATACATGAATGAATTATAAAATAGCCTCATTGTATAGTTAATATAGCAAGACCCAGACAGATTAAATGACAGAGAAGCTCACTTTTAAGGAAAATAGATTTTTCTTTATGTATAAGGCTAAAGTATCATCACAAGTCATTGTGAAGGAAGAGATTTTATTCATCAAATATAGCTGAAGCAAATTAGAGATCTGAAGAGAAGAAATAATTTAGAAACTCATTGAACACCATTTCCAAAGACACTCCATATAGTTTAGACGGTTAAATGTAGAAAACACTAAAAAGAATCAACACAGATTTCTTGAAGCAAATACAGGTGAATAGATATATGTAATCTAAGTAAGAAGGGGCTGTGGACTAAAAGCAATGGAAGAATCATGAAAGACCTAGAGATTAGAACACATAAGACGATCAAATGCCTTTACTTTGGCAAATAATATAAGCCAAATTAAAAGGCAGACAATAAGCTGGGAGAAATATTTGCAACAAAATGTGAAAGCCACAAAGCTAATATCCTTTAAGAGTTCTTATGGCTTGACAAGAAACACAAAAAGATAAATGAGCCAAGGACAGACACGTAGTTTACATGAAAGGAAATACAAAAGACCAACCTTTGGAATGAAAGGTCAGTTTCATTCATAGTCAAAACTTTGTAAATGATCATTTCCCACCTATCAAAGAAGCAAACTTTTGTTTATTCTTAAATGAAATAACTCAAAGCAGCCACTTTTGTGAGAAAACAGGCATTCTTACTTACTGTTAGTGGAGAGGAACCTGGCACTAGTTTACAGAAAAGCCCTTTGGCCAGATGCATCCAGAATCTTGAAAATGTTCATCAACTTTAACTCATTAATTTCATTCCTGGGAATAGTACGTATGGTTGGATTGCTAGATTTGGCAAATAAAAAAAAAAAGATGCCTAGCAAACTTTGAATTTCAGGTATATGATGAATACTGTTTTAGAATAAATTTGTCCCGGGGAATATTTTGAGTGTACTGACACTAACAAATTATTCATTGTTTATTTGAAATCTAAATTTAACTGGACATCCTGTATTTTATCTAGCAATCCTTGCCTATGTAAATAACCAAAAATGCAGCAGAAATTTATGCACAAATTCTCTGTTGCAATTTTACTTATGATAGCAAAAATATTGAAAGAAAAAAATCCTAAATTTCCAACAATAGAGGAATTGGAGGAGGGATGTGTCTGGAGAGTTTTTAATGACAGTGCTTGCAATATAATGTAAACTTAAAAAACCAAGCAAGCATCTTACACCCATTAGGATGACTATCACTAAAAAAAGGAGAAAAACAGGTGTTGGTAAGAATGTAGAGACATTGAAACTGTTGTACACTATTGGTGGGAATTTAAAATGGTACAGCCATTGTGGAAAACAGTATGGCAGTTTTCCAAAACACTAAAAATAGAATTACTGTATTAGAATCCAGCAATTCCACTTCTGGGTACATACCCAAAATAACTGAAAGCAAGGTCTTGAAGAAATTTTTGTAAACCCACGTTCATAGCAACATTATTCATAATAGCTAAAATGTGAAAGCAACCTAACTGTCTGTCGATGAATGAATGGATAAGCATAATGTGGTATATACACACAACAGAATATTATCCACCCTTAAAAATGAAGGAAATTCTGGTACATGCTACAACATGCTTGAACTTTAAGGACATTATGCTAAGTAAAATAAGCCAATCACTAAAAGACAAATGCTATATGATTCCACTCACGAGATACTTACAGTAGTCAAAATCACAGAGACAGAAAGTAGAATGGTGCTTGCCAGGGGCTTGGGAGAGGTGAGAATGGGGAATTAATATTTAATGGGTACAGAATTTCAGGTTGGAAAGATCAAAATGCTCTAGTGATGGATGGTGGTGATGGTTGCACAATAATATGAATGTACTTAGTACCACTGAAGACTACACTTAAAAATAGTTTAGGTGGTAACTTTTATGTTATGTGTATTTTAACACAGTGAAAAAATGAAACAAACCAACAAACTGAGTAGGGTCAAAGTTATAATCTCAAGTATATAAAACAATATGTGCAGGAGAGTAACTTACAAAATGCTAACAGTGGTTCTTCCTGAGTACTGATATTATAGGTTATTTTTATTCTCTTCTTTATATAGTTCTGTGTCATCTAAACTCCCTATGATGAGTGTATAAGACTTTTGTGGAGATGAAGTTAATTAAAAAAAAAAGCAAACGACAAACCAGTGCCTGATCAAAACCTGCACTATTGACATTTGATGACATACATAGGAGAGGCCAGACTAATCTGTGAGGGGAGATTGAAAACGGAGCAGAGATTCCACTTCTTCTCACATATTCCTGATCTTTAGGCAGAGATTCAGGAAGGAGAGCAACATTCAGTGTGGTTTTTGGGCTTCAAAAAGCAACAGCAGGAATCTGGGCCCTGTTTCTAGGCAGAGCCCCAGGAAGGCATTCAGGCCTTTGAGAAAAGATGCTGCAGATGGTCCTTAGATGGTCTTACCAAGTCCTGTGTGCCTCAGGGGGCTTGAAAGCCACTGATGGATTCCAGGGTCCCTCAGAGGGTCAGAGGAGTGGCAGAAAGAGGTAGAGCCTGTGGCCATGTGACTAGGAACAGGACTTATGGCAAGAGTCAGGGGCCACTGCCTGGGCACCAGAAAGGGGGCAGACACCATGGCCCTACACAGCCCTCCTTGATCCCTGAGGCCATAGGGGCAGCTTCATGTCTGAGCTCATTGTATGAATTAGAAGAACTCACTACTGAGCTCAGTAGGTGCTCATTGTATGAATTAGATGAACAAGTAAATGCTCGTTGCAGGAATTAGGATGCCAGCAATGCCAAGGTCAAGCCTAAAACAAGGCCCCTGGAAGAAGAAGGGAGGAGAGGGAATTATTGCACAGAGTGGGAGGGAAACAATGGAGGCAGTAAGTGGGGAGCATGAAGCAGGTTGTAGCAGAGTGCCCCAACAACAAAGGGAAAGGCAGGTGACAGCTACTGGGGAAGGCGAAGCCCAAAGCGGAATCTGAGAGATGATAGCTTACTAGTTCCAGTGCCTTCTCCCATCCAGAGAGAGGCCCCACCCCCTTTTCATGACCACTCCTCTCTCCTGGGAACCTGCAAAACTCTGTCAAAGGGGAAGCTGGGATCTAATGTTGTAGTGTTTGAGTCAGGGCCTTCCAGGAGGGGTGGATGGTCCTCCCAGACCTCCTAAAAAGGGGAAAACACAAGGAGCTGCTCTGATTTCCTGGCACATGTTTAGCATTCATATTATTTTAAGTGAGTTATATGTTCTGAACATATCTATCCATTTATCAGAGGAGTAGGATAAAACAAAGTAATAAAAAGCAGGGAGGAGGAATTTTATCTTGGATCTATGACTGCTCTTTTCTCCCCTCTGAAATAAGGAGTAGAATGGTTTAGCTAAAGCACTTGCTTATTTTAGAGGGATCTGGATCTTTATCCCCCCACCACTCCCATCCTCCTCTGGTCTCCTTAAATGACTGAGTGGATCAAGAAACAAGACCCAACTCTATGTTGTCTACAAGAAATCTACTTTAAATATAAAAACACACATAGATTAAAAGTAAATGAATGGATAAAGACATACCATGCTAACACTAATCAAAAGAAAACAGGAGTAGCTATATTAATTTTAGAAAGAGCAGGCTTCAGACCAAGGAAAGTTATCAGGGATAAGAGGGGCATCCCATAATGATTTAGGGTTCAGCCCTCCAATAAGATATAATAATTCTTAACTTGTATGCACCTAACAACAGAGTGTCCAAATGTGTGAGGCAAAAACTGGTAGAACTTCAAGGAGAAACAGATGAATCCACTATTACAGTTAAAAACTTCAATACTCCTCTGTCAGAAATGGACAGATCCAGCCGGCAACAACAGAATACACATTCTTCTCAAGCACACATGGAACATTCACCAAGACAGACCATGGGCCATGAAACACACCTAAACATATTTAAAATAATAGAAATCATACAATGTTTTCTCTCAAACTACAACGGAATTAAACTAGAAATAGTCTGATAGCTGGAAAATCCCCAAATACTTGGAGATTAAGCCACACACTTATAAATAACATATGGGTCAAAAAAGAAATCTTAGACGAAATTTAAAAATACTTGGATTTAAGTGAAAATGAAAATATAACTTAACAAAATTTGTGGGATGCAGCAAAAGCAGGGCTTGGGGAAATTTATAGCACTGAGTGCATACGTTAGAAGAAAGATCTAAAATCAATCACCTAAGCTTCCATCTGGGAAACTAAAAAAGGAAGAGCAAATTAAATCCCAAGGAAGGAGACGAAAAGAAATAATACAAATCAAAGGAAAAATCAATGAAATTGCAAACAGGAAATCAATAAAGAAAAATGAATAAAACCAAAAGCTGGTCCTTTGAAAACATCAATAAGATCAATAAACCTTTAATCAGGCTAAGAAAAGAGAGAGGACTAATATCTATGTTATTAATAACAGAAATGAAACAGGGAACATCACTACAGATCCCATGGACATTAAAAGGATAATGAAGAAATAATGCTATGAACAACTCTATGTCCACAAATTTTGATAACCTAGATGAAATGGACTCATTCCTTAAAGGATACAATCTGGCGAAACTCATACAAGAAGAAATAGACAATCTGAATAGGTCTATATCTATTAAAGAAATTGAATCAATAATTAATAGCCTCCCAAAATAGAAAGCACCAGGCCCAGATGGGCTCATTGGTGAGTTTTATTAAATATTTAAGGAAGAAATTATACCAATTTGCTATAATCTCTTTCAGAAGATAGAAGCAGAGGGCATACCTCCTAACTCATTCTATGAGGCCAGGATTACCCTAATAACAAAAATGGACAAAGACATTATAAGAAAAGAAAATTACATACCAATTATCTCTTACAAACGTGGATGTAAAAATCCTCAACAAAATATTAGCAAATTCAATCCAACAATGTATAAAAAGAAGTATACACTATGATCAAATGGGATTTACCTCAGGTATGCAATGCTGGTTCAACATTCCAAAATCAGTTAATGTAATCCATCACATCAATGGGCTAAAAAAAAAAAAAATCCCAGCCAGGCATGGTGGCTCACACCTATAATCCCAGCAATTCAGGAAGCCAATGCAGGAGGATCACTTGAACCCAGGAGTTGGAGACAAGCTTGGGCAACATAGTGAAACCCTGTCTCTGTATTTTTTTTTAAATCACATGATCATATCAATAGATATGATTCTATTGAGTGGATCAAGAAAAAGCATTTGACAAAATCCAACACCCATTCATGATAAAAAATTCTCAGTAAACTAGAAATACAGGGGAATTTCCTCAACATGATAAAGAATATCTACAAAAAATCTACAGCTAACATCTTAATGGTGAGAAATGCAAAGCTTTTCCACTAAGATCAGGAAGAAAGCAAGGATTTCCCCTGTTATAGTTTTTCAACATCATACTGGAAGTCCTAAATAATGCAATAAGACAAGAAAAGGAAATAAAAAGTGTTCAGATTCAGAAGGAAGAAAGAAAACTTTGTTGTAAATGACATGAACATCCATGTAGAAAATCCAAAAGGATTAACTTCTTAAGCTCCTGGGACTTCGAGCAATTATAGTAGGGTTGCAGGATACAAAGTTAGTACAAAAATGTCAATTACTTTCCTATATACCAACAGTGAACAATTGGAATTTGAAATTAAATCCCGTAGGACAGGGCTGGCATATGGTACACATGCAACACACGGCAGACATGAGTACAATCTCTGCAGACCTTCATCATCTTTTATCTGAACTGTGTCTTGGGCCTCCTTTCCTCTATTCTTTCCTTAAATAATTACCCAAATAGCAACCAAGGTGAACTCATTAAAAGATGAGTTCAAATATGACCATAATCAGTCTCTTGCTTAAAACTCTTCAAGGGCTCCTCGTTGCCCACAGGGTAAAGACCATTAACACAATGGATAACGTTTCAAAATTCAGGATCCTGGCTACCTTTTCCATTGCACCTCCTGCCACTTCTGCTTTAACTTTATGGTTAGAGACAGTAAACTGTGAGATTCCCAGCTCAGCCATTTCCCAGCACCCACCCCAACATACACCTAGATGAAATGGGCCAATTCCTTAAAGGATGCAATCTGACAAAACTCACAAGAAGTCCAGTTGCTGTTCATTGCTACACATTGCTGCTTCTTTGATATTTCCTTAGTTGTGGAATACTTCAGCCCATCCCTTGGTGAACTCTTCTTCTCCACTGTAAGTCACCTCTTCCAACAAACTAGGGCTGAGTCTCCCTCTTCTAAAAATACTACTATCATTGCATTTATCATGCTATGTTTTAAGGGTGTGCTTCTTCTGTGTCTTCAGCCCTACCAGAGCATAAGCTTCTTGAGAGCAGGAATTTTGGTTCCTTTGAGTCCCCAACACCTAGTAAGGCACCTGGCCCTCAGTAGATATACAATAAATGTTTCTTACATGAATTACTATGTACTGGCACTGAGCTAAGCACCTTACGAAGTGGATTACTCCTAACCCTTTCAATGAGATGGAAAAGTAGCTACCAGTCTGCCCATTTAATAGATGAGGAAACCAAGGCTCCCAGAGATTAAGGTGTTTGCCGTAGGTTGACATGGTTATTCCTGGATTCCAGATCTTCTGACTCTAAAGCCCATATTCACATTGCTGCACCACAGAGAGTCCCTGGAAAGGGGTGCCTTCTGGGGCCACTTTGGGTGTTTGGAGGTAAAGCTAATGTCATCACACATGCCTAATGCATGGATGTGCTTACGGAAAGTATTAGGGAATCATTGCTGGCTGCTTCCCAAAGCCTTAAAACCTGGGCCGGGCATGGTGGCTTACTCCTATAATCCCAGTACTTTGGGAGGCTGAGGTGGGTGGATCACTTGAGGTCAGGAGATCCAGACCAGCCTGGCCAACGTGGTGAAACCCCATCTCCACTAAAAATACAAAAATTAGCTGGGTGTGGTGGTGCACGCCTGTAATCCCAGCTACTCAGCAGGCCTGTAATCCCAGCTACTCAGGAGAATTGTGTGAACCCAGGAGATGGAGGCAGCAGTGAGCCGAGATTGCGCCACTGCACTCCGGCCTGGACAACAAAGCGAGACTCTGACTCAAAAAAACAAAAAACAAAAAACAAAACAACAAAAAAAACAAAACAAAACCCTGGCTCTGCCCACCTCTCCCACAGGCCTTATGGCAGCCAAACCGAAGGTTCTGTCTCAGCACACTCCTCCTCAAAGTGTCTGCAGTGCTGTCTTTTTCTCTCTGTTCCCTCAAGCTGCCTTATTTTGCTTTGGATCTCTGGCTTCTCTTCCTCCTAATTCCTAAATATAGACGCTCTGCCTGCTTCCTCCCTTTTCATTCCTATTGCTGACATATTCCTTCAGATCACAGTCCCTGTCCCTGTCCTGTGGCAGAGGTGACCACCAGATATGTGTAGCCCACCAGGGACTACCCATCAGCCACCCTTGCATGCAGGAGGGGCCAGGTGACTTGAGTTCTGGCCGGTGGAATGCCTGGCTCATAAAAGCCTCCTGCCAGGTCTTCCATATTCTCCTGGGCAACATGAATGTCAATTCCAGGCTGACCGTGGAGCCACATGTTGAAGACAGCAGAGCCCCCCTCACTCAGGATTCTTGAATTACTCCAGAAGCAAAGCCCTACACCTCAGCCCTCTACCAAATTAGCTTTATGTGAGCAAGAAACAAATCTCTATTGTTTTACACAGCTGAGATTCTGGAGTCTGTTACAGCAGCTAGCATCGCCTTACCTAACTCAGACCCCTTGCTGACCTTTGTGTTCTTGGGCTCTCCCCTCCCCCAAGGAAGCTCCACCCTACACCTCATTGCCAAGTTAGCCTTCCTTCAGTCTACGTGGGGTTGCTGCCTTCCCCCTCAACTCTTCAGTGCCTCCCCTTTACCTCCAGACTGAAGGACAATATCTCAGGCTCCAAGCACCAACCCCCTTGCTCTCACATTCTTGCACTTCTGTCAAATCTGATGAGTTTGAGTACCCGACGTGCATCCTGTCCACTCCTGTCTCTGCTTCCTGTTGTTTTCTCTCCAGCTCCATATGAAACCCTTCCTTCTCTGAGATGGGCTGTTCAGGTCCCCCAGCCACATGGAATGGCCCCTCTGAAAGCTCACAGCCCTCTGCTTGTGCGTCACGTGGGACTGATCAGTTGCGCTGCACTGCAGTGCTGCGCAGGTTTGCTCGGCACCCTTTTCCTCCCACTGGACCGTCAGCTCTCTGAGCACAAGCCTGGGTCTTACTTGTCCCCGACTGGGCCAGGCAGATCCCAGGTACAAAGTGGATGCCAGCTCCCCTCCCCCATCACCCAGCAACCCTTGATCTTTCTTCCTTGATGGTGAGGCCAGGGGACTGCAGAGTGTACACAACCAGCTCATCCATCTCCCTCCTCCCAGCACATTCAGAGGGCTAACTGTGTGACCTTTTCCATCTGTGGATTCCTCTCCCTCTCTCTTTTTTTCCCTCTCTTAAAAAGAGGGTCTTGGAGCTTGCTTGGAAGCCTGGCCTGGCTCGCAAGAAGCTGGCTGCTCAGTTATATTTAGGCTAGCAGGGACATCAATCTAAAGCTCTTTAAAAATAAAGTTCTGTTTCAGCTGGATCCCCAAGAAGGTCCCCACCCACTCCTAATAAGAAGCTCATTCGCCTCCTCCAGTCCCCCAGTCTCAATTACAGACCCTTCACGTGGCCTACACATGTGTGAATGTGTGAGTTAGGATGTCAGCTCACAGTTGCCCTCCTTGACCCAGTTCAAAAAAGGATTTCTCTCCTCTTCCAGGCCTTCCTTCACTGGCCTTCTCTCCTTTCTCTCCCGAGGGACATTGTGACTTTGAGGCCTCTTACCTCTGCAAACTAGCCAGGAGAAAAGCTGTGACTGAAGAAACTGCCTCCTCCAAAGTTTCTGGGCCCTGCCCTTCACAGGGCAATGTTCCCAGCTATGGTAAGAAGCAAAGAGAAGACAAAGACCAAAGCCTGAGGCAGAAGGTGAGGTTTGCAGTTGTGCTAAAATGTGCTGTGGGGGCCTCTAAATGAATGGTCCCAGCAGGCTGCCTGTGTGTGCAAGTGTGTGTGTTTGTGTGTGTGTGTATGTGAAGAGGTCCTCATGAACGCCTGACCGACCCTTCCTACTCCTGAACTCGGCCGCCACAGCCCTGGTTCTTTTCCATCCCCACTGATGAAACGCTTCTTTATGTCTTATTCACATCCTGTCTTGACTACCACAATTGTCTCCTTGCCGGGCCCACATGTCTCTCATCACCAATGGGATCCAAATGTTGCTGACAAAATAATCTTGCTGCCTTTGTGCTGCAATCACATTCCCTCACTTCTGCAAATTCTTCTCCGTCTCCCCATTACTAGGGGAATCACATACAAAGACCACCATCTCGCTCTGCCTCTCCTACCAGCTTGTTCTCATCCTCTGGCTGTTTCTAAGCTCAGAGATCTTTCAGGCCTGCCCAGGATGGCTGGAACAAACTCCTCATACTATTTATTCAGTCAGCAAATGTTTACGAAGTCCGAGTGAGGTGGCTCATGCTTGCAATCCCGGAAATTTGAGAGGCTAAAGTGGGAGGATCGCTTGAGGCCAGGAGTTCAAGACCAGCCTGGACAACATAGCAAGAGCCCATCTCTACACAAAATTAAAAAATTAGCCAGGTGTGATGGCCATGGTTATAGTCCCAGCTACTCTGGAGGCTGAGGTGGGAGGATCACTTGAAGCCGGGAGTTTGAGGCTGCAGTGAGCTATGATTGCACCACTGCACTCTAGCCTGAGCAATGGAGCAAGACCCTGTCTGAAAAAAAAAGTTTGTTAAGAGTGACGGGCACTCTTTCTAGGCACTGGGGAAGTAGCAAGAAACAAAGCTGAGGACAGCAATCAACAAATAAAAACAAAATAGAATGTCAAGAATTATAAGTGCTCTGAAGAAAATCAAAGCAGAGACAGGGGCTAGAGAGCAACTATTCCACAAGGTGGTCAACGAAGGGCTCTCCCAAGAGGCCTGGAATCTACTTCCCCACCTTCCCTCATGCAGGGCTTGCTTGGGGCCGCCGTCCTCCTGCTTTGCCAGAGGACTCCCCTCCCAGCCTGCTCTTGTATGTGTTTATCTTGATTTGAAGATCAGGGAGGCGCTGGGCATGTCTGCTTCAGCAGGAGACCTGTTACATTATTAACTCATTCAAGACTCACTAGGACTGGGAGACATCAAGCACATATACAAACCTCCGAACACAAACTCTGTTCTTTTCCAATGCCTGGTCCAGAACATGAATGGCCATTTAAATATGGATTTTTTTTTTTTTTTTTTTTTTTGAGACTGAGTCTCACTCTGTTGCCCAGGCTGGAGTGCAGTGGCACAATCTCCGCTCACTGCAACCTCCGCCTCCTGGGTTCAAGCGATTCTTCTGCCTCAGCCTTCCGAGTAGCCGGGACTACAGGTGCCTGCCACCATGCCCAGCTAATTTTTGTATTTTTAGTAGAGACGTGGTTTCACCATGTTGGCCAGGCTGGTCTCGAACTCCTGACCTCAAATGATCCACCCACCTCAGCCTCCCTATGTGTTGAGATGACACGTGTGAGCCACCACGCCCAGCCTTAAATATGGTATCCGATTGACTAGTGAACACTTATCTGAATGTCCTGTCAAAGGCTGAATTGTGTCTCCTGTTCTCTGGAATCAGAGGGTGTCTACTGGCAGTGATCACCCAAAGCTGACTCTGTCTACCCCAGTCGGGCCTCCCCTTCTTCAGACAAAGTACAGTGGATCCATGACATGGATGTTTGGTGACAATCAGCATTAGCTTCACTTTTAAACAGTCCATGGAAAAAAGCACTCACGGCTGGAGGCCTCAATGGACAATTTTATTAGCAGGTGAAATGACTGCCATTAAATTAGTAGCAATTAAAACTGCTATCACTTAAAAAAAAAAATGCTGTGTCCTATGTGTTTTCCTCCCTGGGAGGGGAAAGGCAAGGAGAGGTAGCAAGATGATGGCTAGATCTCCACTTAGACTCAGAGCAAAGTTGTAAATTGCTCTTCTTCTCAAAGGGTCTCTCTCTAGCAGCCAGCTCAACTATGCCCATCAGAGTTTGTCCTTGCCCTAGGTTCTTAGTGTGGTCTGTCTAGATCTGCCCTATCTAATACAATAGCCACTAGCCCAGGGGCAACTGAGCATTTGAAATGTGGCTAGTCAGAATCAATATATACTCTGGATATTGAAGACTAAGTACAAAGAAGTGAAGGTGAAATACCTCACAAATAATTTTTATATTGGTAACAAGTTAAAATATTTTGGGGTTTAATAAAATATAGTATATATTAATTATATTAAATAACTATGATATAAATTAGATTTCAAATAAAATATATCCTTAAAATTAATTTCATCTGTTTATTTTTACAGATGTGTGGCTATCAGAAAATTTAAAATGACACGTGTAGCTTGCATTTGTGGCTTGCATTACATTTCTATTGAAAATCGCTGAGTTAGCATCACATCTCTGGTTTTTAAACATAGTTTAAAGCAGTTCCATTTGGCTCACTAGAAATTTTACACAGAGCACCCTCCACTATATAAAGCAGGTAAAAGTGGAGTTGCCCAGGTTGAAGGGGGTGGATATTTGCAGGAAAAGGAAGTTGGGGGTGCATGGCATGGGGCTGAGGAGCCCCATCCATTAGCAGGAGACTGTTAGGCTCATCTATTATTGGATCGGATCACCCATTCATTTGAAATTGAGGGGGGGATACTCAGAGGCCCCCATTCAATCACCCTAAGTGGAATCTGATCATTATCTTGGGATAAACATTCCAAATGGAAGGTGAGTGCTGGAAGATAAGGAAGATAAGGAAACCATATGGCCCTGTCACCGGAGGCTCCCAGAGTCTTATTTTTGAAAGGATTAATGCATCCAAAGGGGGATCATCATAGTTCCATTTCTTGAGGCAGGCCCCAGAGCCTCGTTTATGGATGTGAACTGTCCCAGTCAGAAAGGACTAGGATTCAGGATGCATTCCTCTACCCTCTACCTTTTCCTCCTCCCTCATACTCTGTCCATCTCCCTTCACACCAAAGCCCCCCAAGCTGGTGTAAATGAATCCCCAATCTCTAAACTGTACTCAGCATCCCAGGCCTACGGAGTTGGGGTCCTGGATCTCCTTCTCCCTTGATCTAGCACCATTTCCAGAGGCTCCACCTCCGTCTCACCCCCACCCCATTACTGGCTGACTAGTGGTGGCCGCCAAGGTGGTATACGGGGGAGAGGCATTTTCCAGGCAGGGGTGGGAGGGTTTCGGTGGCTCTGTAGGGACTGTGGAGCCAGTGGCAGGCTGAGAATCCCAGCCACTGGGGGAGGGCAGGTAATATGAGCCCTGGAGAAAGGGATCTGGGGCTAAGGGGAGTGGGAGGCAAAGGCGACGGGCTTTTGAGCACGTTCTCTCCTCCCCACATCACAAGGCACTTCATCCTTCATTCCTCTGGCATTGCCGTTCTTGCACAGCTGTTCTCTGACCCACAACTGGAGACTGTTGAAGGCATTCGGTTTAGGTACAAAAATGGATGCTCTAAGCAGAGGAGGTGACTTTGGGATGGTGTACTAGTAATCATTGATAACAGTAATAATACAAAGAATAACCAGTATGTATTGAGGGCTCATTCTGTGCGAGTGCTTACCTTGATTACCTTGTTGAATCCTCAGTAACTCTACGAGGTAGGTGCCATTTTACCCAGGAGGAAACTGAGGCTCAGAGAGGCTAAGTAACTTGCCCAAGTTTGCACAGTTAGGAAGAGCTGATGGCAGGAGTCCAACTCAAGAGGCTGTACCTTGGAGCCCAGATTCTTGATGCAGACAGGAGGCCAGAACTTGCTTATTCCTGTCAAACTTCAGCAGTCTTGGTCAGTGACAAGCAACTGGAAGACAGTTGCCAAACTCTCTCTGTGCACATTTTGGATGGGCCCAAGGTAACTTGGGCAGTTGCTTCTGGCTACCACCCAAGTGAGCCTGAGCTGTGGTCTCATACCTCACTTGCTGGAACAATCCAAGCCCACTGTTGTCCAAACAGCCCTGGCCAAAAAGAGGCCACTCCCTTACCTCTGTCCTCCAGGACGGTCACATCTTAGGGCGAGGTAGGAACAACAATGGGTGTGTGTGGGTGGGGGTAGCCCCACGAGCTCCAGCCCACAGGCTTCCCTGCTTCAGGATCGCCCTGGCTGGTGGCCTGGGTTTCGGGCTTTTCTGTGCTCTGAGCACATCTAAACATTTGGAGAAAAACAAGAAAGCGAACAATAGACTCTTGTGGGCTGGAGAACAGAGCTAACTTCCCCCAGGGACTAGAGCACTGTTCATAAACTGCCCCAGCTGCACTCTCACGGTCAGGATGTCACTGGAGCCTTGCTGAATTACAGCCTTGTCCTCTCCAGGGGTGGGCTGCGGACTCCTGTTATACATCGTGGGGGGAATGCGAATGCAGTGGGGGAGCCAGCCGTTTGGGGGAAGGCGTATTCTCCTGCTTGAATTTTAAGAAATCACATAAAAAATATGCATCCGAGCCTTGGCGTTGTAGCTCTGCCAAGTCATCCCCTGACAGACATGTCCCGATCACAGCTGTTTGCCTCACAGGAAAAGAATCAGGTTTCTGTCAAGTGGACTCTGGGCACAGCCCCAGAGAGTTTCATGGGGTCCCAAGGACCTGGAGAGTCTGTGGAACTAACTTGTGTGGAGAGCAGTTTAGCCAGGAGGCAATGGCATTGGTGTCCTCAAAAAGAGGCCCAGGGCTGGGTGTGGTGGCTCATGCCTATAATCCCAGCACTTCAGCACTTTGGGAGGCCAAGACAGGAGGATCACTTGAGCCCATGTGTTCAAGACCAGCCTGGGCAAGATGGTGAGAACCCCTCTCTCCAAAAAAAAAAAAAAAAAAAAAAAAAAAAAAAGAAAAAGAAAAAGAAAAAAGAAAAAATTAGCTGGGCATGGTGGTGTGTGCTTACAGTACCAGCTACTCAGGAGGCTGGGGTGGGAGGATCACTTGAGCCTGGGTGGTCAAGGCTGCAGTGAGCTGTGATCGTACCACTGCACTCCAGCCTGGGCAACAGAGCAAGGCCCTGACTGTAAAACATAAAGACCCACTGGTCATTGCGCTGAGTAGGGTGGGCATGGTGGGCCAACGGTGGGTTTGTTGGAGCTGGCTCCCCTCAGGCTTTTTGGACAGTTGCTTCCCATCGTCACAGCCAAGGGCAGCAGGGGCATGGTGTGTTAGGTCAAGAATAAGTTGGTGAGTGGACGGGTGCAAAACAGAGCTCAGACACCCTCCTCATTCACAGCTGGCCTGGCGGGGCCAACCAGGCCCCATAAGGCTAAATCCCTCGATCCGGAGCTCCCGGCCTCCATCCCCAGGACCCTAGACAACTTGTGAGGGATGTCCCCGTCTGGATGGCATCCCTGGAAAAGGCTGCAGTGTTT
Source organism: Homo sapiens (assembly GCF_000001405.40). Classification (NCBI taxonomy): domain Eukaryota; kingdom Metazoa; phylum Chordata; class Mammalia; order Primates; family Hominidae; genus Homo; species Homo sapiens. The sequence goes on along the minus strand of NC_000014.9, from coordinate 68,632,442 downwards.
CTAAAGAGGCTGTTCAGACATCACATCACAGTCCCAGACGGCCGAGCGGCTCCTGTGCTCACTTGGCCGCTCTCCCTGAGAAACACTTTGGATCAGAGAGTGCTTCTAGGTTGTTTTTCCCTGAAGAAGTGGTAAGAATTCAGCGAGCACCCCACAGCTGAAGGAAAAGTCAGTGGCTTTACTTACTGAAAGTATCAGTAAAGAACCTCCCGGAGGATGTGAAGCTCCAGACACTAGATGGGCAAGAAGGCTCCAGATGAGGGGGCCTCGGAGGCAAAGAAAGCGGAATTTAGAAACAAATGGTTTGGCTTCTGGAGAAGAAAGAAAGAGTTTCTTGGTGTCTCAGAGGTTTAAAATGGCTGTGCTAGGTCATGCCTGGCGCATGATGCAAAGGCAAAGGTCAACAGTGTTTTGCTGAAGAGGTCTTCCTGAGAACGCAGCATTCCTTCCTGGCCTGCTTCACTCAGTAAACCCTCACTGAGGGCTCCTGGGATGCAGAGGATCGAAAGATGAACAAGAAATCTCATCTTCAAACTCTCCCAGGCCAGCCAGTGATGGTTATACAGTGTGGACAGAGCAAGAATATGAGGTGGATGGCCAGCACGCAGCGCACACACAGACACTGGAGCCTGGGGAGGCAGGAGCCTGAGCGGCGTCTTCAAGGGTGAGCCAGAGCTGGCCAGGCAGCCAAGGAGGTAGGACAGACACTCCCAGCAGAGGGAACAGACCGTGCAAAGGCTGCCAGTGACAGCATGGCCCCCAGGGAGAGCTGGGACAGTGGTAAAGGGACGAGTGCCCAAAGAGGAAAAGGTGCACCTTATACTCTTTGCTTTTAACTCCCTAAATTTTCTATATGCCGGGCACATGGGAGATTCAAAACCTTGTGGCATGAGGGCCTCTCTTGAGTCAAGTTCCATCCATTCTAGCACATTAACTAAAGGCCTGTCCCCGGCTTCCGAGCTGTAGTGACTCCCCAAGGGATCAATCTCCAGGCCACTCCCTCCTCCCATACCCTAATACTGTCCTGAAAACCCTCTGGTCCACCATGCCAGGGGCAAGCAGTACACTTGCATGTTATGAGGGACGGTTCTGTTCCCAGGAAGTGAAACAATATTATCACTGTATTTTCCTGATTTCTGGTCTCACAGTGTCTTCCCAACCCAGTCCTGGAAAACTGCTATTAAATCAATGCAGCTTTAGAATTGAGGGAATCCAGTATATCCCAACTACACCCGCCTTTTAGACACAGTCTTTGACCATATACGTCCAGAATTTCATATATGCTCCCTAATTGTATTCATTTTTTTTTAACAATTGGACACATAGTTGACAGGCTTAACTCCAGTGAGCATTTGATTGAGGCTACATAATCCCACTTTCAGCGTGCCTAATGATTTCCATCTTTGCCTCAATTATATGAGCTCTGTGAGACCTGCCCTTCTTATCATGAGAATCAGCACTTCATTTTTCCATTTCCACTTATTATTATAAAATAATAGGGCCAAAATGCCAGAAAATATTCAAATACTTGCACAAACACTGCTGAACAGTCCAAAGGTGACGCTGTTGAAATGGAGTTGTTGGCCAGCAGGCAGTATTACCACGTGATGGCTTTGAAATGTTCCTTCATCTGCCAGCCTGGGAGAGCTTGAAACCAGGGGTTGGTTCAAGGGGTTGGAATGGTGGTGGTGGTATGGGTCAATGTAGAACATACGAAAAAAAGGATGTGCCCGTAGAAGTTACCGGCCGAAGGTTGTCTGGAACGATCCCACCCTCTGAAGCTCAGGGGAGTATAAACCCTGGCACCTCCTGCCCAGATGGGCAGGCACTGCTATAGGATGAGGCTGCTGGTGAAGGTTTCTCTCCAAGCAGCTAGTATCGCATCACAAATGTGCTGAAGTAAACCTTCCAATGTCTCCAAGTCCGGAGGTGCATGGGGGGTGGGGTAGGGACGGCCATGCTATTTTATAGCTGGGGAGATTCTGCATACTCATCAGGGAAGGAGGTCAAGTTCTAGGTCACACCTTCCCAGATGTGGCTCCAGGCTGACCTGCTGCAGGGGGACTAGTGGGGGAGAAAGAGCGGGCTGCTGTCATCTACAGAGATAGGGGGTTCACTGGCCAACAGAGTGGTGAAAGGACAGTTAGTGTTGCTTGAAGAAATTCCTCCGGAGGCTCAAGAGTGCCTGGAAACAAACACCCAGGATTTCTCTGCCACTTAGCAACCCAGGCAATGGAACGTGACTTACGTCTCTAAGCTTGTGAGCACAGTCCTGGCAAACTCGGCATTCCTAGGGGCTGTACTGAGAAGAGACTCCCTCTCCTCAAAGCTACCTGAATACCAAAAACCTTTTTCCAAAGCTTCTTACTGTGGAGTCAGAATCCTCCCTGACGTGATAAGAATTTTGTGAGAAGTGGTAGGAAACCTGGTCTTTTAGTTCATGACTAGCATGTTAGAAGGGACCAAACCTGGTCATAGGGACAGGAGGCTTGGCCTCCAGGCTCGCCTCTGCCCTGTCTTTCTGAATGGCTCTGGACAAGTTCCTTCATTTGCAAAGTTAGACTGTTGGTCTATGGTGGATTAGCTTTAATACTCAAGTATTAGAGTATTGGTGAAATGTAACAATATGTGAAATGTGAAAATTATAAAGTATGATTAAAAATAAATATCTTAGGACGTATGTATGCTTTTTGCAGCTGGGGAATGTAAGTCCGACCCTGGGATTTATAACAAACTACCACAGAAGGAGGACTCCTGGGCTCCCAGTCAGGCCTCAAACAGGCATCACAAAACGATAAAGCTATTTGCTTCTGAATCCAACCCTCCCAAGCCAGTTCCTCCTTCACCTGCCCTGGATGGAAGGGCAGCAATTTCCCTTCAAGATGCTGAGGGTATGAAAGCTTTGTTCGCAAGCTGGGGTATGAACACCTCCTTTTTAAGAATAAACGTTAAGACCAAGCACACACTTTTCAGAGCTGCTAACGCCCACATTTTGTGTCTAGCTTTGGGTTTCCAAGACCCAATGTGAAATGCAGTGCTTTCTCTACCTTTAAAGAAGAAAATGGGAAAGAGAGGTGGGTTTTGGGGTTCTTATTTTGCAAACCCCCTGGAGACAATGCAAAAACTCCTCCTCTGCAGCAGCAGGTAAACACCTGAGCTGGGAAGGAAAGCTACCTGGTAGTCCCAATGAATGCCAGCAAGACAAGGGCAGGGAAGAGGCGGGGCAGCTTCTCTGTCAGCTGAAGGCTTACTTTTGTTTGAACAATGTCCCAACCTCAGGAGGGAGGGACAAAACCAAGAATGGTGTGATTTCCCCTGGGGGCCACTGCTAAAATGAAGTTGGGCATCGTGTGGGGCTGGAAGCTGTGGCTGCAGGAAGCCAGGGGTGATGGCCTTCCTGCAGCCGTCTCTCGAGCCCCGAACTTGCGGGAAGAAAGGACTGCCCCCTTCCAACCCGTTCGGGTTGGTTTGCGCTGGAACGCCACGCTTTTCAAAGTGTCTGAGTGATAGGTACTTTCTAAATATGTACAGCGATGGCCTGATAAGCAACTAAGCGTCTGGCTTCGCGGGTTCATGCCCGAGGCTGTGCGGTCGGGGGAGGCTGGGGGCTCAGCCGAAACCTCAGCTCCTCCTTACAGGCCTGGTTTGGAAACGGGCTGTACACTGCTGGGGGCCCCACTTTCCAATGTTTACTTCTGAGATTGGAAGAAGAAGACAAGAAACACCTCCTCACCCCCTACCCTCTGCCTCCACGCCCGCGACTCAGCCCAGGTGACCCAAACGGCAGAGTCAACTTGGCGCAACCGGAGCGTCCCCATCGCGCCGGCCACCCCCAGCCCCCTTCGCCCCTCGCTTGGCCCCACAATGCGCCGTTGTGCCGCGCCTGCCGTCAGGCCGGGGATTTGGAGCAGGGATGGGGGGAATATTCGTCAGATATTTAAAACAGAGCCGAGAGAACAAAGCAGGCCTTTGTGCAGCAGGGCGGCCCGGGAGCTGGGAGCCGCCGGCCCCCAAGCACTGTGCTGGGCCAGGAGAGTGCGCATGCGCGCGGCGACCTGTGCGCTCGGGTTCTGTGCCGGCTTTTACCCCAGGTAAGCGGGGCGCTGCGTTAACCCCTTCCCATCCCGCGCCCCGGGGCGGCCCGAGGCAGAAGCTGGCTCTAGTCTGCTGGCTGCTGCATGTTTAGCCGAAAAAAGAAATAGTCATCTTCCATGTTTCTATAGGACACACAGCTCAAGATAAAATGATACACCACTTGAGAACCCAAATTTTCAATGACTGGAAAGACTGGGACACTTGGGTCATGTAAAAACCAAGACATTTGGAAGATGCGCCATCTTCGGATGCTAGAAGATGGAAACTTTTGATAGGCGTGGGCTTCTTCCGCCTTGTTTATGCTGGGTGAACGGCTCTTTCATTTTTCTGTTCACTGTCACTTGGAATTTGGAAGACATACTGGTTGTCGTCAAGGGCCTGGCTTTTGTTTTGGGTTGTGGGCTGACTGGATGGTGTTTATTTAAAAAAAAATAACTGAATAGCTAAATACAAGTGAAGTGTGCATGGTACAAAGATGACATTGTGTCATGAACCAAGAAATGTATAATTAATGAAATTTTATGCAGAAGAAAGAAAGAAGAGGAAATTAGTAGCTATTTAAATACATTGTGTTGTTGGGGAAGGAGATAAGGTTTCTGAAGTAGGGTAGACTAGGAGTGAGTTGGGGGGAGGTGGCATGTGCAAAGTACCCCAGTTCTGCTTTATATGGACAGTGATTGCACCCCATAGGTAATGGGGACTGGCAGACAGAGGCTGTGGGAAGCCAACGGCAGGCTTAGAAGTGAGTTATTGTGCTTGAATTATTCAGATGGGTGAGAAAGGCAGTCCCAACCAGATGATTTCACAGCCTTCCAAACGCGGCTCCTGGAGCATGTCCAGTGAGGTTAGATGGATCTCCCCCATCAGACAAGTCAGGGGGAGTGCAAGGACTCAAAGGAGGTCTCGTGACTTGTATGCTAGGAGTCTGCAGTAGCCCACCCTGCTCCAACTGTGGACACACATCTGAGGAATTTATGGCTTTCTTTTTCCTTCATAGCTGAATAACCTGGTGGTCACAAGAAAGCAAAGGGATTTTTATGTGACATCATCTTGGCAAGAAGCTCCCTTACCAACCTTGACCTCCAGGTCTCCATGGCAACTGCTGCTGGGACATCATTGGCACCAGATTGTGTCCCTTAAAGGCCACACTGCAGCAAGGGCAGATAAACAATTTCATGGCAACAGTCACGTAGCAATCTCATTCTTAAATGTGGGCTGGTTAGTTAGGATGATGTAAGTGGTTTTTTCCACTCTCTTCCGCATTCTGACTCCAGAATTCTGGGCCTAGGACATAGTCAAAGAATGTACCTTGGGGTATGAGGTAAGAAAACAGGCTGGGGTGGGACTTGAAGAAGTACCTTCTTCTAGACACAGGGACAGATTCTTTTTCCTTTCCCAGTTGAGAGTTCATTTTCTGTCTCGGTTCAACAAAGGCATGTTATCTTTATATAAAGGAAGCTGTAATAGACAGTCTCCAAGATGGCAGCCTTTAGTTCTTTCCCTCCTCAGATTCATGAGCTGCTTCTCACCTCTTAAATCTGGTCTACCTATAGTGACTTGCTTGACCAACAGAATATGCTAGGAGCAACATTCTGGAACTTCCAAGGCTTGGTTGTAAGAAGCTTTGCAATATCTGCCTGGATCTCTTAGAACCTTCAATATGGGACACTTGCTCTAGAAATCAGCCACCATCCTGTGAGAAGTCCAAGCCACAGAGTGAGGCCAGAAATAGTTGCTGCAGTCAAGAGCCCCAGCTGAGCTCTCAGCCAACATTCAGCATCACTGCCAGCCATGTGAGTGAGTGATGGTGACCTTGGATGTCCAGCTCAGTAGAACCTTCAGATGATTTCAGCCCTAGCCGTTCCAACTGCAAGACATCCTGAGTGAGCTGAGCCCAGTCAACAGAGATGTGAGAGATAAAAATGCATTGTTTTGAGACACTAAGTTTTAGAGTGTCTGTTGTGTAGCAGTAGGTAGTTCAAGAGGAATGAAATGCTAGATGGGGTATGGAAGATAGGAGAGGACCTCCTGATAGCTCAGCTACTTTGAAAGGCTTTATTTATCAGGATTTTTTGCCCCTGCATCCCACCAACACCATCCCTGCTTTCTGAGCTGTGCCTGGCACACTGCACCACACAAACCTTGCACTGCTCACTAACTGTGCCATGTATATAAGCCTCCTCAGCCCGATGGTGGACACCTTGAAGATAGGGACCTATATGATTTGATTCCTACCCTCCTTAGCACTGACAGATTTGTCAAGCTGTTCCAGTGGATAAATACGGGGGATAACTGCTGGAACAGCATCTTGAGGTGTTTATATGGCTTGGCTTCTGATCTTTGACATTTGATAACTGATGAACATGCTATTTGGGCCCACCCAGGAGCCAGCCACACCATGGGGGAGTCTGAACCTCACCCACACTGTGGCCACTCAGGGGAAGGAGACCAGGGCCAAGAACGCAGTTGCTAACCTCCTGCTTAGATTTGCTTCTTGCGGGGCAGCCCTGGAAACCCAAAGAAGAGCTAAAACTGTGTGGATGAGAGAAAACCTTCAGAACCCATTCATAGAGATACCAGGAGCAGCTGAGAACCCATTGTAGGAAGGACACATGTTCAAGACCTCCCCCATCTGCCCATCTAGGGACATGGATGTTTAACATGCTAGGGTCAGAAGTGGGAACATAGGTCAGCTTGAGTAGAACCTGGTGCCTGTGCAGGAACCCTGCCTTCTGTGGGCCCAGCTACTCGGGAGGCCAAAGAGGGAGGATGGCTTGGGTCTGGGAGGTCGAGGCTGCAGTGAGCTATGTTTGCACCACTGCACTACAGCCTGGGCAACAGAGTGAGACCCTGTTTCATAAAAAATAAATAAAAATAGAAAGCCTGGCGAGCCCAGTGTCTACTCAGAGCTTAGGAGAGAGGGAGGAGAAAAGCAGGATGAGGGCAGCTTGGGAGGCGGTCCTTCATTCTGCCAATAAACATTATTTTGTGAATCAGGCCTGGCTTGAGGCACAGCGTATGCAGAAAAGTTCAAGGGAGACAGAGTCCCTGCTCTCAGGTAAAATGCCTGGAGGAGTTGTAGCTCCGATACACATCTCACGACATGGGCAGAGCTTGGCTGACCATGGGTGTAGGGGAGCTATGGCCTTCCCTCCTCATTATATCCCAGTCTTCCAACTTTGTGAAAGACCTGGAATTCCCATGCTATAAGGTGGTATGAGTGTGGGCACTAGGGCTGGGACTAGTCCAGGTCCCAGCTCCACCACTTATTGGCTGTGTGACCTCGTGCAAGCTACTTAAACTCTCTGAACCTTTAGCATCTTATCAGTAAAAATAAGAACAGTAACAGTTCTTCATCTCAGGGTTGTCTGAGGATTTCATAAGATCCTCCTGGCAAAGTGACCCCTTAGCTCCATGTGTGGCACCTGCAGGCGCTTCGGAACCACCGGCTCCTATCCTATGTACTCCCACGAGGCATGGGAGGGCTCTGGATATGAAATTATCTGCAAGGTCCAAGTAACTTTTGCTTAGAAAAAACAAAAGGGATGATGAGGGAAGAAGTCTCACTTAGGAACGAAATTGCCTGGGGCCCTGTTTCCTGAGAGGATCGCGCAGGAGTCATATGACATTGGTCTGACTTTCCTGAACTGCCCACGCATGCGCTGAGTTTCAACAGCACCGAGAACCTAGGCTTCTCTTCCTGAAACTTAGGAGAAGCTTGGGCTTCCCTCTGGCCAGTCCAGAGGTGGTTCCCAGGTAATTGCCTGGTCCAAGAGCCACAGAGGATTTGGAATTATGAGGGTAGGGAACTGCGGTTAGGGGGATCCCAGAGTCTCAGGAAGCATTTCAGTTCCATCCCTTGACCCCACTTCATGCTCTGGCATATCGAGGGCCCGGAAGTGCTAGGAGAGCTGTGATTGGCAGGCCTCACTCCCTGCCCACCTTCCCTCTTAGCTTCCCCAGAACCATAGCCCCCTTTAGACTGGGCATATGGGCAGATAACAAAGGATATCATGCTGGGGACGTATTTCTGAGAGGGGGTGACTGCCCTTGCCCCTAAGTATGAGTTGCCTTTTCCAAATATCCCCACAATGTAAAGTGATCGGCAAAGGGGACCACAGCCCTTGGTTCTACACCCATCAAACATGTGCTGAAATCAGATTCTTTTCTAAGCAACACATCCATATTATGCCACCATTCAGACGAAACCAAGAGCTAATCATCCTGAGTATGAGATGTGTTCTCTGGTGAGATGCCTGGACCTCCACAGGGGAGGTTGTTCTCTTGAGAAAATGCCGACTTCCCCTCGTCTTTCAGAGGCCCCCTTCCTGACCAAAAGGCTCAAGGTAAGCAAAGCTAGAGCCCAGTGTTTGGGCTACATTCCAGACTCCTGGTGTTTCCAACCCAGAGGGGTTATACTCACTGCAAATCTTTACTCTCCCTAAAAGCAGTTTAACAGAAAGAAGACATTTGATCTTTCCCTAGTACATCTCAGTAGTTTGATTTTCACTGTCATGTGAATTCAAGACATAGAAAAATAAAACACAAAGCCTTACCGGCCCTACTGGTTTATCCATCATATTCTATTACCTTCTAAGAAGTCTGCCTTATTAGCATATCTGATCACTTGAGGAACACCTGGCTAGAATGTTTAGGTGGTAGCAAGGGAATGATTGGCTTATTTTCCTCCCCAGATGTCACTCTTTGGGCTCTCCACCCAGGGTCACTACTAGCCCATATGGCACCTATGTACAAGTTAGAAAAGGCACCCCTTCCTCTTTGTGGATACAGCCATGCCAGGGCACAGCTTGGCAGGATGAGTGCAGGCTGAATTTCAGCCCCCATCTGCCTTCTATGCATGTTGGCCTTTTGCAGTGAACAGCCTGTGAAACTATATGTGGTGGCCTTGCCTATACTCAATGTCACTAGCTCTCATTTCTCTTCTTGGAAAGGTGCGTGTTGGAGAGGGAAGGGAAAGAAGATGCTTGTTGCTGTTCATTACGGACAGGTTCCCCAAGAGTGACACCGTACTGTGGGTATGTTTTGAGTTCTGGGAGAGTTTCAGGGCATTTTATAGCTGGGCCAACTTTCCCTGGGACTGAGAAGTAGGGCTTGGAAATTAAGGCAGTCCTGGGGGAGGGAACAGCTGGTCAGTCTGCCCATAATCCTGCCCAGAAACCTGACAGCAAACAGCCCTGGATTTGCTCATTTGAATGCTTTAGGGGAATTTCCAAGAACCCTTCACCCTCTTATGAGAAAAAGAAGGTAGGTCCGTGGTGCTATTCTCCCCTTGCCTCCCGTGAGCTTGGGTCTGTGGTTAGGACATCTGGGCACAGGAAGTATTAACCTGTCTCCGCTTTCAGATCTGAATCCAGTCACCTGTCAAGGGGCCTGCCTTCCTCACTTTGATGAATTAATTTACAGAGTTCTCCATGGTGCAGTCTGAGGGTGTCAGGAGGGGGCGAGTCTAGAAGACTCCCTGCGGGATCTCAGGGGTATCGTTTTCCCCAGCTGTGACCCAGCATAAACACCTCTAAAATTGAATGAACAGCACATAGCACGTCCATAACACAAATAGCCCTCAGGAGGAATCGTGACATCCAGTTTTTTTTTTTTTTTTTTTTGTAAATGGATACATTAATAGACCCAGCATCAAATCCTGTAAGTCACCAAGGGCTATCAGGAAATGTAGAGATATTTGTTCATTGCCCATTCATTCATTCATTCATGAAACAACTGAGTATCTACCATGTGCCAGCCCTGTGTTAGGCTCTGGGGGTGAGGAAGTGAGTGACAGAAATGCACTCTTGCCTTTAATTTAAATGCCATCACCTCAGAAAGGCCTTCCGTGACCACCCTCTTCCTAGACTTGTGACCTCCTAAGAACTCCCTTTTGGTAAACAGCCTCCCGCTTTAATTACTTGATCCATATTTGTCTTCCCCACTAGACTCAGCTTCAGGAGGAGAGAGACCATGCCTGCAGGAATCAAAATGAATCAGCACCAATCCTGACCCAAGATGATATGGGTTGACTGAATCAGTTGTTCCTCATCAAGTATACTGGAAGTCAGAATGGCTCCTCCTCCATGATGCCCCTGTACTTAGAGCATCTGGCGTCTGTGAAGGGTCTAATCCCAAGTGAGGATTCTGCTCCTGAGACAGCCAGGACCAGACGATTGCCAAGGTCCCTCCAGCCTAAAGGCAGTGACTCTAGAACAGATGGGGCTGGATGGTAACAGGGTAACTGGAGCTCAGGAATGGAGGCCAGGTTAGAGGCATGCTTGCCCAGTCATTCCAGGTGCCCAGGTTCCAGGCTTATCCCTCTTTAGGAGAGAAGTAAAGACATGAAGAGGAACCCTCTGTGGGCCTGTGCTGACCCATCTGCCACCCCCAACCAGAGGCATGAGTGACATGGGAAAGGGGAGTGGCGTTGGGGCTGCTTGGCCTGCCTCCTGCACCCCAAAGCTCTGGGTTCAATTACACTCATTGTCACTGTGCACAGAACCCACGTCACCACTGAGGAGATCAGCTGGGCCCTGGCTGCTGACAGCTTGTTTTATTCTTGCTAAGCCACTACATCTTGGCTTTGTTGTTATGTTTCCAATAGCAACAGGAGAAAAGACAACTTTTTCTGCTTTGGGAGCTTATTTTTTTCTCCCGTAGGAGAAAGCTCCAGCCTGAAGACTTGATGTCCTTGGGGCCCCAATGTGGCCTTAGCCCAGACCCTGGGGGCCAGTAAGGAGAAGTCCAGCTTAGCTCTGCCCCAGGGAAACAGCGGGTAGCTGAAGTCATGGAGGATCCAGGAGCCAGGAGCTATCAACTCTTCTGGAATTGGGCTCAGCTGCCCTTTTTAGTTTTGAATGGCTACAAAATATCCACAGTGGCTTGGGTAGGCCTAAAGCATAGACAGTGGAGAAAGGAAAAGGAGAGAAAAAAGGAACTTAAGAGTAGAGGAGAAAGGAGTGGGAGAGAATGGCAAGAGAAGAAAGGTGGCTGTGGAGAAGTGCAGTGACACCATCAGCACCCTTGGGCATCACTTGGCATTTGAAGCCAAAGAGGATGACCCCACAGGCCTGGATGAAAAATATAGAGGTTCTCTCTGGCAAGGGGCTTTTGCTTTCCATTGAGAAGGAGCTGCCATCATGAATGGATGGATGGATGCATGGACAGGTGGGTGGATGGATGAATGAAACAATAAGCGTGGTATTCCCAGGATTGAATGAATGATAAAGGAAGGAAAAATAAGTGAGAAGTGAGAGAATCCAATGAGGGGTTAAGCCATCTTAGGCAGGGATTGCCAAGGAGTGGTTTGGGAGGGCCTTGCCCCGTCCCCTCCAGTCTCCATTGGCTTCCCCTAAAGTCTTTCTAAGTAAATAAACATGCAATCTAAGTGGAAAAATAGAGTGTTTACTATACAAAACAGCCTGATGAAAACCCCCTGGCTCCTGTATCAGCCAATATTCCATCCATAGGTTCTCCTTTACAGAAACTCCCGAGCTGCCACTCATCAACTACAAGGCATTGTGTCTGCTTTTTCCAAATCCCATCCCAGACCAATTGTATTCAGGCTGTGGACAGACAGGTGAGGACCTGAAACATGATTAAAGGATATAGGGAAAATAAACTTTAGATTCACTTGAGAATAGGAAGAGTTAAAGGGCCTTAAGCCTTTCAGTCACTCCTACTTAGGGATTTGGGGTATTAATTAACAATAGCAAATCATTGGGTAGATTGTCTCTGCTCTCCCTTCAGTAAAAAATGTCAGGTATAGGCATTTCTTCCTATGCCCAGTAGGAATAGTTCACTGGGGCCAGGATCAAGGGTTAGGGGTCAAAGGACTATACTCTCTAAGCCTTGAACCAATAATGTGAGCAGCTAGTGCAGAAGTGAGCAAGGCTCTTCTTTCATGGAAGGTTCTTATCAGAAACCAGAGCTGTCTGGAGGGACACAGTGAGTCAGATTACAACAGCTACCCATGGTGGGGACAGGTCAGAAGGGGTCACGCAGAGGCTGTAGGGAAGGTTGCTATTCTTAGGCCCCTACTATCTCAGGCGTCTGCTGACTCACTTGGGAATCTCTGGACTCCTGGGTAGATCCAGTCCAATAACCTGCCTAGTTCTTGGGTAAGCCTGTATTGCCTTTAATGATAATAAATAACAAGAAAATATAGACTTTTTCTCTAAAAGAAAGATGCAATATCATGTTTAAGCCTATGCAAGAGGAAGGGTAAGGAGGTCTGATTCCCAGAGAAGCATCAATCTTACCTCAGATCTTGGAAAGACTCCTGGAAGGAAAGGGAGAGAGAGAGAGGCTAACCCCGGGGTAGTGGCCCTGGAGGCTTTGGTACTGAGTCACAACATGGGTAGGGGAAAGGTACATTATATTTGGGGCAAGGATCAAGTGAAAGTCTAGGAAAAACATCAACCTTGGAGACTGAATAGGCTTGCCACATTAGAAGCCTCAAAAGGGGACTTAAGTGTCCCTTTGATTAAGGAGAAGACAGAAAAGGTGCACTATGCAGAAAATAACCTCCTCAGGAAGGCAAGTACGTTTAATGGGTTTTCACAGAAAGGTGGGAGACCATTTCATTTTCCCTTTCTTAGGACAGGGATCTGGGGATGTTTGCCTGAGAGGTTATATGTTCGTTGTGGCCTAATGTCTTTCAGAGTAGACTGTCACCAACTCTTTGACTCCTCCTGCTCATGGATTCCTTCCACCATACCTTTGGTTTCCATTTCTAAATGTGCTTCAGCCTGGGGGAGGCTGCAGTAAATGACTCTGTCTAACTTGCTTCCTTGACCTTAGGACTAACCTTTTAAAACTCATGACTTTTCCTTCTTTATTTAAAATCTCTATCTTTTAACTTTTTTTTTTCTTTTTTTTTTTGAGATGGAGTCTCACTCTGTCACCCAGGCTGGAATGCAGTGGTGCGATCTCACTCACTGCAAGCTCCACCTCCCAGGTTCACGCCATTCTCCTGCCTCAGCCTCCTGAGTAGCTGGGACTACAGGCGCCTGGATAATTTTTTTGTATTTTTAGTAGAGATGGGGTTTCACCGTGTTAGCGAGGATGGTCTCGATCTCTGGACCTCGTGATCCACCCACCTCAGCCTCCCAAAGTGCTGGGATTACAGGCGTGAGCCACCACGCCCAGCCTTTTAACTTTTTAATTTACTCATTCTATTGATTTGTCTTTCTAGTTAAAAAATAAAAAAATAAATCTTCTCCAGGGAGCATGTGTCAGGAGGGAAAAGAGTCCCTTGTGTGTTAAGCCCTACTGGCTAGGGTTAAAAGCTGAGTTGCTTGTGTGAACTTGACCTTGAGCATGATCCCCAAATGATAGTTGTCTCTACGTGAGTGGTCTTTATCTGGCCTCCTCCTCTCTTAGCACTGACCAGGCTATATCTGTGGCTAAGACCTAGAGGAAAAGACTTGGGTTAGCCTGTGAAGCAGAGCAGCTGAGCTAGGAATTCTAAGAATGGGGGACAAAAGAAAAAAAAAGGTAGGGAAGGTGGAGGGGGCACTTCTTTCCTCAGGTCTGCTGTTATGGTACAGCCTCCTGAATTTGAGTTTCTCAAGTAGTCAGGGCTAGGCTCAAGTTGTCAGGGCTAGGCTAAGGGCAAACTGAGGCTAGAGTCAGTAAAGTGATCTGCCTATGGTCTTACAATTACTGGGCAGTAGATGGTTTACATTTAGAGGCAGCATCAACAACCCTGTAGTATCAGTTAGAATTCTGGTGGGGAAAAAGAGGAGAATTTAATGAAGGGATTATTTATCAAGCTATGGACAGGATTTAGGGGAACTAACAAAGGAAGGTGCAATACTTTAAGCTTAATCACATTGAAGAGGCATTACCCTCCCTAAATCCAAAGGGTCAAGAGGAAGGAATAGTTAGGAGAATCCACAGAGAGTACCTGTAAGGAGAGGGCCTCCCAATAGGATGGTGACAGTGCAACTTTTGGTAGAGGGGCAAAACTAATTCACAGTGATTTGACAGGAAAGGATCTAGGGGAATAAACATCCTTTCTGTCTTGTAGTTTCCTGTTTGTGTCTCTTTTTGCCTGAGCACAACTAGAAACTAGAGGTCAATGGTGCCCCATTGATGCAATCTAGACAGGTTGACAGGCCAAAGGGTGGCGAGTGAATCTGGAGAGCAAATGTAAGATAGCCAGCCACCTGGGAACACAGATGAGATTTGTTTGTAGTAATTTCCAAAATTTTTTGCCTCTGTCTCCATTGCCATACCTGTTCCTGCATGGCTTGCAGATGCTAGAGTTTTTCTGCTGCTTCCTTATATCTTGGAACCCCCAGCCAGGTTATCAGGTCTAGTTTCTGGGCCTGCCTGCTATCATTCATCATTTCTTTATCAAAACCTGTTCTTAAGATTTTTGCTTCTGGCCATGACAAAGCAACAGGATCCAGATTTACCCTCCCCCTGTATCCCTTGGGATTTGAAGCCAAAGAGGATGACCCCGCAGGCCTGGATGAAAAATATAGAGGTTGGCCTGGCCAACATGGTGAAACCCTGTCTCTACCAAAACTAGAAAACAACAAAATAAATGTACTGACGGCTTCAGATATTGTACAACACACAGTGCAGAACTATGACCCATGAGATAAAGAAAATACATGTGGTAAATGATCATGACAGTTTCTGATTGGAGGCACATTCTGGACTTTACAGCAGGGGAAACAATATCCCAAGCACAGTATGGTAGTCTTGTTAAGTTAAAATACAGAAATGAAGGTCAAGGAGACTGTAGTTGGAAACTGTGGGGCAGAATTCTAGAAAAGAGGGGACCATGTAAAAAAAGCTCCAGAAATCTGCACAAGTGCCCTGTTGAGTGCTTAATACTAAGATGTTCATACCCAGAGTGAAGCTTTGTAAGTCTGGGCAAAGAATGACCAGAAGCTATAAGCTGAAAATTTCAGAGTTCACATGGGATTCTGAGATGTAAAAATATCAACCAGCTTGATCAGCTGGGGCATTTAGTAGAGATCCAATGAGGTTCATATGCAGATAGTAAGACTGAACTATCCCTAGAATAAAAGAAACGTTAGGTTCATTCTAACAAAGCTAAAAACAAGCCTCTAAAGGAATAATCTTATCCATAAGTAACTGCCTGCTGGATAAAAACTCAATACTCCTTAAAGGAGGATTTAAAAATATACAAACATTCAACAATGTAACCTTTAAAATATCCAACATCTAAGCAAAAATTACTAGACTCACCAGGTAGCAGAAAAATGTGACCCATATCAGGAAAAAAGGCAATTAATAGAAACATGCCTGAAAATGACAGAGTTGAAAAGACAGAATGAACAGACAGGCACGTTAAAACAGCTGTTTAAGTAGGCAAAATATACTCCAGGATTTTAAGAAAAACATACATAAAATGAGGAAAGAATGCACTTCTTGTGGTGGAAAAGACAATATCTGAAATGAAAGGTCAGTGGCTGAAATTCAAAGCAAACTAGATGCTACAAGGAGAAAAGTAAAACTGAAAACAGCAATAGGAACTATCCAAAATGAAGCACCAAGAGGAAGAAGACTTCAAAAACAAAACAAAACAAAACAAAAAACCCAGAAATGAACAAAGTCCCATCAATCCTTGAGCAATATCAAGTGGTCTAACATATGTATAATTGAAAAAGAAAAAAGAGGGAGAACAAATTTTTGACAAAAATCAAGGCTGAAAATTTTCCAAATTTGTTAAAAACTATAAATACCACAGATCCAGGAATCACAATGAACCCCAATCAAAATAAGCAAGGGAAATCACACCATCATACCAAAGTACATCATAATAAATTACTAAAATTAGTAATAAAGAGAAAATCTTAAAAGTAGTCTGAAAAAAGCTGTATTTTATAGTGTCATAGAGAGTATAGGAAATACTGCAGACTTCTGATCAAAACAATGCAAGCCAGAAGACAATGGAATACTTTCTTTGATATACTGAATGATACACAAATCAAATTCTGTATCCAGCGATATAATGAAGACTTTTTGAGATAAATGAAAGCTTAGACAATTCACCATCAGCAGATCTACCCTAAAGAAATGTTAACATAAGTTTTTTACAAAGAAGGAAAATAATACTTGGATCTACACAAAAGAATGAAGAGCACCAGAAATGGGAAACATGAGGATAAATATTAAAATTTTTCATTAAAAATTTCTTTAAAATATTAAAGCAAAAATAATAAAGTACTGTAGAGTTCATAACATATGCAGAAATAAAATTTATAGCAGCAATAGCACAAAGGACAAGAGCATGTAGCTAAAAGTCAATGGTCTAGATAAAATGAAATAACAAAAAAGAACCCTCACTTCAAAAGAAGGCAAGGAAAGATGCAAAAGGTAACAAAGAACAGATGGAATGAGTAGAAAACAAATAGTAAGATGACATACCTAAACCAAACATGTATGTTACATGTACTTGTAATTAAATGCAAATGGTCCAAATACCCCAATTAAAGGTCAGGCACTATCAGACTGGATTTAAAAAGCAAGAAATTCATTTTAAATATAAAAACACAAATAGTTTAAAAGTAAAAGAATGAAAAAAGATATGCTGTGCAATGCTTATCACAAGAGAGCTGGAGTAGCTATATTAATAATAAAAAAAGAAGACTTTAGGACAAGGAATAGCACCAGAGATAAAGAGAGACAATTTCATAGTGACAAAAAGGAAAATTTAAGCCAGGTGCAGTGGCTCACGCCTGTAATCCCAGCACTTTGGGAGGCTGAGGCAGGCAGATCATGAGGTCAGGACATCGAGACCATCCTGGCTAACACAGTGAAACCCCATCTCTAATAAAAATACAAAAAATTAGCTGGGCGTTGTGGTGGACGCCTGTAGTCCCAGCTACTCGGGAGGCTGAAGCAGGAGAATGGTGTGAACCCGGGAGGCAGAGCTTGCAGTGAGCAGATATCACGCCACTGCACTCCAGCCTGGGCGACAGAGCGAGACTCCGTCTCAAAAAAAAAAAAGAAAAATTTAAGAAGATTTAACAATTCTAAATGTTTCTGTACCTGCTAACAGAACTTCATAATATATGAATCAAAAACTGACAAAAGTTAAAGAGGAAATAGACAAAACCACAGTCATAGTTTGAATATATACATTTCATCATTCCTCTCTCAAGAATTAATAAAACAAATAGTCAGAAAAATCAGTAAACCAGTAAGGATACAGATGATCCCAGCACTTTGGGAGGCCAAGGCGGGTGGATCACAAGGTCAAGAGATCGAGACCATCTTGGCCAACATGGTGAAATCCCATCTCTACCAAAAATACAAAAATTAGCTGGGCCTGGTGGCATGCAGCTGTAGTCCCAGCTACTTGGGAGGCTGAGGCAGGAGAATCGCTTGAACCCAGGAGGCGGAGGTTGCAGTGAGCTGAGATCATGCCAGTGCACTCCAAGAAAGCTAGGTCAATTGCTCATATGACTAGCATTTCTACTCCTAGGTATGTACCCAAGAGTATTGAAAATCCATGTCCACACACACTGTATATGAATGTTCATAGCAGCATTATTCATTTTAGCCAGAAAGTGGAAACAACTCAAATGTGCATCAACTGATGAACAGATAAACAAAATGTGGTTTATCCATACCATGGAATATTATTCAGCTATGAAAACAAATGACATTCCAATACATGCTACAACATGGATGAACCTTGAAAACACTATGCTCACTGAAAGAAGCCAAACACAAAAGGTCACATATTGTATAATTCCATTTATATGAAATGTCCAGAATAAGCAAATCCATAGAGATGGATAGTAGAATAGTGGTTGCCAGAGGAAAGGGGAAGGAGGAATGGGGAGTGACTGCCAATGCATATGGAGACTCTTTTGGGGGTGATGAAAATATTCGGAACTAGATAATGGTGATAATTGCACAATTTTGTGAATATACTAAAAATCATGGAATTGTACACTTTAAGAGGGTGAATTTTATGGTATGTCAATTATATCTCAATTAAAAAAATAAGTATTTGGTATAAATGATTTTATGCCCCAGTGTTGATAATGGATAAAGGCTTAATGAGAGACTCTTCTCAGCAATATGGTTCAACTCAGACCAACTCCTCCCTACAAAGGCTACAGAATCTATTTTTTCAAAAAGTCCAGCTCTTAGGACCTTTGTTCTTAGCTGTGGTTGCTACCAGGCTGCCTCTGAGGCCTGAAAAATCGTGTCATAGGCAGTAGAGGTTGAATTTTGTATTTTAGTATCTATGCTTACTTTCCTGCAGTATGAGTTCTTTAAAGTCTATTGCTAACTTGCACTCATAGGCTGAATTGAAAGAATAAAGGATCACAGTGAGGCACTTTACAGTTTATAAAAAAGCATGTTCACATTCACCACTCTTTTGATTTTACGCATTTAGATTTAAATTGGGCGTTCTGAATGGCCACACAACAGCAGGCCCTAAACTCTAGCCCCAACCTCTCTGACTCCAAAAATCGAGTCATTCTTAAAACAACTAAAATGTGCTTCTGAGCAAGTTATGGAGAAATGGGCTGCCACTCGCCCTCCCAAGAATATTATGAAGGCTCTTAGCCATTTAAGGAACAACTTCTGGCCAGGCAGGGTGGCTCACGCCTGTAATCCCAGCACTTTGGGAGGTCAAGGCGGGTGGATCACAAAGTCAGGAGATCGAGACCATCCTGGCTAACACGGTGAAACCCCATCTCTACTAAAAATACAAAAAAACTAGCCGGGTGTGGTGGTGGGCTCCTGTAGTCCCAGCTACTCAGGAAGCTGAGGCAGGAGAATGGCATGAACCTGGGAGGCAGAACTTGCAGTGAGCTGAGATCGTGCCACTGCACTCCAGCCTGGGTGACAGAGTGAGACTCCATCTCAAAAAAAAAAAAAGAAAAAAAGAACAACTTCCACTAACAATCTTTTTTTTTTTGAGACAGAGTTTTGCTATTGTTGCCCAGGCTGGAGTGCAATGGTGTGATCTTGGCTCACTGCAACCTCCACCTCCTGGGTTCAAGCAATTCTCCTGTCTCAGCCTCCCAAGTAGCTGGGATTACAGGCGTGAGTCACCATGCCTGGCTAATTGTTTTGTATTATTAGTATAGACAGGGTTTCACCATGTTGGGCAGGCTGGTCTTGAACTCCTGACCTCAGGTGATCTGCCCACCTTGGCCTCCCAAAGTGCTGGGATTACAGGCGTGAGCCACCACGCCTGGCCTCCACTAACAATCTTATATTGGTCTGCATTATGCAGAATGACCTGGACTATTAGTCATGGGGCAGGCCCAGATGTTAAATAGCTTGGTCCAGTATGCTCACCTCATTAACCATGTGGTTTGTGGGTCCATTTTCACTCCTGCAGGGACACACACACACAAACACACCTCTCTTTACAGCAAGATAAAGAGTCACCTATCTTTTCCCAGCAGTGCTCTGACCAGGGCTGAGTTCCCACTTGCATTTCCTTCCTCCCTCTCTCCCTCCCCCTTCCTCCCTTCCCCTCTCCCTCCTTCCTTCCCTCCCTTCCTTCCTTCTTTCCTTTTTTCCTTCCTTTTTATGGTCAAATATACGTAACATAAAATTTATCACTGTAACCATTTTTAACTGTACTGTTTAGGGGTGTTAAGTACATTCTCACTGATGTCCAGCCATCACCATTATCTATCTCCACAACTTCTTCATCTTGAAAAACAGAAACTTTGTATCCATAAAACATTAACTCCCCGTTCCCCTCTCTCCACCCCAACCTCTGGTAATCACCACTCTACTTTCTGTCTCTGTGAATTTGACTCCTCTAGGTACCTCATGTAAGTGGAATCACACAATATTTGTCCTTTGGCCACTTGTATTCCTTGATGGCAAAGAGTCATCTTGTTCCAGAGCTGGCCCATAGGACCAGGTGTTTCATGTGGTAGCCGGGAAGGATAGCAAGAGGAAGGATAGCAGATTCTGGAGTGCAAACACATCCCCAGACAGAATCAGGAGGGCTCCCCTCATCCTGTCGACAGCTGGAAATTCTTTCTGCTCTTCTACAAGTTGAGTGTTACAAACAGGAGACTTTTCAAGCCCAGTCCCAAACACAGGAATTCGTCCCTCGTCAGTCTGTCTCCTGGGCCCCATTGAGACAGCTGGACTTCCCACGCAAGTGAAAGCATTCAACTGGGAGTGCCTTTTCCTGGGTCAGCCTGTTCCAGCTTACCCTTGAAGGAGACCATCAGCTCCTTAAGAGCAACAGCTATTTTTCTGTCCCAAGTTGTGTAGAATGCAGTGTAGAGCACTTTTAAAATGTCCATTTTGGCTATTAGCAGCAATCAATGCAATCTATACCAGCTCAGGTTGGCATGATAATTTTATTTACTTAGCCAGTCCTTTGAAATTCACAGCAAGGATATGAGCCTTATGCATGATCCTCCCACTGGTTTTCGTACAGGTGAATGAACCGATTCCTTATTGCTGAAAAAAAAAAATCTTACACTGGACTTGGAGTCAGGCCACAGCTAGACTGGAAGCAAGGAGACTGGAAAGCAAACGTGGACCTGACAGGCTCTGTCATGTCCCAGGCCTAATCTGGTGGGAGTCCTGAGAACAGCCTGTGCTGTGTGTGCCCAGGTGCAAAGAATATGTAAACCTTTCTCAAGTGAAAAAGCTTAGCTTTTTCCAAATTCCCATTTGAGACTGCCTGTGCGACTGCACAGTGTGCACACTCATGCAGATAGGTGGAGTCCTATTCAACTTCTACAAAACACACTAATTTGTTGATTTGTTTTATTTCTATATGGTACCTTTCCTCCTAGGAGCTGCAAGGCTTAATAAGCTTCAGCAATCCTTTTACAATAGAGATGCTGCAAGGAGGGCAGAAGCTCTAATCACTCTGCAGAAGACCCAGCTGGAGGAAATGAGATCTCACGTGGGGATCAAGGGTTGTAGGAGTGGGAGGAAGATGTAGAGAAGAAGAACTTTTTCACTGGAGACATTGTAAAACCATGACATCCTTTGCTGAAAGGGACAAGGAAGCAACTTCCCTGGAGGTTCAGAAAGTAGAATTATAGTTGCTGTCGGATGTTAAATGTAGATCTGGAAGTCGTGGTGAAAAACTAGGCTGGGTTACACTGGATGCTCATCCAAAGTCTCTGTTCTGATTCCAGTTGCCCAGTTTGTAGGAGGAAGAGCAGAAGAGAGGACAGTTGAGTGCATCTGTGGAGGGCACATGGAGACACTGGGTAACAGCCTGGGATTCCTTGTTTTTCTGAGCACCACATCAGGTATCAGGAAGGTAGGGCTGGGATGTGAGTCTGCTGCTGACCAGCATTCTGACCTGGGGCTGACTCTGGCCACAGTTCTAACAACTGTGAAATGAGAGAATAAGATCAGATTTAAATGCAACAAACTTTTATTAAAGATGTGTAGGAAACAACATTGAATAATAACTGTTCATGGCCTGCAGGGTTACACAACTAGGGAGATGACACACACACACACACACACACACACACACACACACACACACATATACATTCAGATGTGGTTATAATAGGGAATGAACAGTATTTTAAGGGAAAATGAGGCAGGAGAGAAATTGGTTTCACCTTTGGAGGAGGTAGGCCTTGAGTACGATTGAATAAGGTGCTGATGGGTGGAAATGGATGTAAAGAACAGGAGGTGTCTCTGGAAGATAAAACAGGCGAACAAAAAGAGGGACCAGAAGACTGGGTAGGTGCAGAGGGTCAGTTCTGGGAGTGAGCAGCAGGTGGCTATGGTGTGAGCACAGGTACATATCACATGGCAGGGACTCAGGCAACATCTGCTGAGTGACAAGTGGCGGCAGTGAGGTTGTACGGGAGGACAGGGAGGCCTGTTCCTGGCAGGGGAGCCACATGCATGTGGAGCTCATATGGGTTTCTGAAAGGGAGACAGGCCACTCTGATGGGCTCTGTGTCCAAGGACAGGGAGACCACGGGAAGCGAGGCCCAAAGGCTGAGAGGTAAGGTCCAGGGAGGAGAAGGAAAGGGTTTGAATTCAGATAGCAACACCGGAGTGGGAGGGATCTGAAAAATAGAGCAGAAGCTCCTTCAGGCATCCGGAGGCTGACCAGACATGCAGGGAGACAGAGAAGAAAGAGATGAAGAGAATGCTGGGTTTTGAGCCTGGGCAGTGGGGAGGGTAGAAATACAGAAAGAGACAAACAGCCTCAAGGAGAGGTTTGGGGAGGAGAAGATCAGTTCAATTTCGTGAGAAGTTCTGCAGGGTGTCTAAGCAGAGACGGCCAGCAGAGTAGGCCGGTAGAAATGTGGGGATCTGGGGAGCTGGAAATCGGGGGCTCATGGAAGCACTGGCTGAAGATGTGGACGCGGAGGAGAGAGACAGAAGCGATGTGCTGGGAGAGGAGGCCCGGCCAGCAGAGGAGCAGGTAAAAAGCACGGGGATGGAGAGAAAATGGAAGCCTGGCAGGAAGTCACCAGGAGAACCCATGGAGGGGAGGCAAAGGGTGGGTGGGAAGCCCAGAAACTCTGAGGAGGCAGCTAGGGGGTTGGCTCCTGGGCCACTGAGAATGGCCTTCAGTAGCAGCCGATGGCCAGGGCTGGAGAAGAGGAAGGTGAAAGGACCCAGTGAGAAGTGTGTGATACGGGGGACAAGAGCAGAGATGGTGTGCTGAGAGAAAGCCATCTAAGGGAAGCCCTTTTAGGACAAGGAAGAGGACGCCATGCTTGTGGCTGTGCACTGGAAGCACTGGAGATCCTGCTGCCACACAGCTTCCGGTCCAGGCTGAGGACGGCGGCCACTTGGTGTGGAAGACACAGGAGCTGTTGCATTTGCACCCAGGTATGGAAGTTAGTTTTGCAAAGGAGGTGGGGACATCCTCTGCTCTCGAGGGAAGGAAGGGTGGTGGTGTGAGTGAGTGAGCTCTGAGGGGGGTGAGAGGAGACTCCAGGGGCCCTGTGGGAAGGCCTGGACCTGCTCAGTAAGGGGCGTGCTGAGAGATTCTGCAGGTAGAAGGTAGAGGTGGGGATCTGGGGCATCTGAGGAGAGTGACAGTGGCCACTGACAGTGGCCTCAGGGGAGAGCCAGACTCAGCCTGTGCTGGGCCTGCAGCCGCACCTCCTCTGGGGCCTGGCAGCCGAAGGTTTGGAGTGAATGCAGTGGATGGCCATGAGGGGCCCTCGGGGCAGGCCTGAGTAAAGTTGAGAGTGAGGGTGCTGAATGCCTGAGATCAGGCGGGCAAGGGAGCCCAGGGAAGCTTCTAGAGGGAGAGGCGGGGGCACAAGAGCCAGGGTGACAGCAGGAGAAGGAACAGGTGAAGGGAGGAAGCTGCGGCCAGAGAGTGGACATCAGCAGCCAAGGTCTCAGGGTAGATGGCTGGAGGTGTCTGAGGGAGCCAGGCAGGTAAGTGACAGATAGACCAGTGCAGAGGTTGAGAAGTGGGGGCCCCGGAGGAGGGGCCACAGCATGGAGAAGGGAGTATCTGGGCCGGCTGCAGAGCTGATGGGTGACAGAGGAAGAGGGACCAGCAGGGCTGGAGCCCAGAGCCTTGGCTGGGGAAACTGCTGTGGACAGCCCTCCTCTTCATTCAGCGATAGCACCTGTTGGGAAGCCAGGAGGCTCCCAGAGGCAAAGGGGGCCTGCTCTGTTCATGCTCACTTAACCCCACTCCTTGAGGGCCTGGGCTGAGGTGCTGATGCCTGAGTTTCATGCCCGGGAACTGTGATGGTGAGGGGAGGGCATGAAAGGTGGCTCCTTCAGCTACTGACCCATGGCCCTACAGCCTGCCCAGGAGTACTCTGCAGCCGCCAGCTACCTGCAGCTGCTCTCCTCCTCCAGGGAGGTTAAAGCCCCATTCTAGGTCAGGCCCTTAGGCAGGGAGAGTCCAGCATTTCCTCTTTCACAGCCCCGGGACTTCCTCACCACGCTCAAGCAAGGCCCCTCTGAAGCCGAGCATCTCCTGCGTGCTCCCAAGCCAGGGAACTCTCACTAGGGAAGGACTCGGGGTGGTGGTGGGGGACAGGCCCTCAGCACTTCCCCTCTTAGAGAGACAAGCCAACAGCACAGCTGGACGCCCCACTCGCAATTTGTTCAGCTCAGTTTGATTCTCTTTCTCTCCCTGGTGAGCTTCAGTTTGGAGTTGTTTGCTCTTCATCAGCAGTTTCTGGAAATGTGGTGTTTGGAGAGGGTTGGGGAGGCCTAAGAGAAGGGCAGGGAAGCTGAGAGACTGTGCTGGTGCCCAGCTGCACCTGGGGTGGTCTCTCATGGCACGCGCTGTGCCCAACCCTCAGGCCTACCGCCCTCAGCAGACCTAGGTGTCCTTTCTCAGGCCTCTCAGAACCTTTGGCCTCATACCACCCCTGGCTAGAAAGTGCCACGGGCTCCTTCCACTCAAACCAGAACCTTCTTTTCTTGATTCCTTCCCCTGAGGTCTGGGATTTCTTTGCCTTTCGGCCTGGCTCTTCTTTCCTCTGGAGGCCTGTGTGAGAAGGGGCACGATGTAGGGCCGGGCCTGTCCTCCCGGGTAATCGACAGCCCCTCCTCCTACATTGCCAGCCCCTGTCTTCCTCCCCAGCACCCCGCAGAATGGCTTTGGCCCTCCTTAGAGTGCGCCTCCCCGGGGCTGTGTGCTCCCCGTCCTTTCCTGGTGCCCCATGGTATCTGTCCACAGCAGAAGAGGAAGACACAAAGGCTTTGTGCAGAGACCCCGGGAAGAAGAAGATAAATGGAATTTGCAATAAATCCAGGAGCAAAGTTGTAACTTGACTTAAAAACAAACAAAAGGGCCAGAACTGCACTTAAGCTCGGCAGAAGCTCATCTCCCAGTGTAAACAGAAAAGGGCGGACGTGGGCTGAGGAGCCTCACGGGCCTGGGCTGGCAAGGGAGGGGTCTGGAGCAGGGCTGGCCGCAGACTTCCTCTGGAAGAGATGGGCTGTGGGGGAGGGTCTCTGTGGCCTTGTGAAAGGAGAAAGAAGGTGCTGGCATTGTTGTTGTTTGCCACGCATTTTTCCATGACTTACTCTTTCGAAAGGATACTCTCAGGATTGGGACAAGAAGGTTGTTTTCAAACTGGTACTGGGCAGATAAAAGCTGGGACCAATGGAGAGCAAACAGAAGTGCTGGCATGAGCTCCCAGCCTCAGCCTTCCCTGGAACTGGAACACTGGAGCTCCCTTAAGCCTCTGCACGGGCTCAGAGGGGCTGGGTGCACTACACTGTGTTTCCCTCAGTGGCCCGCCCGCATGACCCTGGAAAAGTCACTCTTGCTGCAATCACTGTGCCTCACCTAGAAGTGTGAGGCTGGACTTAAATTACGGCGCCTTGTTTTTACATGTGACACTTTATAATTTACATATGACACTCCATAATTTACACATGACATGCCACAGTTTACATGTGACACTCCCTAATTTCAACATGCCTCTACACACCTGAGCCTCCTCAACTACTGAAGAAGTTGGGTGGATCAGATGTTATCATCATCTTATGCGTAGGAAAACTGACACAGAGAAGTAAAGAGAACTAGACAAGGTCACACAGCAAATTAGCAGTTGCCCCAGATCAATGCAGTGGGAAAGGTGGGTCCTGAGGTACAGTTCCGACTCAGTTAATAACAAACTGTGTCATCTTGAATGAGCTGCTTAACTTCTCTGTGCCTAGGTTTTCGTCTAAGATGCGATTCCTTCCAAAGGTTAAACAGATTGGCTCCCACCCTCTTTAACTCTTTGTGGCTGGGTTTTTCAAAGTCAGGAACCCCAGGGAACCCAATGGTGTGTCAAGGACCATACAAAACCACAGTTTAAACATGGCATACCTTTCCAGAGCCTCATTTCTACACTCAGATATTTTTGGAGGAAAAAAAGTCAACATAATGAAATCTTTTTTTAGGTTGTAAAACAAGATGGTGATATTGTAGAAGAAGATGCAAAAATTCCAATTTTAAAAGCAAAACCAGAAAACTTCAAGGACACGTGGTGCTTGCTGCCATCTGTTTCCGGTTCTGCAGAGTATGTGTTTGCTCCCTCCTGCCTCCTGGGAGCTTGGTGGGAGAGTTTGGGAAGTGTTGCCAGGGAACCCACCCTAAGAAGCCTGGCTTGGCTCTTCCTAATGGGTATTCGAGCCTCACTAGGCAGTGAGCTGCTCATATTCCTGGTGAAGGTGAGATGGAGCTGTTTTCACAGCATCTTACACAGTTGTTCCGGTCCTAGGCTGCACCTTAGAATCACCTGATGAACTTTCAAACAATACTCATGCCAGAGTCCCACCCGGCCCAAGTGCACCAGAGTTCCTGGGAGTGTGGTTAGGGCACACTGTGTTTTAAAAGCTCCCGGGTGATTCTCAAGTGCAGCTTCCGCTGGGGACGCTGACTGACAGTTTAGACTTCAGAGTTCAGGGATCCTGAGAGTGTCTATGTCCCTGGCGGGAAACGGTGGCACAGACAGCGTGTCCCCTACCCTCTACCTACCAACCACACTTAGACTAGTGGGCGAATGAGACTGCATTCCAGAAGCCCACCCCCAGCTAAAGAAAGGGTGCAGAGGTTAGGGGCGGGTGGAGAGCAAGACGAAACTTTGCAGGGGGGCAGGAAGGCTGTACTGTGTTGGATAGTGTCCCCCCAAATTCATGTCCTTTCCAGAGCCTCAGAACGTGACCTTATTTGGAAATAGGGTCGCTGTAGATGTAATTAGTTAAGACACAGGAGTGGGGTAGGCCCTTCGTCCAATCTGACTACTGTCCTTATGAGAAGAGAGAGAGAGCACATGTGCAGATGGAGGTGCACGCCCAAGCACACCAGGGGCTAGAGGAGGCCTGGGACAGGCTGTAGAAAGTAAAAGTTCCTCTCCAAAGTTTCCCTTCTTGTTAAACTGTTAGCCAGTCGGGTTTTAGTTTAGATTGTCATGTCTGGCTCCAGCCAATGGAGACAAGACACAGTAGCAGGGACAAACTGTGTAAGGAATAAAAATTGATTCCCTCCTTTGTTCGAGTGTACTCTCACCATTGTTCCATCTGCGATGAGCACCCTTTCTGCAGAAAGTAAAAATGGCCTTGCTGAGAGAATTAAATTTATGTTTGAGTGCTATTTCTTTGCAGCACCAGGGAACGAGCATTCTGTTTCTAAACAAATATTTTACATATAACACAGGCTCTCCCTCAGTGCATCGAGAAGGAACCCGCCCTGCTGTGACACCTTGATTTTGGACTTCTCGGATCCAGAAATGTGAAAGAGTGCATTTCTGTTATTTTAAGTAAAACTTGACCAAGTCAGCCTTATAAGAAACTAATGCAGAGGCTGATGTCAGTGAGGCCTCCCTTGAGGGCTGGAGCGAGGGAGGCTGCAGCACCGCCTGGGCCACACCGGTGGGCGTCTGAGGAGCCACAAGGTTGCTGGCTTGATGCCAGCAGTTATATGAAGGAAATGAACACTGGTGGGCTCGTTTTACTGAAAAGCTGAGGGGATGGAGTAAACATGACCTGTCCAAAGTGTCACTCTCCGAAGAAAAGACGAGAACACAGGAGCTAGTTCACTCACTCATTCATTCACTCACTCAGGGAGCCCTGAGTGCTAGGCTCCCAGAATACAAAAGTACATGAGACCAGAGCAGCGTGGCCCTGTCCTCAGTGAGCCTGAGCCAGTGCTCTGCTCCTCAGTGAGGAGGAGGGCCCATGGGCACTAAGATTTCTCCAACCTTGACCTTCGATGACTTAGAGGGAGGCAGGAGGGCAGCCCTGGGGACCATGGCGCTGCCGCTGGGGCATTTTCTGCGGTCACAGCTGTTAATGGGCAGGGCCGAGGAAGGGCTGAGGGGCTGCACACCCATGAGGACATGGAGCTGGCCCCCTGCTCTCCTGGGGCACCTGGTTAAGCACACTTTACTGGAGGGCTGACAGGATCAGGGACAAAAGGCAGCCCCGCCTGGCTGGTGCAGCCACTGGCGGGACACCACAGGAGGTGAGATGGGCTCAGTGGCCACCGATAATTGTACGAAGCTGAAAAATCTCTAGAATATTTCCAGCCCTTTGCACTTGTCAAATATCACACTGGAAACCCTAGCAATTTGTGTAGGACCCTTTCCAGAAGGAAGGGGACTTCATTGGCGTGGCCTTGTGCAGGGGGAGTTTCTCGGAGTTTCAGCCTGGGAGTGGGCCGGGCCTCCCTGTTCTGGGCTCACCCCACCTTCTCCAGCCACTCTCGCGTGCACCTGGCCTCACCATGAAAGGCGACTTTCTAGACGGACTCCCCAGCCAGGAGACGTCTGCGCTTCTCAGGCTCTTTGGTTTTCCCTTCACATTTTTGGGAGTTACATGACACCCAGCAGCCAGCAATCCTGGCGGGCTAAGAAATACAAAGTTCAGGGCCTGAGGCCGCTGTGGCCTCCACTGTGGTTTTTCTGGAGCTCTGTTTCATTTGGGCTAGAGTGAACGCTTCCCTCCGGAGACCCCAGCAGGCAGGGGCTGAAGAAAGTTGAAGGAACAGTCATTTCCACTGTGGCTGGGTGTTGGTCGTCTGGCACGGAGGTAGCCTGACAGCATGCGGACAGGGGGCCAGCGCGGCCGCAGGGCTGGATACACTGAAGGAGCGGCCCAAGGCGAGACGCGGCGTGTGCAGGCTCCCTCTCTGTCTTTGGGACAGCTTGACAACAGCAGTAATCATTAACTCCCCAAGTGCTTTTATTATAAGTCCATGTTACCTGACACTTCAACAGAATTAAAACAGAACAACCATTTGCAGTTAACTTGGCCTTTTATGACCTCACAGACTTTTACAAGGAAGTCTCGGGTTGCCTTATTTTCAAAAGGAAGCCAGGAGGCATGATGGGGACCCCAAAAAAGAGCTGAGAACAGACCCCCAAATCGAAAAGATAAATGAAAAAAACAGATAACATGTTTTATGGTTGTAAAAGCAACACGTGGTCACAGAGGACAATTTGGAAGACACAGAAAAGTATAAAAAATCCCATAGAAGCCACCCATCCCTACAGACCACTGTCAGTGTTCTGAGCTATTTCCACCCTTCCTGATTGTGGAAATAGCTCTTTGCATGTGTGCCTTAAAAACAAAAGTGGAAGCAGATTTGGCACTACAGTTTATGATTTCATAAGTGACGCCCTAAAAACCTATAATATTTCAGGTAAATTTGATATAGGGATCAATAAAGAGAATAAAATTAACCCACAAGTGATTGAGGGCCTAATCCATATAAGGCACTCCATTGGGTACTATGGGGGATTAGAGATGTCTGAGGTTCGGACTCTGGCCTTGAGACACTAGAGGGAGAGGAGAGGAACACGTAAGGGCAGCTTTGATAGTCATATCCTCAGCTCCAGACATTAGGCCCTCAAAATGGTTTGCTGCATTGAGCAGAGTGTAGCCCATCCCAAAGGCTCCTCATTATTTATTCACTCAACAAATATGTACCTGTCCCTATTGCATGTCAGGCATATGGGTGTTTAGGTTTTGGAGCAGGGAAGCATTGTGGTGAGAGCAATGTTTCAGGAGATTTATACGAGCACTGCTGACCAGATGAAAAGCATGATGGGTAATGTTATGTGTTGACTTGCCTAGGTCATAGTACCCGGATATCTCGTCAAATATTAGGCTAGGTGTTGCTGTGAAGGTATTCTTTAGATGACATTAACATTTCCATCAGTAGACTTTGAGTAATCAAATTACCTTCCGCAACGTGGGTGGGCCTTGTCCAATCAGTCAAAGGCCTTAAGAGAAGAGACTGAGGTCAGATTTCAGATTTGCCAGCCTCCACAATTGCATAAACCAATTTCTTAAACTCTATTTGCTTTTCTATCATCTAATATCAACCTATCATGTATTATCTATCTATCTATCTATCTATCTAGCTAGCTATCTATCTAGCTATCCATCCATCCATCATCCATCCACCCACCCACCCATCTATCCGCATCCAACCCTGTTGGTTCTGTTTCTCTGGAGAGCCCTGAGTAATAGAGATGGGACTGGACAAAGGCAGGAGGAGGGAGAGCTGGTTATTCAGAGTGGGTGAGGGAGGTCAGCTGGGCCAGTCAGGATGCTGGGAGGGGTATGTGAACATATGTCTATGTTTGTGTGAACATAACATATGTCTATGTTTGTGTGTCCCAGCTTGCTGGGAGGGAGAGTAGAAACTGAGTCTGGGGACCAGACAGGAAGGTGGACAAGCAGGAAGGCAGGTCACATGGTGGGAAGAGCTGGAGCGGCCCACGGAAGGGAGCAGGAGACCAAGGCCAGTTAGGGAACAGGAGGGCCAGAGGTCAAATACAGTGCAGAGAGGTCTTTGGGGGCAGTTTAGGGACATACACATCCCATTTCTGCCCAGGGATGGGCTTTTCAAAGGACCAAGCAGGTTGGGACAATAAGGCTTGCACAGAGGGGGTGGCAGTGGAGAGGAAGACCTGGAATCCAGGCCCATGAGAATGGTGAAGAGAAATAGGGCAGTAATGATGGGAATTGGTTTGGGGTCAATGATGACTTCAGTTTAGACCTGTTGGGCTTGTGGGAATGACAGAATAAGACTTTCAAGGGTGAGGAGGGGTAGTGACCAGTGTCATGTTCCAGAAAGGACAAGGAAAATGCAGAGTGAGGAAAAGCCATTGGGTTTGACAAGAGGGAGGGGAGGTAGTGGGCCTGCATGTGGAGGGCAGCATTTGTGGGCCCCCTACTATGAGTATATAGAAATGAAAGAACAGAAGAATACTACATGAATGGCGGCAGAGCTGAGTGATGGGAGCCCTGTGCAGATCTGAATGAAGAATGAAACTCAGTCATCAACATATGCAGGCCTGATCCCATTAAGTACTTCCTCTGAGAGTTAGCAAACTGATATCCTTTAATCATGCCTTATATTTATAAAGGCCTTTCTCCAAAGAACTCCAAGTGCTCAAAAACATTAATTAATGCACTCTCCCAGCCCCCTTTAGGGAAAAGTTGGTGGCAGGTATCATCATTCTGTTTATAGGCATGGAAACTATAGCCGACATGAAAATGACGCTGCCAACCAAGGTCACAAAGCTAGTCTGTGGCCAGGAAGGAGGTGAGCCAGGCAGATGTCCTACCTGGCTGTCCTCCTTCTGCAGCTAGGCCATTCCTACATCACCCATCTCTTGCCAGGACCCACCCCCCCACCAAAAAAAAAGTTACTGGTGAGACGTGGCTATGAGATCAACTACAGGGTCCAAGGCTTCAGAGAGTGGCCGCAAGATAATCCCAGAGGGATCTTGGGGCCAGGTGTGGGGCTTGGGGATCAGGTCTTTTGTCTGCTCTGTCTTGGACTACATGGGAACTTAAGCAGCTTACTTCTGCTTACTTATTTACTACCAGCAAATGCTGAGACCAAACAATAACAAAATTTCCAAACTCAAGAAAGCATGCACTCAGTTTGTGTTTCACGGGTACCCACACACAAGAATTCTCTAGAGCTGTAAAGTAAGGAAATACCTCAATTCTTATGCTTCAGGCTGTGCAAAACCCAACCATGTGCTCAGAAGCAAAATGCTCTTTAAACACAAAGAATATCCAGGACAGCCCACTAAGAAGATGATTTGGCCACCTCTGGTGATGATGATGACACCTGCCACCAGCTTTTCCCTAAAGGAGGCTGGGAGAGTGAATTAATTGACATTTTTGAGCACTTGGAGTTCTCTGGACAAAGGCCTTTATAAATATAAGGCATGATTAAAGGGTATCAGTTTGCTAACTCTCAGAGCTTGGGTTTTATCAGGCCATGAAAGGAAGGAAATGCCAGGGGTCCCAATGGCAGAGGTGATCCACAAAGCCCTCTACTGTGGCCCCAGCGGGTGCTGATGTAGGGACCGTTAACCTAAAGGCATGCAGTCCTCCCCAGGACTGCACCTGCCAATGCCGAGCCCTGTGGGCTGCCAATACCCAGCCTGTTGGATAATGAGGGCTGGCTCCTGTGGGATCAGTTAAGCAGTACACACTCCCAGTCTAGAGTTTAATACCCTAGACATGGGTGGACATGGGAAACTCAAGGGGCCACCAGCATGCTGGCCCAATGCCAGAGTTTAATTAGGCCCTAAATCTCCAGTGATTACATGACGGGCCCAGTCCCCTGAGGCCAGCCAAAGGGAGAAACATCCCAAACAGCATTGTATCGGCCTCTTTTGAGTCTTTCCCCTCAACTCATTGTTTGTGGAGGCACTGCTTGTTAGTGCAAAGAATCCCTTCCAAGTCACTGAGTAGCTGTACAGAAAATCAGAGGGCCGCTGCTTAATGATCTCGGCCATCAGGTAGGCTTTCCCACACCTGCCTGCTGCATCCCGTGGGACAGGGAGTCCTGTAGGGGGACAGGGTATAGATGACCACAATCACACTTCCACTCTTGGGTTTCGATGGGGGTTTGGTCAGAAGTCAGCAAAACTATGACTTGTTCAGAAAACAGAATGATTAGGCTCTCTGAGAGACCCCAAAGGCCCAACCACTCTGCAGGACCAGGGCCTGGGACCTGCAAGTGAAGCCTAATCTTTCGGGAGCCCCTGGGGAGGAAGAGGATTATGTGAAGTGGTTCCGAAAGGAGGAAGGACCTGAGACTTTCACAGAATTTCTGTCTTTTCCTTCTTGTCTCCATCCTTCTTTCATAGCCTTGGAGGGGAACATTCCAGCTTCTTATAGTTATGGTGAAGAAGGCCAACACCAGCATGTCACTCATGGTCCAGACCGATTTCCTGATCTGGGTGGCCAAGGGTGAGAATAACATTTCCACTGAGCTGATTGATGAAGGACACGGGTACAAGTTTAATGTAGATGGGGCGGATCTGATGGGAGGTCGTGAGAAGAAAAACTTTCTTGTCTTCCTCTGACTTTCTGTTTTCATTTGAAGAGAGTAGGATTAAGTTCTTAGGTCTTAGAGTCAGATGGCCTGAGTCTGCAACCTGGAAGAGACCACCTAGCAATCTGGTCCTACCCATTTGGGAGCCTACTCACCCCACGGTTCCTCTACTTGCAATGAGTTTCCTAAACAGGGCAGGGCCAGATTTCCACCTTGCGCAACTTCTGCTGTGGCTGGAGAAGGAGGATGCTAGCCTCCTTGGTGTTTACGAAATGAGTTATGATATGTAATGTTAGAATAACGTCCAGCACGTAGTATGTTTCGTATGGCAACATCCTTTCCCTCCTCCTCAGCCTGGGGTTGGTTGGCTATGGAGATATGCCCACACTACCACCACTCCTGGCAGCCCCCTGTGTTCAAAGAGTGTGGGAATAGGGTACTGGCCGATGTCCGACGGTCAGCACCGCAGTGGGCCATAAAGCAGCGGCAAAGGGAGCGGCCAGCTCAGATACGGCGCAGGAGATGAAAGTCGGCCGTGTTTTCCTTTCCAAAGTGCTGCTGTGTTCCTGAAGGCCTGCAGCTTCCTCTGCCCTGCTGGGGATTTTTTTTCTTCCCAGTTCCTCTCAGTGATATCTTAAGAGGCAAACTTCCAGCACTAACAGGAGGTCTTTTGTTCTCCTTTTCTCAAAGCGGACTTTAACCCAGTTACTACAGACTGAGTCACTGTAAAAACAAACAAATAATAATAATACTCCATTTTCTTAAAGGCTCTTCCATGCCTGCTGACAGAAAAGGGGGAACCTGACACTGCCCTGGGCCTGTGGGGCTCCTCCCCGCCTCCGTCTTCTGGAGGCACAGCCCACGAGAACCTTCCAGAACACACTGGAGCCCGGCACCGTGGAACTGTTCAGCTAGGCTCTGGCTTGTTTGGAATTTCATCTGACTTGAAGGGGCCCGTGGACTCAGAGGAATTTGGGTCTCAACACAGTCCCGGTGGGATTTACCCCAGACCGAGGAATGCTTGTTTTACTCCTGGATCTGCTACACACTAAATTCGGGACTTTCCTCCCTTCTCTACACTTTAGTTTCTTTTTATGTATGTGGAACAGGAGTATTAGACACTCTGCGATTTTATCAGAAAGGATTTTACAATGGTTATACTGTGATTTCTCCTTTTCCCTGAGTACATCTCCTCCTGGCTGAGAGTTCCTGGAGGGGGAATGACAGCTAACACATTTCTGAATCCTTGGTCTTAAGCATGGTATTTGGTTCATGGACACACAAGGTGTCTAGTAGACGTCTGTTAAAAGGACACATGAATGAATGAATGAATGAATGAGGTTTGAGTTGGTGTGCTGTGCTTGGTCTGACAATGATATCAACAGGAAGCTTCACTTCATCATCATCAATAATAAAAAGGTAAGGCTTAAGGAGTTCCTACTGATACCACCTCTTTATGTAGAAGTAGCTTTCTCTTCTTGGGAAGCTACTTGTACTTGAGAATTTAGATTTAAAATCAGACCGAGACTGCCATGGGTCTCTAGGACGGCCGTCTATTTTTCTAAGCTGGTCCCCACTTTAACAAATCCCAGGAGCTGAAGCAGTAGGATCTTCATTTACTCTGTTGGGTTTGTGCCCCCGAGATACAGTCCTTTCCATTTCAGCATCAATCATTTGAAAAGTAAATATCTCACCTTCTTGTGACCTGGCAAGGATAGAGTAGAGTTCTCTCCATCAGGGTCAATTTACATCTGTGTCCTTTTTTTTTTTTTTAACTTGTATTTTAGGTTTGGAGGGTACATGTGAAGGTTTGTTACATAGGTAAACTTGTGTTACAGGGGTTTGCTGAACAGAGTATTTCATCACCCAGGTATTAAGCCCAGTACCCAATAGTTATCTTTTCTGCTCCTCTCCCTCCTCTTCTCCCTCCACCCATGAGTAGACCCTAGTGTTTGATGTTTCCTTCTTTGTGTTCATAAGTTCTTACCATTTAACTCCCACTTACAAGTAAGAACATGTGGTATTTGGTTTTCTGTTCTTGCATTAGTTTCTTAAGGATAATGGCCTCCAGCTCCAACCATGTTCCTACAAGAGACACGATCTTGTTCTTTTTATGGCTGCATAGTATTCCATAGTGTATGAAGTCTTAACAAGGGCAGGAGTAGGGTGGGAGTCTCATTTTATAGGGAAAATGTTCCTTGGCTGGTCCTTCCTTCCCTACTCTCTATCCTGTCATCCTCAATGTCCCCTAACAACCAGGAGTGGATGACAGTAAACAATTTCAGTGTTGGGACTGATCTGGCCACTCCCCACTGGGTATGGTTCCCCCAGACGGTGCACAGCTCCTGGCCTAGCCTCAGTTTATTTCTCTGCTGTAGGAGAGCACGGGCCCCATTCTCAGATTGCCTCTTCCAGAATATGCCTTTAAGAGGAGGAGTAAAAAATTCCAGGAACAGGCTTCATGTCAATGACAGTAGCTGGCTAATTTCTTCTGAGAAAATGGAAACCTTGGTCTCCTGATGTGTGCAATGACAGGCACAAGAGGAATTTTCCAATACAACAAGGGAACGAATTTTCTAAGGACAAGCTGGCCGAGAAAAGCCGCCATCTCACCGTGAACCAGAATTAGGTAACGTGGCACCCTTGGAGCAGCAGAGGTGACCGGCTGGAACAGTCGGCCAGGAGGACAGCTGCACTCCCCACCACCTTCTGGGTGTGTTGCCAATGTCTGCCCCTGACGGGATTAGTGACTTCAGGACAGCTGGAACATTCGCAGTGCTGTTTCCTTACGATGGGAAGAGACATGATCTTGACTCTGCTTCTGTAGGAGATGGTGATGAGGAGTAGCTGAAAGCTAGATAGGTTCTTTAAAACCTGTGACAGAAATGGCGTGTGCCAGGCCTATCTGTTTTGCAGGAGCTTTTACAGCAGCCCAGCTGTTTCCTTCTATGAACTCATTTATTACTCCCTTCGTCCACTCATTGGGCATTACTCTATGGGGAACACGGTCCTATGAGCCAGACAAAAAAAAGCTGAATTGTCTTAGTCCCTTAGTTTTGCTCTTCCCAATTCCCTTCATCATCCTTCCATAAAAGGAGAAGGGCCATTGTTCTCCCCAGCCCCTTTCTTTTTTGTCACATTTTCAAAACTCTGAGCGTAGGGTGCTATGAAAAGGCTTACGAGAAGGGATGAATCACCCCCATGGTTGAAAACCCACCGAGCAGCTGTCAAGGTTTATAATTGTCCTCCATGAACCCCTGGAACCCTTCTAGGACCCCCTTGGAGATGCTCATTACTGATTAGAAAAAAAAAAGTTTGGGTACGATTAATTCCCAGCGCCAGGTAGAAACAAAACCTTTCCAAAGCTGTTACTGTCAGTGAGAAATTCACCCTGGTGGTGTTGTTTAGGATATCAGATATTCTGTGCCTCTTGCCCCAGAAGTGTCTGTTGTGGAAAGGGCTGAAGAATTTGAATCTCCAATATAAAATGGAGAATAGACATGGGATAAGAAACAGGAAACACATCTGCTGGTCTCTCAGATAATCTTTTTTTCTTAATGTATTTTTCCCCTGATTTTGGGAACATGCATGTTAATGGGAGGAAACTTGAAAAAAAAAAAAAAAAGACAATTCCAAAAAAGAAATAAAAGTCAAGTATAATCTTATTGCCCAGAGATTGCACTGTTAACATTTTTATACATATTTTTCCAGTTAAAATGCACATAATACTTTTTTCTTACAGAACTACTACATTGTATGCATATTGCTTTATAATCTGTTTTTTCTCTTTAATAATATGGTGTGAACACTTTCCCATGAGATTAAGCCTTCTTCTGACACATAATTTTAATGACCATCTAGTATTCCATCGTATAGATGTTAATTTAACCAATACCATATGGTCGAACATTTAGTTGTGTCTATTTTTTTGCTAGTATAAATAACACAATGTAGACATTGGGGAGACTGACTCAGGCTGCTCCCTTGTTCTGGTCATAAGTCACTTAGTCCTTCCTTAAAAGCCATTGGTCATTTGATGGGCCAGACAGACTTCACAACCCTTGCTCCAAACACAAGGACAAATTTAATCTACTCAAGCTAGGAGTGGCCTTGGATGTTCTCTTAATTCCACAGAAACACTGATGTAAAAAGACAGTTATACTCAATTCATTTGTTCATGGATGCATTATTTCAGACAAAACAGGCTCCCTTGACTGATTTCCCTTTGGCCCTGGTCTTCTTTTCTTCAAGGCAGGCAAGCTTATTGTAACAGCAAAGGAAGCGAAATGCCTTTAGCAAGGTAAACCTGTAGAAGCAACTGGAAGCATGTATTCCAGGGTGAATCATTTTTAAATCATCTTCCATGTTTAGGATTTTCCATGTAAGTGTTCTGCTCCATTAGAGTGGATAATTGGGAGGGAAGAGAATAAACGTTCCAGCGCTCCTAACATGCTGAGGCATTTACCAAAATGCTGTGGTTCATCTAGGCAGAGGGGAAGGCATCGGCTCAGGAGCACTGAGTAAATACTCAGTGGAGAAACTGGGGCAAAATCTAGGCTACTGGATCCTAGTTTGTCTCAGCCTCAAGAAATTCAAGCTGCCACAGTGGGTGGCGGGGTGCCTTAGTTCACCTCCTGTTTCCACGTCCCTGGTCCTTTAGCTCAGCAGCAAGCCAGGGAGAAAATGTACTCCATGGTGGAGGGCATGGGCTGTGTGCCTGGGACATTTGGTCTGGGGAGGGGCACCTGAGCAGGTCACCTGTCACTCCATTGCCCCCTTTCTCATTCTTGTGGCCCTACACACATCTCCAGTGGCCATTGGATGAGATTGCTAAGGACAAAATTCTCATTGGAATGGCAAAGTCTCATACTTGTAATCCTAGCGCTTTGGGAGGCTGAGGTGGGTGGATCTCTTGAAGCCAGGAGTTTGAGATCAGCTTGGGCAACATAATGAGACCCCACCTCTACAAAAAATTAAAAAATTAGCTGGGTATGGTGGCACATCTGTAGTCCTAGCTGCTCAGGAGGCTGAGGTGGGAGGATTTCTGGAGCCCAGTTCAGTTCAGCTTGGGTGACAGAGCAAAATGTTGTCTCTAAGAGAGAGAGAAAAAAAAGGAAGTCAAAGTCTAGGCCCTTTTGCCTTTCTCTGAGGCCCTGAGGCTTCCTGAAGAGGATGGTTGAGGAAGACCTGATGGAGAGTTCAAGGGGTATGGCATAGGAATGTACATAACGGTAGACATGTGCAAAAGAATGCGGGTGGGGAAGAAGTATTCGTGTGTGCACACACAAACTCTCTCTCTTGCTCTGTCTCTCTTTTCCTTTTCCTCTCTCTCTCCCCCACCGCCTCACTCACTCATAGCTTAATGGGGTTTCTGGGAGAGGAAATTGTGGTCTCAAATGCATATGAAAAGTCCTGGAACAAGCTCTCAAAGGCGTGTGGGGGTGGGGAGCACGGGGGGTGGGGGAATCACAAGACTGCCCTTGGGCAAACATTTTTGTCCCACCTCTCTTTTCAGCTGTCCTAATGTGTCATCAGACACCCCTGCCCAGCCTGACAGGCCCACATACACAAACAAAGTGCCCCAGTGAGCCATTCCTTTCCCAAGCCGCTGAGGGGTCTTCTGGGAGTTGGAAAGGATTCTTTCTGAGCTGATCCGACACTGGCTGATGAGCTCAGCTGTCTCCTCTTCTAGGAAAGATTTACTGCAACAGAGCATGGCTGCCTTCCATCCCCCTTCCCAGCCGTCTTTCTTCCAAGCCAGAGACTGAGGTTGGGGAGTTGACAGAGGGAATGCTG
Organism: Homo sapiens; assembly: GCF_000001405.40. NCBI lineage: Eukaryota > Metazoa > Chordata > Mammalia > Primates > Hominidae > Homo > Homo sapiens. Next base: position 68,593,780 of record NC_000014.9, on the reverse strand, counting down.
GGAATAGACCAATATTTCTTCCCTGGGTGATTTGAGGGGCTGCACAGACAGTGGGAGCCTCTCTTTGTGCCCATAATTAGACAATAGTGGCATCACTATAAATGCCAGCCCTGATACATTCCCCACTTTCAGCCAGCCCAGGTGCCAGGCACCTGCATCTTGGCCTCTGGAGACTAAGAAGGAAGGGTCCCATGCCCATTTGCCAACCTTTTATACTAATGATGTGAATTCCCTCTTGTCCCATTGGATTTCATCTCTCCCTCCCCATCAAACCACCTACAGAGACAGGCCCTAATCAGTTCCTACTACAATTTTCTTCTGTTTGCCACTGGGACAACTTGTCCCCTACCTGCAGCTTCTGCCCACTCAGCATCAAAGGGCCCAATGATCATCGGCTGGCGAGAGCTTGAGAGCCCACCAGAGAGCCCATCATGGGCCTGGCCCTGTTCCAAGAGCCTCTCACATATTAACTCATTTAGTCCTTAGAACAATTCCATGAGGTGGGCAGTTATGATTCCTGTTTTCTAGACGAGGCTACTGAAACCCAGAGAGGTTCATTAACTTGCCCACGGTCTCACAGCTAAAGAATGGAAGATCTGAACTTAGCAGCCTAGCTCTGGAGCCCTGCCCTCGAGGCCATGCTGCAGGCGGGAATAAATCAGTTCCAGTTCCGCCAGCCCTTGCTGCTGGCCCAGTTCTGACCTGGTGCCTCAGTCTGACAACAGGACTCTGTCTTGCTTCTGTGCCTAGGTTCCTTCTCTAGAGACCTGGTATGTTCCACTTTCTAGCATACCCTAGGATGCAAGGTCCCTCATTTCAAGTTCTGGAATCCCACCCTGAGCCCATTCTGATGGCCATGGCCATGGACCTTCCTGATCTCAGACCATAAGAATGACGTATCACTCAGTCCCATATCCCACGCAGAGCCAAGAGCACGGTGCCCTGCACACACATAGGAGCTGTTCAAATCACATTTGCCGAAGGGAATCAATGCCAAAATGCTCTGTGCCTCAGTTTCCTCATCTATACAATGAGGCAATAAGAATACATCCAGAGTTTTGTAAGAATGAATTAAGTGAATCTATGTGTCTGGCATGTGGCCAGTGAACAGTGAGGGTTGGCAGTTACCATTATCGATGTAGTGGTCGCTTCTATGATACGTGGCAGAAGAACTTTGAGCTCTAGCATTCTAATCCTGGCCCTGCCACTTCTCAGATCTATGATCTTTGGCAATTGAACCAACTTTTTTTCCATGCTCGCTTTCTCATTTGAAAAGTTGCATAGTGATACTTGTACCTCACAGAGATTTTGAGAATTATGAGATAATATGTGCAAAGTACCGTACCTGGCCCAGAAAAAGATCTCAACAAATGATAGCAAAATTATTAGTATTATGATTGTTATTATTGTAAAACTGGGGTGCATACGCTTACAACATTTGGGGCCACTCAGTATTTTTCCTGTGACAGACTCCTCTCTTTGATACACACACATACACACACACACACACACACACACACACACACATCATTGCCTACCCCTTTGTACCTCCCTGCTCACATTTATGGTGCAATGAAGACATCTGGGGTTTAGCCATTCCCCATCAGCCCTAGCTGCGGGGGAGGGGGTTTAGGAGCTTTCATTCATGGAAAGCATCAATTCCCCCCCTCCTAATACTGAGGGGACACAGTATCACGGCCATCTGGAAGGAATGGCTTGACCAGATCCTTCAGGGAGTAGGACTATCAGAGGACAGGGAGTGTGAGCTTCTCTTTGACTACCTGGAAGTCACCTGCCTCCTGAGTGTGTGCCCAGCTCCACACAGTCCTAGGTGGTGAGACAGTTTCCCCGGGCTCCATTTCTCTAGCAGGATCCAGAAGTGAAAGGAGAGAAGAGGAGTGACAGTAGGACTGTGAGGCCCATCCAGGTGGCCGGCCAATCACTTCCACATCCCAGGGGCTCAGGACTGCACATCCAGTGGCTGCTCCAGATCCCTAAAGATCTCCCCAGGCCTGCCAGAGCACCACATGGTAGCAGGACCCCACCACTCCTTAGCAACAGGGTGAGAGATCCTTGTTGCAGCTGGTTGTGGGGAACCCTTTCATTTTCACTCACAAAAATGAAAAGAAGCAACTCCCCCACGCCACCGGCCACACACACACAGGGGGCCTGGCTCTGGAAAGGTGCAGAGGCCCAGGGAAGAAGAGCATCAGACCCATCAGGCTCCTCAAGTTGATTTGATTTGAGTCATTGGAAGGATATCGATTATCATAGCATCATATGGTTGTTTCTTGAGAAGCATCCATAGCATCCACATTGGGGGTGTGTATTCAGAAGGGATTTATTTAGAGATGGAAAAGCCAATGAGGTGGCTCCCCTGTTTGTCTTTATTCATGAATCTGTGATGAGTAAAGCAAACAGAAGAGGTGTCCTCAAATCTCTAGGATGGCTGTTGTTCAGCGCATCCAGAGTCCCTGGCAGAACCCAGCATGGAGGACAGTCACTCTTCTTGCTCCTACTTCTGGGACTTCTTCCAGCTTCCATTTCCCACTGTCCCTGTGTATGTCACTATGCCACTGGGGACCCAACTCACTCTCCTGTTGCTGTCTTCTCCAACCAGCCTCTCTTAACCCACTGGGGAAAAGATGCTCCACCTCAGCCACCAAAACATAAATGAAGAAAAACTGGAGTTTTAATTTGTTTAAATAGGAAGGAGGGAAGAAAAGAGTCACTAGTGAGATGCACAAGGCCAAACCATCAGAATGAGGTTGGGCAGGGCAGGAACCGGAGGGGAGGGGAGGGGTCCATGGCTGCCTGGCCCATCTCAGGTAGGAGCAGTCGCCTAGTGAGAACTTCATGGGGCCATCTATAAAGGCCCCTCCATGGTGAGGGTGTTAAAGAGGAGACATTCTAGAGAGGCCACTCTGCCCCGCCACCCATGGTCAGCATTGGGTGGATCATGGGCAGATAGAGTAGTGAATGGTTAGCTGAATTATGAAAATGCCATAACAGGTGATTCGGCATCATTGCCCTCCTAGGAAGAAGGGCTGCAGAGACACAGAGAATTTGAGGTTAGATGGCCTCTTGTGGGTAATGGGTCTAACTTCAGGTAAGGCAGCCAGGTGGTATCAACATTTAAGATTCCAGGTAGATTTATTTATACCTGCAGTGAGAAGTTCAGTTCCAGTCCTCAGGCTTAGGAGGTAATAAAGAGGTCCCAGCCCCAGGCACCTTTGCCATAGATAGACTAAAAGCTGAAGACCTGACATCGCCAGGTTTCCTTTGCTCTGGGAACCAGACTGATGGGACAGGCAACCCCCAACGCTGCGGGGGAGGTGACTGGGAACACCCTGCCATGCTGGCAAGCTGGGGGCAGTTACAGGTGTAGATCCAAGGGGTGGCCAGACTGGTTTCAAGCCTGCTCATGGAAAACTGGTTCTTTTTTTTAACAGCTGTCAACTTGGCCCCCTGAGCCTGGGTAGACTGGCTGGCCAGGCAGAGCTTGAAGAGATGCATGGCAAATGCAGTCTCAGCTCTCACTCCATCAGTCAGCCCAAGACTCCTTGGAAGCACAGAGGCAGACTGGTGAGTTACTGAGGCTCTACACATCTTGCTGGAGGCCGAGGCCAGCACTAGTTTTTGGAATCAGCATCTGGGTGACACCCCAGTCGGCTGCTCAGGGTGACCTGTGTGAGGCTAGGCAGAGGATGAATGTGAAGTGTGGGGTGGAGGCAGGGAGGAAGGCTTTGAAATGGGCTGGGTCTGAAGTGGCAATAAATGTCAGTGCAACATTAAGAAATACACACCATGGGTACAGATCTGAATGCATATGGAATGTGTGTGTTCGTGTGTGAATATGTCTGTGTGAGCTAACACAGACATACCCAGCTTGATGAGCTAATGAAAAAGCCAAAAACTGAAAATGGGGGGGAAAAAGCCCTTTCTATCCCTGTAACCATTAGAAAGAAAATAAAGTCCAAATTGCATTCAGGGCTGCTGGGACAGAGGAAGAGAGGCAAGAATGGAAAAAACAGGCCATAAAGATGCCAGGGCTCCTTAAGCAGAAACATCTGTTGAAGTCATAAGACTAGGGGCCTGGCCAGGCTTCTAACAAACCCAGGAAGAGGAGAGTCTGTACAGGATCAGGACTACCCTCATCTGCCCTGTGCAGGGCCCCTGGGACCAGCATACGTGCAAAGGAGATACCCTCTCCAGGGCTCAGCCAAGGCCTGGCCTCTAGCAGCAGAGAAAGGGAGAGGGAGGAAGAGACGTTCCCAGGTCGGGAGGGGCTTGTGGCAGTCATGGGGGCAGTGATGTGATAGCCGTTTTGAGTGTGTATTTATTTAAAGCTTTAACTCACTGAGGTAGCCTGGTGAGCCACATGTCTCAACTCCTGCAGCTAAAGAAAAAAAAGTGAAGGCGGGGGAAGGGAGGGTCAGTTGCTGACCCTAACAGGAATGGGTGGCTATGCTCACTGTTTGCAAATGTAGGCCACTCTCTTGTTTGTAATTTTCAACAGAGGCTAGTCGTTCAAGGCTCGCCTCTTCTAATGACTACAAAAATGGCAGCTACCATTTATTGACCATATTCCACTCTCTGTACCATGTTCCTTGTAAGTATCACGTTACTTAATCCGCCAGTAATTCTGTTATCCCCAGAATGGGTGGAGACATGCATGGCTGTCTTCAAGGAGATTCTCGTATTAGCATTATCATCCTAGGAGGAAACTGAGGCTTAGAGAGGTTAAGGGACTCGCCCCAGGTCACCCAACTGGTACCTGGGAGCTGACCTGCCCTCCTTTCCTCTACAAAACTAATTTGAAAAGCAGCTTTAGCCAAGCCCCGTTGGGAAAGCAGCTTTGCAAAATCAGCCCAGCATTTATGGAGACATTGAGGTCCCTGCAGACCCTCGTGGCTTGTCCATCCCTGTGTTCCATTACATTAGCTTGGGAAAGCAGTAGGGGACTGTAATGACAGAACACACCAACACCAAACAAAGAAAAGTGGGTTAAAACTCCAATCCCCATGACAAGAGAATCCTACTCTCTCTCAAGGAAACTCACAGACGGTGAAAGAAATGAAATCCAGACTCGATACTACTCACTTGTGGGGAACCGCCAAGGAGCCATTTATCCATTATGAAAGTTACATGTTGTATCTCCTCTTCCTGGAATGCCCCTGTCCCCAGAACTGACCCTGCCAGACCGCATTCATTCAGTTCCTTCACCCATAGCGATCTATTCTACATGAGAAAGCTTGGTCCCTCTGGGGGCACTCTGGATCTTAATTTCACACGGGGGTAGCTAGAATGAAAAGCTTACCACTGTTGGCTCTGAAATTCATGGTCAGGGGACTACAAGTCTCCCCAGAAAATAAAAAAGTGAAATAGCAAGAGGACGGACTGAAGCTGCATCTCCTAGGTAGTTGCCTTGGGGAAATAAAGGATTTTGATGTTCCCTGAGCAATCATCTCTGTGCTGCTAACATTGACTAGGGTAGGAGCCTGCTGGTACCAGGTCGAGCCTCACATCAGCCCTTTATAATAGGTTACATCATCTCTGCTGTAAAGGGGAGGAAACTGAAGCTCAGAGAGGGAGCTTAACTTAAAGTCACATACTACTGAGTGACAAAGCTGGCATTAGGAATCCACAAGGCTGGGATGAACGCACCCATATGTTCTTTCCTGTGCTCCACTCTGCCTCAAGCTTGAATGTGCCTGTGTCCGCTGGCCAGCTTGTTAAAACCCATTCTCTGATTCAGTAGGGCCTGAGATTCTGCTTCTGTAACAAGCTCCCAGGTGATGCTCCTGCTGCAGGTTCCAGGCCCGCGTTTATAGGAGCGAGGATCTATACCACACTGCCTTTTTAAATGCACCATGTCTGCCATCTGGGCTGGCATTTCTCTGCCTCTTCAGTGCAGCTTTCCCACCAGAATGCCAGAACTGACCAAAAGCCACACTGTGCAGCCCAGTCAGCTATGCTATGTACCCAATTATTGTAAATCTTACTCTTCCCTATGACTTGGCTGAGTGTTAAAAACCCAACATCAGCCTTGGGTAGCAAAGGCTGGCGGAGGCCTGCTTCGGTGCAGCTCAGAAGCTGTGGAGGAAGAAGCTGCTCTGCGGGACTGGGGTAGGACTTGATACGGTTCTGGATCTCGGGGGGGATGGATGTGCTGAAATCTCTCTCAGATGGCCTCTCCCACAAGCTGACGGGAATTTCCTGCTCAGACCAGCAGAGGAATTAGGGGTTTGCTTCTCCAGGGCCAAGCTCAGTGGGAAAAGTAGGAGCAAGCAAGAAAGCAAGGGGCTGCCTTTGTGTGAGCCCAGCTGTCTTGGGTTCCTGGTTCTGCTCCATTTATAGCTGGGGGAGGGATCTTCTCCAGCTCGTAATTACAGCCTGAGATTCTGCATTTTCCCAGGGCTTGCTCAAAGGCTCTGAGTACCAATCTTTCAGGAGAGCTGGGGTGATCTGCATTCCACAGAAAGGAGGGGCTGGGAGAGGCTGGAGCTCAGGTTTGCTTTCCAGCACAAAGACAAGCTAGAAAGACAACCAGAAAACCCAACCCCAACCTCTGCAGTGCCCTGACCACTCTCCCCCTCTTTTGTGTGGACAGAGGGGTTCCTTCTTTGAAGACACTGCTGAGGGCCTCTTATGCGCAGGCACTGTGCTGGAACACTGACATATAGCAGAGAGCAGGATCCCTGGCTGCTGGCCTCAGGATCTCAAAGCTGGAAGGAGCCAATTTTTTTTTTTTTTGAGACAGAGTTTTGCTCTTGTTGGCTGGAGTACAATGGCGCGATCTCGGCTCACTGCAATGGCGTGATCTCGACTCACTGCAACCTCTGCCTCCTAGGTTCAAGTGATTCTCCTGCCTCAGCCTCCCAAGTAGCTGGGATTACAGGCACACGCCACCACACCCAGCTAATTTTTGTATTTTTAGTGGAGATGGGGTTTCACCATGTTAGCCAGGCTGGTCTCAAACTCCTGACCTCAGGTGATCCACCCACCTCAGCCTCCCAAAGTGCTGGGATTACAGGGGTGAAACACCGCACCCGGCCATGGAAGGAGCCAACTTTTAAAGGGGGTGACTGGATTTCCATGGGGTACATGCTGAGAATGGGAGTGTCTGTGAAGCCGAATTAATGTGTTCTGTGCACATTCCCTACCTGGCTGTGCTGAGCATGACACCTGGCCCTACTCTTTGGGCCCACTCACCTGCTCTCACACTGCTTTGCCAACATGGGTCTCCCTTTACTCCCTGGTCTGCCCCCACCTCCCCTGACATCACCCTTAGAACTCATTGGACACCTTTGTTAAAACCAGAGAAACACATGAGCTTGCATTTCCATGGGCATCTGGAACCGATCGGCACAAGGGCCGGTGAGGTTCTTGGGCGCACCGCAAATGTTCGCCTTGGTAAAAAATAAAGGTGTGTGGAGGGGAAAGGTTAGGTCAGGCAGGGAGGAGACAAGAATCAAGGCTGAGTGTGCACCATGGAAGAAGACTGAGCTGGGGAGTTGCTACAGGTCCATCGGGTTACTTGAGGCTCATCACTGCCCAGCTTTGAATAGTCCTCAGGGCGAATCTACTGTCCTCGGAACAGGACTATCGCAGCTCTGCCTCTCCGTGCCAGCCTCGGAGAGTTCTGATTGCAGTTTTTCACCCGCCTTTAATGATCTTCTCTTCCATAGGCTAGGAGGTGATGGGGGTAAGGGAGGGCTGCAGGAAGACTGATTGCAGCCGATTCACTGTGAAACGCAAAGCGTAACGTGCCGTGGATGCTTTGCAGGGCCTTGATGAGATCTGCAGCAGATGAGCCGTTGCCTTGGCGACGCTAATGAAAAGCAGGCTTTAGAGAGGTCCAAGAACCCCCGTGGGCTGAGTTGTCTCCCCCCTCTGCAGCTCTCCTTGCCTCCCCACCAACAGCCTCAGATCAAACTCCCCGAATATTTATAAAATCTCTACCAGAAACAGAGAAAGTCAGCCGCCCAGCCAGGCGTCTGCCCACGTCTTTCCGGAGCTGCTGGAGTGACACTCTCCAACGTGGCTCATTATTCTGTTTTTCTTCCTTGCAGTGAGCAGGACACCCGGGGTCGGGGTGGGGAGGAAAAAAATGTTTGCTCTGCCCTGTTCCAGCTGATTTTGACTTGGGGAATTTACTTAGCATTTAGGGGCCTTACCTGGGACAGGTCATCCTGTCCCCAGCCCCTCCCTACCCTTCTGCCTTCTAGTTTGTTGCTCCCTTTATCCCACCTTTGTTAAAGATAGGCTCTGACTTGGAGCCTGTTTGGCTATTCCTTGGTTGCTTGTTTAGCCCATCAGCCTCCCGCCTGGGGCTCCTCGTCAGGAGCCCCTGGGAAAGTCCGAGGGGAGACTCGCTAAGAACCTCTCTGCACTTCCACAATGGAAATGCGAGGGATAATGGGGATTGGCAGCAAAAGGAGCCGGCCTCCCTGCCATGGTGAAGCAGGAATTGGGCTTATTCCCTCTGAAGAAAAGGGAGTTCCTGAAATTCCCCATGGGGAGACAGCAGGGAATCAAGGCTGGTCTGAGAAAATCTAGGTGACCACTGCCTTTTTTGCCTGCTGGTTATTAAAATGCAAATAACTTAAATAATAGAGTACACAGAGGTGGGAATGCACCTCTCTGGGCTGTGTCCTGCCAGAAAATGGGAAGGCCCCATTTGCCCACTTGAGTATATTCTGAGACTGACCTTCCTGACCGCCGCATCCTATGGGTGAAGCAGACTTCTATGTAGAGAGGCATCAAGAGCTTGTGGCAAGTCCTGGATTGGGCTAAGAGTGTTGAGTGTAATTTGAGTGTAACGCCCAGCTCTGCCAAACCCTGAGGGCTCTGCCTGGCAAGTTACAACAACCTTCCTCTCTCTCGGTTTCCTCATGTTCAGAAAATGAGGATGGGACTAGGTAGTCTTTAAGATCTCTTCTAGTTCTATGATTTCTACATAACATGGAAGAATAAAAATGCCATATGTTATAAAGTACTAACATGAACATAATTCATGGGCCAAATGTTGGGTCCAGGTGGTAAACAATACAGGTGATAAAGCAGGGGAAGAATCGATGGAAGTGTTGGGAACCTTTTATGGAGGTGAAATCTCAAGTCACCTTGAAGGACGAAAGCGATTTGGATAGAAATAAGAACAGCTGGGTAGGTGCAGATGAGCAGATGTTGGGAGCAGGCAAGAAGCGCAGTGGCAGAGGTGAGCTGGCTGGAGGTGAGGAAACATTGGGAGGTAAGGTTCTATAGGGAAGGCTGATCAGGGCAGGAGGGCAATGCTATGGGAGCATGAGCGTTAGAGAGAAGCAAAGAGGCTTGCTCGATTGTAATAGCTCCTGCTTCCTTAAGATTAATGAATTTGCTTGAGTGACTCCCACCAACACCCTGGCTATAAGAGGTCGAAGGAAACCAGATCAGTAACAAGATCAGGACCCTCAGCCATTGGCTTATGTGGCCCCAAGGAGGTCCTAGATTCCGGCAGCTGAGGGATCTGACTCTCCAGAGACGTGTCCTTTTGTCACCTTTCTGCCAAGGAGGCCAGCCAAGTGGCACAGGCTGGTGGGGATTAGAGTCAGGGAGTGTGAGGAGGAAAACAAGCTCTTCACTGTGTCAGGAGCATGAGACGGTGACACCTGAATGACCCTGAGGCACGAGGTGTTGGGCAGAAATCCAGCCCCAGCATGGGGGGTGGGGGGGCGCCTGGGCATCTGGAGGACTCTTCTAGGAAACCTTTAAAGCTCCTTCCTCCGGTTTTCATTGGCTAAGCTCACCCCCGCCAGGTCCTCATCTGGTGACTGGAGTGGCCGGTGCTGTGGCCCACACATTAGGGAGTCTGCTCTGGCTCACCTCCAGCCGTGGGTGAAGTGTCCACAGGTTAAAGGAATATGGCCCCAAGGACCCACATATGCCCTGCTGCTGGACGTTGGACAGTGCCTTGTGCATTCTGATCCTGGAGTTCCCTGGTCAATTCCCTGAGCCTAAGCCCAAGGCCAAGTTGTGGGTGGATCACATTACTGGTGTGCACACCCATAGGCCTCGGGTGGTGACCAGGGGTGGCTTGAGGGCACTGCGGAGCTTGCACATGTGAGCTGAGTGCCCACACATGTGTGCTCAAGGCCCTTCCTAGTGCTAAATGGAGCCAGGGTCTGAAACCAGCCCAGGCGGGCTCCCCCAAGGCCACCACATTCCAGTGTGGAACTCTGAGGGGTCCACGGGTTCTAAATTCAAGGTTGGCCTTCACCATATCAGGAAGGTGCGTTTGTCAAGGCAAGAGGAGAGAACATATTCTATGTAATAGTTTGTTAGCTTGATTTGTAACTTTCAAATATTTGGACATATGAAAGCTGGTCTACATTGTACCCTTACCTGGACCCCCAAAAGTATGTGGGGGAGTCTCTATTTCCTAAACTTATTTTACAGCTTCTCCTCCCACTTACATCACTATTAGGGGATCACCCTGTCTCCAAAGAGTGTCACCCCCTCCTGGCAGGTCTGCAGGCGCTGTAGACAAACCTGTCAGGTAAAGCCAATGGACCTGAGGCCTTAGTGAGCCACAGCACCTGCCACCACCAGCTGAGGCAGGACATTTCTTTTTTAAATTTTTTTTATTTTTTATTATACTTTAAGTTCTGGGATACATGTGCAGAACGTGCAGATTTGTTACACTGGTATACACATGCCATGGTTGTTTGCTGCACCCATCAACCTGTTATCTACATTAGGTTTTTCTCCTAATGCTATCCCTCCCCTAGCCCCCTAGCCCCTTACAGGCCCTGGTGTGTGACGTTCCCCTCCCTGTGTCCATGTGTTATTGTTCAACTCCCGCTTATGAGTGAGAACATGTGGTGTTTGGTTTTCTCTTCTTGTGTCACTTTGCTGAGAATAATGGTTTCCAGCTTCATCCATGTCCCTACAAAGGACATGAACTCATCCTTTTTTATGGCTGCATAGTATTCCATGGTGTATATGTGCTACATTTTCTTTATCCAGTCTATCATTGATGGGCGTTTGGGTTGATTCCAAGTCTTTGCTATTGTGAACAGTGCCACAATAAACATACGTGTGCATGTGTCTTTATAGCAGAATGATTTATAATCCTTTGGGTATATACCCAGTAATGGGATTGCTGGGTCAAATGGTATTTCTGGTTCTAGATCCTTGAGGAATTGCCACACTGTCTTCCACAATGGTTGGACGAATTATACTCCCATCAACAGTGTAAAAGCATTCCTATTTCTCCCGTCCTCTACAGCATCTGTTGTTTCCTGACTTTTTAATGATCGCCATTCTTACTGGCATGAGATGGTATCTCATTGTGGTTTTGATTTGCATTTCTCTAGTGATCAGTGATGATGAGCTTTTTTCCATATGTTTGTTGACCGCATAAATGTCTTCTTTTGAGAAGTGTCTGTTCATATCCTTTGACCACTTTTTGATGGGGTTGTTTTTTTCTTGTAAATTAGTTTAAGTTTTTTGTAGATTCTGGATATTAGCCCTTTGTCAGATGGATAGATTGTAAAAATGTTCTCCCATTCTGTAGGTTGCCTGTTCACTCTTATGATAGTTTCTTTTGCTGTGCAGAAGCTCTTTAGCTTAATTAGATCCCATTTGTCAATTTTGACTTTTGTTGCCATTGCTTTTGGTGTTTTAGTCATGAAGTCTTTGCCCATGCTTATGTCCTGAATGGTATTGCCTAGGTTTTCTTCTAGGGTTTTTATGGTTTTAGATGTTACATTTAAGTCTTTAATCCATCTTGAGTTAATTTTTGTATAAGGTGTAAGGAAGGGGTCCAATTTCAGTTTTCTGCATATGGCTAGCCAGTTTTCCCAACACCATTTATTAAATAGGGAATCCTTTCCCCATTGCCTGCTTTTGTCAGGTTTGTCAAAGATCAGATGGTTGTAGATGCGTAGTGTTATTTCTGAGGCCTCTGTTCTGTTCCATTTGTCTATGTATCTGTTTTGGTACTAGTACCATGCTGTTTTGGTTACCGTAAGCTTGTAGTATAGTTTGAAGTCAGGTAGCGTGATGCCTCCAGGTTTGTTCTTTTTGCTTAGGATTGTCTTGGCTGCACGGGCTCTTTTTTGGTTCCATATGAAATTTAAAGTAGTTTTTTTCTAATTTTGTGAAGAAAGTCAATGGTAGCTGGATGGGGATAGCATTGAATCTACAAATTACTATGGGCAGTATGAGGCCCGACATTTCTTTCCAGGTGCCAAAGCCTCTCCTCTGTGCCTTCCCTCAGACTGCTTGTTGTACAGATGCTCCTTGACTTATGATGAGATTACATCCAGATAAATGCAGGGTGAGCTGGAAATACCAGTGAAAATGCACTGGATCCACCTAACCTCCTGAGCATCACAGCTGAGCCTAGCCCACCTTCAGTGTACTCAGAACGCTTCCACAGCCCAGAGCTGGGCAACATCACCTAGCAGCACAGCACACTGTACGGCATTGGCCCTTTACCCTCCCAACCAGCTGGCTGACCGGGAGACATGGCTCACACCACCACCCAGCATCATGGGAGAATGTGGTGCCACTTTCTACTGACCGCCTATCACTTTTGCACCATCATAAAGTCGAAAAATCACAACTAGGGGACCATCTTTACTTTGAATGCCCTCCCCCTATCCCATCTTAAAGGCAGATTACTTAATAAAGAAACCCTGAGAGCCTGGTCAAAGGTAATCTATCCCTTCTCCTAAAAAAAAATCCTACATTACAGTTGCAATTCTACTATATTAATAAAAGTAATTAATGCTTATGAAAAAAACTGAATCTCACAGGAGGGAAGAAAGTGAAAAGCAGGAGCTCCCTCAGCCTCCTGAGCCCCAGCCGCCCTTCTCCAGAGATGACCGCCAAAGCACAGCTGCCACGTCCCCGCCCCGTGTGGAAATGGCCTGTGCACATACAAGGCTATACTGTGCTGAGGCTCCCATCTGTTCCTTGAGATCTCCAAGGGAAAAAGGATTAAAGAGAGGTTAGAACAGAACCTTGGGGAAATGGGGCTGGTTGGATGGGTCTGAGAGAGGAAAATAACTGAAAGGGAAGAAGAGAGTCATGGGCACCCAGGGAGGGGACAGTGGGAGGTGTGGGGCAGGCGTGTGCACCTAGGACGGCAGGGGTTCAAGAAGGGCTACAGCTAAGAACAAAATCAGTGGAGGTGACTGAGGAACAGCTGAGTGGAGCAGCAGGGGTGGAATAAAGCCCACGTGTATAACAATGTCTCTTCCACGCGGGTCACTGTCCCAAACACTTCCCACTCAGTGACTCACTTCATCTTGCCCAGAGTGCCCATTTGCAGATGAGGAAGCAGAGGTGCCGAGCACTAAGTAGTCCAAGGTCACACAGCTACTCAAAGGTAGGACAGGCCTCCTCCAAGGTCACACAGCTACTCAAAGGTAGGATGGACCTCCAACCCTGGGAGACCTGCTGTGTGCTAAGCTCTGAGATCAGGCCAAACCACAGCTGGCCGCAGGGCAAGCAGGAGGCGAAGAGGTGGGGCAGAGTGGCAGGCCTCCCTGACAAGGCTTACACTGAGAGAAACTTCCAGAACATGGAGGAGAGAAAATACACTGAAAGAGGAAATGAGGGGGAACCGGGAGCCCGGGCCCTGTTTTGTCCTGGGATAATGGTAGCCAGCGGGGGTCTCAGGGCAGGCAGGTAGGATGGCTGCTCTGGAGGAAAGCAGTGCTTCATAGGCAGCACCTTTCAAAGTCCCCTTCGAAGCTCCATGCTGGCATTGCGGGCCCTTCCCTTTCCTGTCCCCCACCTCCACTTGCGGGCACCGCCCCCTCCCACACCTTCTCCTTCTGGGCAGATCTTAGGGCCCTTGCTTGACTGGGCCTGGGCTGGAGACGTGGAGGCATCTGCCACACTGAGTCTCTGCTGCAGCCGACGGTGGGGGCACAATGCCCGTGAACCCCATGACCATTTTCTCTCTTCTATTTTCTTTCCTGGACACTCTGACAGTGGGGCAGCCAGCCTCCTTGGAAAGAACATGGGTGGGGAACAGAAACTGGGGTTGTAAGGTATGCCCCACGCACCAGGCTCAGCTCTCTCCAGGCTGATTTGGGAGCTGCCGGTGTGTTTAGGAAACATGCAAATGGGCTGCCAGGTAAAATATAGACCACCCAACACAATCTGGATTTCAGACAAGCAAGGAATCATTTTTCGGTATACATATGGCTCAAATATTTTATAAAACACACTTATACTAAAAAAAGTATTCATTGTTCATCTTAAATTTAAATTTAAATGAGTGTTTTCTATGTTTATTTGCAACATCTGGCACTCTATCCTCAAACACAAACACCCAGCCTGCCTCCCAGGACTTGGTCAAAGAGAAGCTCAGGCTGCTGCTATGCCTTTGATCTGGTGCACCTACGTTACATTCTGTGCTCCAGGAATAAAAGAAATCTCTGAGCTCCCTCAATTCACTGTCTGAGAAGTTAAGAAGTCCCTCCTCTGGATCTCCATGGGTAGTAATGGAGGGGAGGGAGAGAGGAGTTTGGTGATTTGAAAGCAGCTGGACAAAGGACTTGAAACAGAATACTAGGTGCTTCTGGGAGGCCCCTAGAAGCAGAAGTGACTTGACTGTAGACTCTTGAATTTTCAAGGTGAGGCCATGTGTGCAAAGGAAAATTGGTGGTGTCGTCACCAACATGGAGAGTCAAGAGAGCTGAATCTGGCATCAGTGACTGCCAGGAGACCCTTCTGGGCCCTACTGTGTGTCCTACCTCTTTACTCTGCACAGAACCATGGAAGGGGCCAGAGAAGAGGCTACTAAGGGTGGATGGGTAAGGCCAAGCAACTTATCCAGGTCCACACAGTGAGCTAGAAGGAAAGCAAGCCTATGACCCAGCCCCCTGAACCCTTGATATTTCCAGAGAGCTAGGTCTTGGGAAGGTCGAATGACACACCCATTAGCTATCCCTTGAGCATGCTTTCCTCCTTTGTCTTGTCACCTCTCTGTCTGCCACGTGTTGGAAGGCACATGGATCTGGGCAGGGTACCTGAGTCCAGACCACTTTCCCTGAAATTCCCTTCTGGATTTTGGGCTTCACCTTCCTGTGATCTATTCCTTCCAACTTGGTCTCCTTTATATCATTATAAGGGCCCTTTGCCTGTGAGTCAATATATCCTTCAAGGAGAGAGGCTATCCAAAGACATTCAGGACCTGGGGCTCAGGTGTGAAGTGTTGTCTGTTGTCTCTTTGCTTTATACTAATTGCATAGGAAGTCATGTGTGAGGTGGGCCGGCAGATTCTGAAACCTCCATGAAAGCTGCCATGTCATATCATCCATGGCGGGGAAATTACTTTCTTTCTCCTTTTTTTGTTTTTGTTTTTTTGAGATGGAGTTTCCCTCTTGTTGCCCAAGCTGGAGTGCAATGGTGCAATCTCCGTTCACTACAACCTCCACCTCCCGGGTTCAAGCGATTCTCTTGCCTCAGCCTCCCGAGTAGCTGGGATTACAGGTGCATGCCACCACGCCCAGCCAATAGAAAAGGGGTTTCACCATGTTAGCCAGGTTGGTCTCGAACTCCTGACCTCAAGTGATCTGCCCACCTCAGCCTCCCAAAGTGCTGATATTACAGGCATGAGCCACCGCGCCCAGCCATTACGTTCTTTATCTTTGCTTTTCTTTGCTTTCACTTCTGTTAGCAACGAGTTTCAACAGCCATTGCCACATAGTGTTGCATAGGCAGCAACGTGTTCGACAATGTGCTGTTGACAAGCACATACCACAGAATCAGGAAGACCAGTAAGTATTTCAGGAATTTGCCTGATGGAAATGACTCAAGTCTGGGGCCAGCATGAAATCCTATAAAGCAGTAAGGACACCCACCATTCTCCCTGATTTGAACCTACCCTTGAGGACATGTCTGACTCCATTCATTCACTTAATAAGTACTTATTGAGCATGTACACCACGGCAGGTAGGATTCTAAGTGCCGGGGACACAACTTTGAGAAAATAGACCAAGTCCCTGCCTTTAACTGTGTGTGTGTGTGTGTGTGATGAGAGAGGTGATAAACACAAATGTATCTGGTAACAATAAGTGCTATATAGAAAAATAAAGCAGGGGCTGGGCGCGCTGGGAGGCCGTGGTAGGCGGATCATGAGGTCCAGAGTGGGATCCAGGCTCAGTTGTGAGGAAGGTCTGAAGTGAAGGGAGCATGTTGAACCCTGGCTCATGGCTTGTGATTGAGAACACCATGCAGTGACCAGCCTAGGATTCCATTTTTTTTTTTTTTACATAAAATCAGATGAATAATGAGTAAAAGCACATGAATAATTTTACATTTGACTGTGGAAGCATCTAAACTAAAGGAGGGAGAGAGGGTTGTTCTTGGTTATTCCTTTTTGAGGCTGGGCCTTCATCTTCAAAACCTTCATCTTCAAAATGATTAAAATTGTAGACAAGGCCACAGGATGAGAAGGGTCCAGTGGCTTGGCTCTAGTTATCCTAGGGAGGGGCAGTTCCTTGGGTGTCCATGAACTCAGAACGTGCAAACCTAGTATTGCCTCCCAACTCTCTCCCGGACCCATGTGTCTCCTTTTGAGTTACAGTAATAATGGAGAACAACTGGGCCCTCTGTTTTTAGGCTAAAGGTCAAGACCAGAAAAGACTTGGAACCAAACTGGAAATTCTGCTTCCTTCCCCATAACTCCCTGTCAGCTTGTAAGCACCTTCTGTTCATCCAAGTTTTGGAGAAGACATTGGTCTTGTGTTCTGACAGACCCTGGCCTCCCAAGCTTGCTTTCCAGGGAATCTCAGCAAACCACAAACGGAATGCCCCTGTTGGTTCCGCTTTCATCTACCATTTTTTTCCTAAATAAAACACAATGAAATATTTTATCTTGATCTTGAAATACTTGCACACCAGGACCTGCTGTAGAAGATCCCAAGGTAACAGAAAGTTCATCAAAGAGCACAGACTCTGAGTCAAGAGGTGGAGCACCCAAGCTAGGTTCACCTCTGACCCCTTCCTTACTAACATCATGCCCCTGCGTGAGTCCAAACCATTTCTTGCCTCCAGTGCAGCCAAATGACAGAGGTCAGAAGGGTACCACTGATCTGATTGTTAAGAGGCAAAGATGACTCATACCCTAGAAGCTCTAAAGTACCAAGGCCTGGGTCCATCCCTAAGACTGTTTCCCTGCATTCCCCAGGGCTGGCATGCCTGGATGCTTTAGCATCTCCATCTGGAAACAAGACTCATTCCTCACTAAGTGCCATGGAAAGGCTGCAAAGACACTTTCCCTAGAACAAGGGTTTTAAGCTTTATGCATCCTCAACCTTCTAGTGGGGGCTTTACTTCTCATTCCCCAAAGCCTCAAGGTCCTCTGGGTTGGGGGTGGCAGGCAGGTCTGCAATGGTAACAATCCTAATCACGAAAAGGAGGAAGGTGTCCCCTGTGCTTATTTTTCTCCATTTGCCTTCTCCCTTCATGTTCATTCTCTTCCCTTTGGTGCCCTGCTCTGTGACCCCTGGGGCTGAGTGCTAGGAGCTGAATCACCAGCTTCCTTTGCCTCTAGCTTCCTTTTGTGTCCGGCAAATGTGAGGTACAGGCAGGAGGCTGGAGGTCAGGAGGGTGTCTCTTCCCCTGCTCCCTCTTTGCTCTGGTGCTTGGCTATGGCAGGGACTGTGGCCCTTGGGACCACTGCTCTCACCAGGTGGCCACCTCTATGCTGCCAAGACTCACCAGGCCCCAGTCACACTATTTCCTTTCTTTGCTCCTTTGGCTGAGGGCTGGTATCATCTTCCCACTATTGCTAGTTCCTGGGTGCCTCAACATTCCTGTTGCTGCCCTGAACCCTGCCCGTCCATCTATAAGTTGTGCCTTCACTACATTCTTCTTAGTCAAATCCTTTTGAAAAGAACTCTGTTTCTTGCTGGGACCCTGATTAATATATCTTTCTATATGTATTTCAAAATAAAAACTACCCTAAACGGTAAGGTAAGTATGAGGCTTTCTGACACTGACTCTTTTGAAGCTATGTTGGTGTCCAGAGGATGAACTTGGCTGCCAACTGGGGCATGAGCCTGGGTGCAGGGACTGCTGCTCCTGAAGCTTCTAGAATGAACAGGTCAGGGGCCCTGGGAGTTGCTGAGCCTTCCTCATTGGGAGAATCCCCATTCACCATGGGTGTGTGGCGTTGGGGAGGGAGAGGGGAGGAGATGGAATTATTTCACAATCTACCATGCCGCAAGGCTCTGGGATTCAACGGTCCATTTCAATTTTTCAAATGGGGCCTAAGACCCAGGGAAGAGGCCACAGAGCCCATTTCAGTCCAAATCAGCCAGACCCCAAACCTTTACAGATTCTCATCCTGGGGAAAATAAAATCTGGTGACTGCCAGAGAAATGAGGGGCAGGGGGAGCAGGGAGCAGGGAGGGAGCTTGTCATGTAAGCCTTGGCATCAGACAGCATTTGATTTCTGGCCCTACCATTTAGAAGCTATGAGAACTTGGGAAAGTCACCTAACCCCTCAGAGACTCGAGTCCCTCACTTTCCAGTTGGGAATAAATAAACTCCATATCCTCTAGGATTGTCGAGTCAGTATCTTTGACAGAAAACCCTGGCTGAGAAGCTCCCACTGAGGAGCACCATCTGAAGGGCTTGGCACAATGCCTGGCCTGCAAAAGGCATGCAGGAAATGGTACTTGGTATTATCTAAGTCCATCTCCATGGCTTCCCACTAGAGAAAAAGTCATTGTGGAGAACATACTTGGATGTATGAAGGCAATCAGAAAACCAGTCAATGGCGTGCTTTCCTCTTCTCTAACCTCAGAGTGGATTTGGATGAGAAGACTGCTCATCCCCAACCTCTCTTGCTCCTGGGCTTATTTCCCCAATCCCCCCCACACTTCATAGCTACTGGAGACCAAAAATCCTTGCTAAATTGGCAGGCTTTCCCCCTTCTCTGAGGAGCTCTTGGAATTGACTAACGAGGTTACCACAGGTGCTGCCTTGCTGCCAGCCATGAAAAAATAAAAATAAACTATTTTCTGTTGGAGAAGGGTGATGGGGACACATGCCCAGAACCTGCTACTGCAAGGATCTGAAACCACGGGGCTGTTGCAGTAATACATTTCTGCTTCGCTGGCCCAAGGTCCCTGTCCCATTAGAGTGGGCCTGGTGGATTCAAAGTGGAGGCCCCAGGTGTGGTGGGCTGGCCCTCTGGGTGCCCCTATACAGGCTGCTAAAGCAATGGGTGGGAGGACAAAGCTATCTTTTTGGTAGAGATCCACAAAGATGTCTCAGTTGGATTATTTTTAAATAATGTCTGGTGGGCTGGACTGGGTTTTAAGGGCTGAGAATTAAGACCTATGTGTTCTGTGGTGCTGATAGTGAAGGAAGTAGCTGTGGCCGGGTGCAGTGGCTCACACCTGTAATCCTAGCACTTTGGGAGGCCAAGGCGGGTGGATCGCTTGAGCCTAGGAGTTCGAGACCAGCCTGGGCAACACAGTGAGATGCTGGTGCGTGCAGCCAATAAAAGCCAGTAGTAGTTCCAGCTACTGAGGAGGCTGAGGCGGCAGTATTGCTTGAGGCTGGGAGTTTGAAGCTGCAGCGAGCCAAGGTTGTGCCACTGCACTCCAGCCTGGGTGACAGAGCGAGACCCTGTCTCAAACAAAACAAAAACAAACAAACAAACAAACAAAAAGTAGCTATTTCTCACCCTCAGCTTGCTGGAGTAGGGGTGGGGGTGGAGAGGAGAGCAATGGAGTTCCTTCAACATGTGAGTGAGCACACACACACACACACACACACACATACACACACTGACACCCACACCCACACCCCCACACACACAGCAGTCAATGAGAACAAAAGCTCAAGCTCAGCCCATACTCATGTGCTGCATGCTCTTGTTTGCCGGGCTCTGTAGAGGGAACTGAGCACCAAAGTGAAGCTAAAGTCTTCATCTGCGGGCTGAATGGAAGGCCTGCCCCCTTGGTGGCCCAGGAACAGATATAGGTTGGATGGTGGTCTGGAGCCTCCCAGAACCTTAGGCTCCTGAGGGGAGTCCTGAGACTTCATCCACTCATTTAACAAAGACCTGCTAGGCGCCCTACACAGTGCTGGATACGTAGCAGTGGTCAAGGGTGCTGCCCTCCTGAAGCTTTATTCCCCGTGGGAGAGACAGATAATAAACAACACAGGTAGCTCTCATGTGTTATTTGGTGACAAATATATGGAGAAAAATAAAGCCAGGTAAGGGGGATAGGAAGACTTTGGGTAGGGATGTCGGCAAAGGTAGGTCTTAAGTTTCTTAAATGCAGAACATCAGCAAAGCTCTCCTTAAGAAAGGAATGGGCCAAGTATGGGCAGTGAGGAGGCAGGGAGCAATCCAGGTGGAAGGAATAGCAAGTACAGGGACACCGAGGCAGGGATGTGCTTGGTTTCTCTGAGAAACAGTAAGGAGTCCAGTGCAGCCGAGTGGAGGAGAGTGCGAGGGGGCACAGCAGGAGGTGGGGTAGAGAAGGAGCAGGGCTCGACCACGTGGGCCTGTGGGCCACATGAGCCTCTGGCTTTTATGAGTGAGGTGAGAGCTGCTGGAAGGCTGTGAGTGAGGTGAGAACTGCTGGAAGGCTCTGAGCAGTGGAGGACATGATCCATTGTACATACAGTTCACCCTGGCTGCTGGGAGTTGACTGGAAATAAGATAGAGTAGTATGAGGTGACTGTAGCAGAAATCCAGATGTGAGGGATGATGACACTCCCTGGCCTGGGTTTGATTCCCCGACTCCATCACATATGACCTGTGGCACCCTTGGTAGGCTGTTTCATCTCTCTGTGCTTTTGTCTCCTCACGCGTAAGATGGGCTACTACCCATTCTTCATAGGGTTCTGTCTAGGGTTGTGATGAGGATTAAATGAGCGAAAACATGTACAGTACCTGAGGTGTAGTAAGAGCTCAGAAGCATTAGCCATTATGCTGTGATGCTATTGATATGACACTGGCAATTTGGAGATGGGAAGTCAAGGTCAGCAGGGGAAGAGCATATCAAGATTGAAGTCACCACCTAGAAGGTCAGTGATAGAAGCCAGGACCCACTGGGAGGTCGGGACAAGTCACAGGCCAGGGATGAGTGGATAGTCTGGGATCAGGTGGGAGTGGCTTTGGCAGGTGAGCCGTGGGGGCACCGCAGGAGTTATTGGGGTGGCTTACTGGAATCAGAAGCCCCAGGCAAGGAAACAGAGAAGGAAGGAGTTGGGCCCCAGCAGAGTAAAAACAAGGGGCTTTGCCAAGAGAGCAAACCAAGCAGCCCCCCAGCTGCAAGGGGCAGCTCAGGGCAAGTGAGCAATGCCCACATCTTATTTCAAGAGTTTTGAGGGGCTCCTTAAAAAGCAGGTTTAGGTTTCCAGCAAGGAAAGCAAGGCAGCTGCTGACACAGTCCAGCCTGCAAGGTGTGACGTCTGGGAGGCAGCTGGGCAGGGCCCATGCCACAGGGTTAGGGCTGATGCCTGGGAGAGACTGAAGCCCACCGTGGGTTTGAGAGACACTAGGGGACCAATAGACACTTAGCGGAACCCACTAGTATATCTGGATTCGAGATTACATCTCAAAAGGTTGGCCAGACGACCTTTTGTTTGTAGATTACAAACATCCCTGCTTCTAAGCCAGAGGACATGAGACAGAGTCCAAGGGCCTGTTTGCATGACGTATGAAACAGCCACACACTGGGGTCTGTGGGGGTCCGTGAGCTAACAAATTTCCCCAGAATGGCATGTGCTGTAGTTTTGGGGATTGTGCTTTATAGATTGATAATGATGGACAACGAAATAAAATCGATGTCCACTTTCTGTGCCGCCTCTTGTAGCTCCTTCTTCCCCTTAGCGGCTGCTCACTCTCATTTTTTCTCTTCTTTTAACAAACGTGATTATCTGGCTCTCAGGTGAGGACCTGAGCCAAGGAGATTCTCAAAAAACAAACAAACAAACAAACAAAAAACAGCCATCCAACACCAAACAACCAATAACTGAACAACTAACAATCAACCAACTAACTATATGTGGTAGGGAGAATAACGGCCCCTCAAAGGTGTCCACGGCCTATTTCCTGAAGCCTATAAACATGTTCCCTGACAGGAAAAAGGGAATTAAGGCTGTTAGTTAGCTAACCTTAAAACAGGCACATTGTCCTGGCCCAACGTAATCACAAGGGTCCTAAAAGAAGAAGAGGGAGGCAGAAGAGGAATCCAAGTCAGAGGGAGAAGTGGCAATGGAAGAATGATTGGTCGGAGAGCTGTGATGTTGCTGGCTCTGAAGACAGAGAAAGGGGGCCATGAGTCAAGGAATGTGGGCGGCCTCTAGAAGCTGGAAAAAACAAGACAACACTTTCTTTTCTGCAGCCTCCAGAAGGGAACACTGCCCTGACGACACTGATTTTAGCTCAGTGAGATCCATTTTGGACTTCTGACCTCCAGGATTATACAGGTAATTGATTTGTACTGTTGAAGCTACTAAGTTTGTATGGCAGCAATGGGAAATGGGCACATTAACCAACCAAATTGAATCTGGTTTGAACTGACATGGTTGTACCCAGCACTGCAGCATGCAAGGCCTTCAGCCTGGTTGTTTCACCTTAGCTCACGGGGTCACCTGCCCTGTGTTCCAGCCAATCAGAAAACTTGCCATTGC
Organism: Homo sapiens; assembly: GCF_000001405.40. Lineage (NCBI taxonomy): Eukaryota > Metazoa > Chordata > Mammalia > Primates > Hominidae > Homo > Homo sapiens. The sequence continues at coordinate 68,571,109 of NC_000014.9, read as the reverse complement.
TTGACAGTCTCTGCCTCCCCCCTCTGCCAATTCTATCATTCTGGGAGGGTTGTTAGATCTTACATGTCAGGCTTACAAAGCCCCTTCACTGGCTGATGTGAAGTTTAAAGGAAATGCTGTATGTGTGAGCGGTTTGCAAACTGGAAAGCTCATGAAGACACGAGCTAATATGTGATTTGATGTGTGTGTGTGTGCATGTGTGTGTGTGTGCATGTGTGTGTGTGTGTGTGTGTGTGGCGCTCCAGCCTTTGAGCCCAAGACCCCTGGATGTCCTCAGAGCCTTTCCCTTTAGGTTATTGATCACAGTGTCTTAAATTATAGTTTCATATACGCACATATTATTCTCTTACTAGATTTGCAGCTTCTTTGAGGGAAGGGCCTGGACAGTATTTACCCTGTTAACCCCCATAGGGGGAAGCTTGGCTGGAGGTAAAAATGGGGATGGGGGCTGGACACAGAGGGTCAGAAGGTTACAGCAGGCTGCCAAGGGCACTGGACCCCCCTCCTGGCTCAGCTGCAGACCCCAGATTTAGACTCCCTGATGATAGGACCTGGCCATGCCTTTGTCCCTTTAAATAGCATAGAGTGTTTAGTAAACAGTTGATGGGAATCTGTTTCTCACAGTACCCTCCCCTGGTATTTTTAAGGTCCTACAGTGACCTTCAGATGCCTCCAATCTTGGCTCCCACTGGTCTATCCTATGCAAAGTGACAAGGCTGGTTTCTCATAGCCTTGTTTGATCTCAGGCCTTCTAACCTTGCAGTCAAATGACCCCGGGGAGAGAGTCATAATTCTGGGCCCTCTCCTAATCGCAGGCTCCCCTGACCCAGGTCCTGCCAGTGCTTGATTCCAGGCAGGACAGCCCTCTGGGTAGTCCCTGTTCCCACAGGTGGGGCAAACAGATGCAAGACAAGGAGCTCAGGGCAGAGGGACCTGGGTATGGGGACCCAGGAGCCACTGGGGAGGCTCACTCTCCTCTCTCGCTGGCACAGCCTGTTCTGTTACTCTGGGCCACATTAGGTAAACAGGGGAAAGAAAACAATGTCCGTCAGCTACAAAATGAGCCTGTCAGGAAAGGAATGTTATTGCCAAGTGTTCTCAGAGGGCAAGACAAACAAAGAAGGTGAAACCTGTCTTTAACATCAGGCCTGGTTCACAACCATGCCCTCCAGTAGCCCTTCTATGAGCAAAGGCTTGTGCCCCGCAAAAAGGGACCCTTCCCACCTGCCTCTCCTCACTTTTCCAGGGTTAGCTTGGCCTGTTCCCTCAGCCCCTGGGTTGGGGGGCTCCCTACTGAACAGCCAGTGGGAAGGCAGAGGCTGCTGGGATGCAGGCTGCTTCAGGCCCGGTTCCATGGCAAACCCGAGAGCCCGTGGTGCTGTCGGCTCCTAGCCTGGCCCTTTTAGAGGGGCATTCCCATCTCCAAGGAGGCAATCACATCAATAAGGGACGTTCGGCATCTTGCCCTCTCTGCGGGCAGAGGTGTCCCATAGCAACTGGGGCTGTGATCTGCATATGACAGCACATTGCAGCTATTCAGGACTTTTCTTTCCCCTGCTTTCTTTGAAACAAGCTTGCCCTATATCCAAGTTCCCTGTGAGCCCCATACAATGAAAACAGCAGTTGACAGGTTCCCTGTAACTTGTGAAATTTGAGTGCATCCAAGGGGAGAAAGAGCGCTCATTACTGAAACACAAAACGAGCCTCTTTCAAGGCGTGGTGAGTTGGCCCCTCAGTTTGCTGCTGCTGACCCTGTTGCCCTTCTGAGCACAATAAGCAGAGGGAGAAGAGGGAGAGAGAGGCCTTTACTCCTTAAGTTGCCAATTGATCACCCTCCTAACCCCTATGGGGGCTGCTTCTCCTAAACAATTTGGGTGACAGAGGTCAGGGCTCTGGCCCATTCCTCCGGGGAGATCTTAGCTCTCCCTGCAGGGACTTTCCCGGGTGAAACAAAGACAAGCTCCAGAAGCCTTAAACAAAATCCTGCTGATGATGCCGAAGGGAAATACAGAAAGGGGAAATGAGAGGTGCCAAGAACCACAACATTGGGCCTCAGCTGTTTTATCCAACCAGACCCCAAAGCCCTTCAACACACTCTGAGATTGGACCATGCATTGTGGAAGCCCAGCCACATCTAAATTCCAATATGGTGGCCAATGACCACTTAGCAACTGGGTTGGGGAGAGGAAGCCATGCAGGGGGAAGAAACAACTCTATTTTTGCCCACACTGGGTTTTATCAATTAACCAGACTTCTTGCATCCAAAATATCAAAAAAGATGAGAAAGAAGGCAAAGAGAGGGCAGAGGAAGAAGAAAGGGAGGACGAGGAAGAAGAAGAACTTATGAGGTAGGCCAAAAACAGTGCAAGCTTTGAAGGAAAGCTTGTTGAAAATGGCTGCCCGTTCCTGAGGTTGCCCAGTGAGGGTTCTAGAGGGATCCAATTCCACTGCTTGAATGGTACACCCTATTGTGCACAGAGCAACACAGGGTAGTGTATATGAAAAAAATACAAGGAAGTTCTGTGTCTTAACTCCACCCAGCCCTTGGAAGAGCAAGGGATGGCCAGGAAAGATAGGGCTCTATTCTTTCTTTTTGATTCCAGAAGCAGTAAGTGCAGGTGATACACACAATCCTATCATGCCAATGGTCTGGTACAGGTTTGCTTGGGGACCACAGGCAATTTAACCACTGGGCTTCTGGTTTTATCATCAGAAAATAAGCTGTACCACTTGCAGCTCTCTGAAATGTACCATGTATTTTCACTTTGCCAATGATGTCCCTTTTTGCTGGAATATTCTCCACCCACTCACCTACCTGGCAAATTCCTATGAATCCTTCAGGCTACACATCAAGTGCCATCTCCTTTACCCATGTTTCTATCTTAGCACTTTTCACATTGTATTATGGTGATCTGTTTGCTTACCTTTCTGTGTCGCAAGACTATAGTTTCTCAGAGGGTAGGAACAGCCATTTTATTCATTTTTTGTATCATTGGTGGTTAGTACATAGTAGCTGTTCAATAATCACCTGAAGATTTGAACTGAACCATGATCACAATAATTGTTTCTTTTTCAGGTCCTGGAATGAGTTTTATTCAATCACCAAGGACTTATGGACAGGGCTATAACTTGTGTAACTCCAGGGGCCCCATTCATATCATGTGAACGGGACCCCTGGAACTATGCAATATGTCAGCCCTGCATATGGAACTCCTGCCACAGGCCAGGCACTATGGTAGAATCCAAGTACCAGGAGCTTAAAATCTACTTACAGAGATGGGGCTAATATGAAAGGAGGAGACAATAATGGCACAGCCAAGGGTGTTCTTCTTGTGGGTACAGCAAGGATCCTGGGAAGAGGGAGATCTATGCAGATTACAGTCACTGGGAAAGACTTCGTGAGGAAGGTAGAACTTGCATTGTCCGTGATGACTGGGGTAGAAAACAGATGATAAAAAGTAGGTATACACAGAGCACAGAGGATTTTTAGGGCAGTGAAAAACTACTCTGTATGATACTGTAGTGGTGGATACATGGTGTTACCATATAAACATGTGGTAACAAACCCATAGAATATACAATACCAAGTGTGAACCCTAATGTAAACCATGGACTTTGGATGACAATGATGTCAGTGTAGGTTCATCAGTTGTAACAAATGTACCACTCTGGTGTGGGATGTTGAGAGAGGAAAAGGCTGTACATGTTGGGGGACAGGGGTATATGAGAACTCTCTGTGCTTTCTGCTGTATTTTGCTATGAACCTAAAACCACTCTAAAAAATAAAGTTGAATTTTTTTTTTTCTTTCTGAGACAGAGTCTTACTCTGTCACCCAGGCTGGAGTGCAGTGGCCGCGATCTTGGCTCACTGCAACCTCTGCTGTCCAAGTTCAAGCGATTCTCCTGCCTCAGCCTCCCGAGTAGCTAGGATTACAGGCGCCTGCCACTGCGCCCAGCTAATTTTTTGTATTTTTAGTAGAGACAGGGTTTCATCATCTCAGCCAGGCTGGTCTGGAACTCCTGACCTCGTGATCCACCCGCCTCGGCCTTCCAAAGTGCTGGGATTATAGGCGTGAGCCACCGTGCCGGCCAGTAAAGTTGAATTTTTAAAAAAGAAGGTATGAGCCTATTTGGGATATTAACAAAACAAGCATATTGAAAAAGAAGTAAGCAAAATACACAGGGAAAGCAATAAACCCATGGCCTGGCCATTGCTGGTAGAAGAGAGAATGCATTGAAGAGTAATAAGAAAGAAGGTTTGATAGGCAAGTTGGGGCCAGATAATGAAGAATCTTGAAAGCCAAGCAGAGAAATTGGGATTTGGTGTTGGAGAACACAAGGAAGTCTTGTAGCTTCTAGGGCTGAGAAGTGACATCATGAAAGTGGGATTTGATGAGACTTCAGAGAGAAAAGCAATCCAAGCATGCCCCCAGTCACTGAGGCACCGGGGGGGTTTCTCCCAGCTTGGTAGGTGTATGCTGTGAGCCCTGGACTGTCCATGAACAGAGCTGTAGAAGACAGTGGTCAATCTGGCAGTGGTAATGAGATCCTATAGTGCTTCCTGAGTATGAGCTTCCTCAGTTGGATCAAGGTCACCATTTGAATGAAGCTGGCATAACAGGGCATACAAGACAAGCAGTGCTCAAGTTTGAGGGGTTTGCCTGGATTTGCTGCTGACTTGCTGTTTGAAATTTGGCCTTGACGTTGTTCTTCTAATTACTAACAAAGGGGATGAATCAGACAATTCTATGGGAAATAGACCAGGTTCACCTTCTTATTAATTCTCCAGAGTTTCCTCACAGAGTGTAAGAGCTGAAGATAGGGTTTTGTCAGCTACACCTGGGAAACCAGTCAGCAGTCATTCAGCAAATACTTGTAGACTCTGAGGACAGAGCAGTAAAGAAAACAGACACACTCCCCGACCTCACAGAGCAAACATTCTAGTAAAAAGCTATGTAAAGTTAGTTTCTCAGCAGGTACAGAGAAAGATGAGTCCTGGAGCTGCTTAACCTGGAGAAATCAGGAGAGAGGGTGAAGAGTGACAAGGCCCAGCGAAGTGAGGTGGCTTGGCACCAAGAAGAGGGAGCAAGTTTACCTTATTCTAGAAGAATGGTCCTAAAGCTTTCTACCCCAACATACCCAAGGTATAAAAGCAGACACACTTCCTTCAGCAAGAGTGGCTTGTGGCCACATTGGAGCCCGGCGGGGATGAGAGTGGCCAGACACCTCCAGGGAAAAGATCCAGATACCCTCCCCAGTTGCACTGGGAGAACTGGATGGAGTGAGACACCATTCTCCAACATGCACCTTTTCAGCAGTGTTTTATAAGATAATATTGACATGAAGATGTTAAGTATTTCATGAAAATACATTAGGGTGAAAGCAAGTGTCAGTCTGTTCAAAATGTAATCAATATATTAATAATCAACCATGAGACAGAGACAGCAGCAAGGATGGGGTAAAGGAGATTAGCTCTCTTTCTCTGCCTGCTCTCCCTGGTATTGAAATCTGGCTATACTTCTTCCCAGCTCTTGAGAATTATTGCAAAACTGGGTCAATGAATCAAAGTCATGGAGTGGCAGATTCCACCTCAATGTAAGAAAGAACTTCTTTTTTTTTTGAGACAGAGTCTCACTCTGAAGTCTCCTCTTAAAGGGCTGTGCAAAACTCCAAACAGAAAGGCTTGGCTCTGAGAGAGCCAGATCCCAAGTGCCCCAGGGTTGTAATGAGTCTCCTCGCATTATTGAACAAACACCTCTAAGTCACCTTTTGCTGGAGGAAGCTTGGTCCTTACAGGAGGGCCTTAGATTGGGCCCTGATAAGGCAGCACATCCTGTCTGCCTCCCTGTCCACACCCTCACAGCTGAGCCTGCTGCGGTTGCTGCTGACTTCAAAGGCACTGCTTCCCTTGGATCCACATCAAGGACTGGAATGAGAAAAGGGTCCCCTGACCTTCTTATAGTGAGCGCTTAAACCTTTGTGTTGTGTGCATGTGGGGTGTGTGTGTGTGTATGTGTGTGTGTGTATTTTTCCTGTCACTATTGTGTTTTTATGCGCTGGATGTAGAATGTTTGAAAACAATAATCGGAAATTGTCTTTCACCTATGGCCGGAGGCTGGAATCTGGCTCAGTGAGGGGAGAGGCTGTGTTCACCCAGTGGGAACCTGGTGGCCACATGACGGATGTCACTAGGGTGGATGGCAGGGCCTTCCCAGCCCCGGTCCCAAACACTGGTGCTCTGAGGTCCCCTCAGCCAGCCAGGCCACTGGCACTTGTTGAGTGTGTCTCTGCGACCCGGCTCTTTCAGTGGGAGATGCCAGCCTGGAGCCCACCATCCACCTCACTCTCAAGGTTTTCCATTTCAGCTCAACCCGACCTGATTATCAACACCACACCAGGCCTGAAAGCCAGCCCTCTCCTGGGCTCTTGGGAAGGTGCCCTTGTGGTGGTGGGGAGCCCTGTGAGGAGATAGCAGAGTTTCCACCCACCCCGGGGTTAAGGCTATGGGTGCTGGTCGTGGGAAGCTGATGAACTCTGTGGCCATAAGTAAGGGATCGTGAAGCTTCTCCAACCCCAGCTGCCCGCTCAGGCCTGCACTCGGCTTCCTCTCTGGGGAAGGGCAACAACAAGCAGCTCCTTCTCACAAGCCCGTCCCCTGCTGGGAGGCATCGCCCAGCTTCAGTGGCCTCTCGTTAACAGAAAGCACCACAGCAATGCTAACAGGGGCCGGCTAGGCCTGTGCGGCATGACCTCTCCCAAAAGGAGACCAGCCAAGCTGCAGGCCAATACCCACAGGCTGCAAAGGAGACGGAGACTGTTGACGAGGGAAATAATGAGAAGCACGAAGATTTGTACCGAAGGGATATTGGCCGCAGAGAGCCTCTCTTCAGGCTTTCTCAACCATTCTTGGTAGGCCCTGAGGTTTAAAGGATCCAGCGCAGAAAAATCAGGCCCAAACTGATGAGGGCCTAGCCTTCCAAAAAGACGCAAATCACCCCTTTCCTGCCCCAAACACCGGGCAGAGCAAATGCTATTAATAACCCCAGCCTCCCCCAGCCCATGCAGGCCCTCTAGTGCGGCCAGCTGTTCCGAAACAGGTTTGGGAAAGTGATCTTTGGCACATAATGAAAAGGGTGTGTATGTGTGGGGGAGCACCCAAGAGTTCTCTATCAGGGCCAATATTATTTTTAATTGCCGAGAATCGGCCTGTGGCCGTTACTCAAGGCTGCAGAGCACAGGCTTGCCAGGGATCGGAAACCAACTTCAAGAGGAGGTAAAAAAGCACGTTCCAAGGACTGCTCATTACCGAGCTGTCGTTTCTTACGGAAAATCAGGTTACGCCTCAGAGTTTATACAGTCCTCTCCCCACCACCTCTCCCTCTTTCGTTCCCATTTAGAAAAGGAGCAGTGAATTTGAGCAATCTGGGAATTTTGGTTTCTGCCCTTCCCCCGAAGCATGACCGATGGCCCATTTTTCAAGCCAAATCTCACCCCTTGCAGGCAGCTGTCAGGAAACCACAGAAGGTGCTTGAAGGCACACAAGAAATGGCTGGTTCTAATCTGGAGAAAAAAATGAATTAACAAGGCAGCTACTTATGGAAGAATGTTTTCTTTTCTTCAGCCCCAGCCTGCATATTTTCACAACATGTGTACTCTGTTACCTTGTCACTTCCCTGTTTTCTTTGGGTAAATAACTGGGCTCTGGACTTGGGGGGCGGGAAGAAAGAAAAACCCAGCTCGCAGTATCACTGGGAAGGCCTGGCAGGCTGAGCTGGAGGGGAAGAAGGAGCACGCCCCGAGGAGAGAACAAGCCCATTGCAGGCTCGGCTTGGCCCATTCTGGATGGGGCTTTTCATTGAACTCTGCAGGTAATGATGTGGCAATGAGAGACGGAGGAGAAAACTGCTCACCTCAGCCTTGGGCTTGGCAGACCTGAGGCTGAGGGAAATAAAGAACTTCTCTCCTTCGCCAAGTCAAATGTGAAGCCCTCTCTGAACCCGGCAGAGTCAACAAGGCAGACGGAGGCTTTTCTGCCAGCCTCTGCCCTCCCACTGGCTAGAGAAGCGGCCAGGGTGAGAGAGGTTGGTCTCATCATGCCCAGCCGTGAACTCTGGAGGGACCGGCAGCAGCCCGGGCCTTCCGTGGAGCACACTATTGCTTCCTTTGTAGCAATACATGGTCCATGTTTGGATGTGGAGGCAATGGGCTCCATCCAGAAGGTGCCCAGAGGTTTCTGAGTTCCTCTCTTCCAGAGCTGCTGTGAACATTTTCACTTCTCTGGCCTTGGAATACTTACCTTGTGATGTCTGTACCATACCCTGGATGGGTATCTAGCATGGCATCTTTTAGATATGCCCTGGTGATGAGGGCACCAGGGGGATGAATAGCTGTGGGGAAACAAATGGCCACTCTAACAAGTCAGGGTCTTTTCTTCATAACACTATAGCAACTCTCATTTGCTTAGGTCCTCACAGCTGATCATTAGAACAGAGAACTAACAATAATATTGCTGCCTCATTACTCCTAAGACTGCACAGTACACAAAAGGAGTTAGTTTGCCACGTGCCAAAACATGGCTGTGGGTGCTGGCTCCACCCTGCAGAGGGAAACTGAGGCAGAGAGCGCTCAGAGGCTGAGACCAGCACAAAATCCCCCACAGCTGACATGGCAAAGGCAGGGTTGACTGGGGGCTGTATGGGCCTCTGCATAAGTCCATTTCCTTTCTGCATTTGCTCAAGAGCCTTTGGTTCCCACCTTAAACTCCCTGTCTCACCCTGTAGATCACACAGCCTTCGTCAGGCAGAGGTTTGGCGTTCAAAAGTGGCATTTTCCGTTGCAAAGATCTGGCCCCCACCTGTTGAGTGGTTCTTTCAGTATCACTGGAAGGGCTGCAAATGTCTGGTGAGGCAGGGTCACTTGGAGAGAAAATTTGATGCGTTGTAAGCGTTGCCTCTTCAGAACTGGCATTTCCAGGGTGACGAGGGCTTTCACAGGGAGAAAAAGGACAAACCAAAAGCTTTCTAGGACAGTTATGGACTCTCCAAATTATTCATGTGGTCTAATTCTGCAAAGACAGCTTCAGAGACGTGCTGTGAGGCAGACAGGAGCAGCTCTGAGGACAAAGACAATAGCTCGTGTACATTGCTGCCACAAGGACCATGCTGAGAACTTTGCACACATGACCTCATTTCATCCTCCCACTCGCCCTCTGCATGGAAGACTGTTGTCCTCCTTTTCCAGCAGAGGAAACTACAGAGACCAGACAAGTCGGGCCACCAGTGTGACTCTAAAGCCGGTATGTTCATTCACCAAGCTGCAGTGCCTTTGAGGACAAAGCTGAAGGAGCTCCCGTCTCAGAATGATGCCATTTAGCTCGAGGGCCTGCTCCCTCTGGCTTGATGGCCTGTCCAGAAGGCTCTGCCAGTGCCCAGATGTAAACATCTCTCCAGCAGCGTTGCCACGTGGAACCCTCACGCTGCTGGTCCCTGAGAAGCCACACGGGGAACTTGCCTTCCTCTGCCCTCCTCCCAGGCCCAGGCCTTGACCTACCTGGTTTATATTTATACCTCAGCCTGAATCCTCACACTGCTATTCTTTTCTTCTTCCTAGTCACCTCGCCTAAGTGTCCCCAGCGGTGCTCTGCAGAGCAGAGGCCCCAGGTGAGCATGCCTGCTGTAGAATTAAGCTGTATTTCTCCAAGGGGGCCCTCTAGATGCCCAACCTCAGAATCCCCTGGGGTGCGCTAAGAATGCAGATTCCCAGGCTCTGCCACAGACCTCAATAAGACTTTGAGTGGTGGGGTTAGAAACCGATATTTTTAATAAGCCCCCTAAATGATCCTTAAATTTGAGGTCCACAATTTAGGCTTTCCAATGAATTAGGATACGTTGATCACCAGACGTTGTGGAAGCGGGCACCATGCGAAGAGCTTGTTGTGTATTTGGGAGCCAGCATGGGAGTTCTCAGCTGGGGAGGCTGGGGTGAAAGGAAGTCAGGAGTGGCAGAGGAAGGTGTAGGAGGCAGGGCAATATTTCTGCCAAACCATTTGGAACTCCTAGATGGGTGATGGCCCTGGCAAAAACATGCTCCAAGAAAGTTCCAAGCAAAAGGCTTCCAGAGCCCCATTTCAGGCGTTCCTGAATCTGGCCCATTTTCTGCCCGGAAGCAGTATCCCTTCTGTTCCCTGCCGGATGATCCCAGTGAGCATGAGGGAGAGAGAATCAGGCCCTAGGGCTTCCAGAAGCGAAGTCAAGTAGCCTTGTAGTGTGGAGAGAGCAGGGTGGAGATGGAGAGAGGGGGACATCCTGGGGCAGAAGTGTGTGTGGGGCGGGGGGAGGCCAGGTCAGTGCTTCTGAAGGTCACTTTTTGTTTTTGAGATGGAGTCTCACTTTTGTCACCCAGCCTGGAGTGCAGTGGCGCAATCTCGGCTCACTGCAACCTCCGCCTCCCGGGTTCAACTGATTCTCCTGCCTCACTCTCCCGAGTAGCTGGGATTACAGGCGCTCACCACCATGCCCGGCTAATTTTTGTATTTTTAGTAGAGATGGGGTTTCACCATGTTGGCCAGGCTAGTCTCGAACTCCTGACCTCAGGTGATCCGCCCACCTCAGCCTCCCAAAGTGCTGGGATTACAGGCGTGAGCCACCGCGCCCAGCTCTGAAGGTCACTTTCAAGTAGATTTAGGGGAGCAGCAGCCCCCAAGTCCCCAGACTCATTAATAAAAGACCTCCCAGGTGGGCCACTGTATGCCGAATATGAGATGAACCTTTTGGTGAGTCAGTCTGGAGTCTGAGAAAATGAAAACAAAAATCCTTTATGAAATTGAAAAAGAATTTTTTTTCCGCCTCTCCAACAGCTCCAAAACAACAGAACACAAAGTACTTTAACCTTTGAATGTGGCAAGACCTCCGTGAAAAATCGTTTCTCAGCCCATTTGATGGGAAAAGGGTGCTATTTTTGTGACTACCTGTAACATCTGAGTATGCTCGTCAGAAGTCACTCCGAGGAAAAATCTGATTATTAGTTGGGAAAATGGGGCAAGGAGGAGGCAGAGAAGAGAAGTAGCTCTGCTGGGTATGTGGCAGTGTGACTTCTAGAACTGTTTGTGTCCATGTGGACTTGGACAAGCCACTTCAGGACTCTGGGTCTGGGTCTTCTCATCCAAAACAAGGTAGGGAAGAGCCGCGCAGCCAGCAGAGCTGCTGCCTTCAGCACTGGGGACCCCAGGGCAGACATAGGGCTTCTGCCTTCTGCCCATTCCACATGCTGGAGTCCTCCTCGGGGTGCAGTCCTGGCAAGCGTGTGTGTCTGTGGTCAAGACGACAGACCTTTCCTGCCATTGCTTTAGTGGGAAAATTGCAGAAAAAGGACTACAAACACCTCTGCAGTCTTCCTTTGATTAATGAAATCAGGGCATTACTCAGAATTGCTCCTGGGGGCGCAGTGACCCACGCATGTAACCCAGTATTTTGGGAGGCTGAGGCAGGTGGATCACATGAGGTCAGGAGTTCGAGACCAGCCTGGCCAACATGGTGACACTCTTCTCTACCAAAAAGGCAAAAATTAGCCGGGTGTGGTGGAGGGCACCTGTAATTCCAGCTGCTTGGGAGGCTGAGGCAGGAGGGTCACTTGAACCTGGGAGGCAGAGGTTGCAGTGAGCCAAGATCACGCCACTGCACTCCAGCCTAGGTGACAGAGCAAGACTCCATCTCAAAAAAAAAAAAAATGCCCCTGGGATGTGTATTAATCACAGGTTAATGACTTACAAATTCATATCGTGTCATATGTATGACAGATTATATTTAGATGTATTTATATTACATGTATGACACTACATGAGTACAAATTACAGGTGTTTGTACAGATATTTGTATATTTATTAAAAATATCTATTATAAGTATAGATAGGTAATTACCTACTATTTTATAGGTATTTGTCTCTATAGACACATATATATGGACAGGTTTTTTTGTGTGTATATATATATATGCACACATATATATAACACTATATCAATACAAATCACAGGTATTTTTATATATATTACAAATACCTATTAGAGATATGTATTAGTAAATGTCATATACATATTTATATATATATACATGTAAATATATAGGTATTTGTGTGTATATGACACTATATGAATACAAATCACAGGCATATACTTACACACAGATACGGAGTCACCCAAGGATTCCCTATAAGGCCATGGACAAAAAGCATGTGTCTCCCATGGTGGACTGAATTGTGTCACCCTCAAAAGATACACTGAAGTCCTAACCCTGGTACCTGTGAATATGACCTTATTTTTGAAATAAAAATATATTTGCAGATGTAATTATGATGTAGGTGGAGATGAGATTATTCTGGAGTAGGGTGGGCCCTCAATCCAATACGGCTGGTGTCCTTATAAGAAGAGGGGAGAGGAACAGAGACAGACACTGTCATCCACAAGGAGACCACCATGTGAAGACACAGATGCATAGGGAAGGGCCACGTGAAGATGACAGCAGTGACGGGAGTGGGGCAGCTACAAGCCAAGGAATGTGGAGGAGTGCCGGCCACCACCAGAAGCTGAGAAGAGGCAAGGAAGGACCCTTCCCCACAGCCTTTAGGAGGAACATGGCCCTGCCGAAACCTTGATATCACACCTCTAGCCTCCAGAACAACGATGCAATCAATTTCTGTTGTTTTCAGACACTCAGTAAAGTACCCGCGTGGCTAGGGGAGCCCTAGGAAGCGAGTATAGCTCTCGTGGCCGAATGGAATGAAGCGAAGCCTTCATGTCAGCATTGGGCTTGCAGGTGCTGAGCCCCCGATGGTGGCCCCTCTTCCCGGCTTTCTCTCAGGGGCATGGGTGGGGTGGAGATATTCAACTACTTCCAACGGAAACCAACACTTGAAAGGTTATGAAGGCCCCTAAACCTCCTGCTCTTCCATGGTGATGGCTGACAGCTAAAGCCACACTGCCACTACCCTAAGCCCAAGCTTGATCACCTGGAAATGGGGACTGAGAGAGGACGAGAACAGCACAGCCTTTGAGCTCTCATGGGGTGGCGTAAATTTATGGTCAATATGCCTCCAGATCAGAGGTCCTGCTGTTAGAGAGTTTTCTTTTTTTGCTTTAGTGGTACACAGGAATTCTCCCCCAGCCCCCTCAAGATACTCACACATCTTTTTAAAATTTGCACCTTTTTTTCAGTCTGGTTTCCTATGGTGAAGGGGAGGCTAGGAAATGCCCAATAAATCATCTGTCTGTCTTCACTCAATTGAAAGGCAGGAAATGCAGAGAACAGTCACGTTACCTTTCCACTTTGCATATAACAAGAGCTATCAGGACCTGTTCCTTTGAAGGGGAGGCCCTTCTGACAGCAATATTAAATTTTCGAGGCCACTGGAGTTTGTTTCTTGGGACCAGACCCAAAGTGGGCAGGCATGTGGGATGTTGGCTCTTTCCCCTACCAGCCCCTTCTAGGAGTAACTTCTTGGGCTTACCCTGGGAAATCTACTCAGTCAGCAATGATTTAGGGGCTCCATGTGCACAGCACCATTGTAAGTCTATGTGGATTAAAGGAATTCTACTCTTGAGTCCTAATTCTTAACAAATTTACATCTACAGACAGTCCTAGACTTATAATGATTCAACTAAATGATTCCTTGACTTTATGATGGTGTGAAACTTCCAATTTTAACACAATGTACAGTATTCAATAAACATGAGATATTCCCTACTTTATTATAAAGTAGGCTTTGTGTTAGATGATTTTGCCCATTGTAGGTTAATGTAAGTGCTCTGAGCATGTGTACGGTAGGCGAGGCTAAGCTACAGAGGTTTGGTAAGTTGGGTGAATTAAATGCATTTTCAACTCACAATATTTTCAACTTTCGATGGGTTTATTGGAACTTAAACTTATTATGAGTGGAGATTCATCTGTAGTTGGTGCAACAGCTAACCCATGTACATAAAATAATGACCCCATACAAGGGAGTTTATAAAAAGTGTTCTCCTGAAAGTGTAGAAAGGAGCCGAAGATGCTTCCAGGTGGCCAGCCAAAGCTTCTTGGAAGAGGTGAAGGCTCTGAGCTGAGGCTTGAAGGCTAGGTAGGGCTGGGGAACACAGGAAGGAGAAATGGCAGTGCCCCAATGCCGGGGACTCCTGAGGATGCCATGGAATGAGGTGTGAGGAAGCTTATTCAGGGAACACTGAGAAACTCAGGGTGTGTGGAGAAGGTGGGGTGGGGTGGTAGGAAACAAGGCAGGAAGGGTATGCAGGCGCCATCCTCTAGGATGCTTTGTGGATGACAGATTAAAATTGTGCTTGCAGTTGGTGTGACCAGCCCTCCCTGGAAGATGGCCTCCACTTGGTCTTGCATTCAAAGAAACATATGTAACTGCAAATATTTTCAGGCCTAATGTGATCTCCATGGTAGGGTTTCCTGAGAGGCCATGCAGGGGTTTCCTGCAGTGCATTTCCCAGTGAACCTTTCCTCAAACCTTCTGGGACATTTGCTCCTCAGGTTTCACGCTCTTAAAAGACTCCTCAGTCTTGTTCTTCCTCCCTTCCTCTTTCTAGCCACCTCCTCTTCTCAGGCCGCTCTCTCCCCATCCCCCAGGGGTCCCCTCACTTGTCCTCTGGGTAGCCTGGGCTGAACTCCACCTGATGGCTTTAGGAGCCATCTGGGAGCGATCTGCAGGGAGGAAGGGCATGCTGAGGACGCTTCAGACAAGGAGAGCAGCTGGAGGCTGTTGGTTCCAGGTAGGGGCCTGAGCAAGGCCCTGGGAAGGAAGAGTCCCAAAGTAGGATAGGAAAGTCCAACAGGCATCAGGGTGCCCAAGGATGGCTCTGGTCTGGGTGGGTTTTCACGTTTGAGGTCTGTCCCCGTTGCCTGACTGTGGGGCCATGTGTTGTTCCCTGCTGTTTCCCCATGCCTAGAAGATGTCCAGAATATAGTAGGTACTTAAAAAAGTAACCATTGAGTGAATAGCAGCTGAGGTATTAGAAGAAATAAAAAGTATTCTTAAGAAGAACACTAGTACAGTGACTTGGCTCATAATAGGAACTCACTGTGCCGATTCCCTTCTTCTCTTCCCTTCTATGTCAAATGTTTTGTGCTCAGCACATCCACCTTTAGAATTCTTTTCAGAAAAGATAGCACATATTGAGCCTTAACATCCAGTCCATGAAGCAGGTATCACAGGGAAAAAACCCATACTGGCTCTCAAGGAAGTGAGTGAGTTGTACACAGGACAAGCCAGGGTCTCCCTGTGTGTCTAATGGTGAGGGGTGGGATGCGGAGGGTATTTCCAGTGCTGTCTATGATTTCACCCAGCTGTCAATCAGGGTCTTGTCTGTTTTATTCAGCTCAGCACTGAGCACACTGGGGACATCTAATATGTTTCTACTGAATAAATGAATGTTGGGATGGGTGAGTAAGTAACTCAGCAGTGCCCCGGCTGAAGAGAAGGGATCCTTTGCAACCCCATGGCTGTCAGTGAGCAAACAGCCCAGGATTCACCCGCCCTGCTGTCCCCAAAGGCAGGAATGCCAGCAGGTGGAAGAGGGGAGACTGTGATCCACCTGGGTCCCACATGCCTGTTTCCAGTTTCTGCCCACCCTGATTCATAGCTGGGTGGAATCATAGGCAGCACTGGAAATACCCTCCAAGATCATGTGTCCCACCCCGTTAGACAGACAGGGACACTCTGGCGCGTTTCATGTACGACTCACCCACTTCCTTAAGAGCCAGTGTGGGTTTCTTCCCCTGTGATATCAGCTTCATGGACTGGATGTTAAGGCTTAATGTGTTATCTTTCCCAGAAATACTTTAATTCCAAAGATGGATGTGCTGAGCACATAACATTTAACACAGAACAAGGGGTAAGAGAGAAGGAACCAGCACATACGGATGTCCTATTATGAGTGAGTCACTGTGCTAGTGTTCTTCTTAAGAATATTTTTTTGGCCGGGCACGGTAGCTCATGCCTGTAATCCCAGCACTTTGGGAGGCTGAGGCGGGCGGATCACGAGGTCAGGAGTTGGAGACTAGCCTGGCCAACATAGTGAAACTTTGTCTCTACTAAAAATATAAAAATAGTCGGGTGTGGTGGCAGGTGCCTATAGTTCTAGCTACTCAGGGAGCTGAGGCAGGAGACTCACTTGAACCCTGGAGGTGGAGGTTGCAGTGAGCTGAGATTATGCCACTGCACTCCAGCCTGGGCAACAGAGTGAGAGTCTCAAAAAAAAAAAAAAAACTTTTTAATTTTTCCTAATACCTCGGCTGCTATTCATTCAACAATTACTTTTTAAGTACCTACCATATTCTGGACATCTTCTAGGCATGGGGAAACAGCAGGGAACAAAACAGACAAAAATTCTGCACTGTCACACTGACATTATGGTAGAGAAAACAAAAAGAAACAAGAAAATGAATGAAATACTAGTATATTAGAAGGTGATAAATGCTATGGAAGAAAATAAAGAGCAGGAAAGGAAGACAAGAAGTGCTGGTGGAGGGAGTTTGCAGTGGGGCGGGGGTTGCCATTAAGGTAGAGGAGCCAGGGAAGGCACCACTGGGAAGGTGACATTGAAGCAAAGACTTGAAGAGGTTAGAGAATCAGCTGTGTCGGCATGTGGGGGAGAGGAGTCCAGGTGTAGAAACCACTCACCAAGGGAAACCTCCGGCAGGAGGACTGTGTGAGGTCTGTTCAGAGAACAGCAAGGAGACCAGCCTGGTAGGTAGGACACTGAGACCACTCTTTACACCCAGGAAGAACTGGCTTTTCCTGTTAGCTCGTTTGGTTAATTGTCTTGCTTAGGAGGTCAAGGTCACAGGTGTGACTTTTGTTTTGAGACTTTTGTTTTCCAACAAAAGTCATCTTGCAAGGACAGAAGAGATGGTCACATTAATAGATTAATTATCACAAATCTGTCCTTGGAGCTGGTCTGGAGCCTGACTCTACAGTCAACTACCTATTTACACTTACACATATCATCACCCTTTCTAAGCCTCAGTTTTCTCCTTTGAAAATGGGGGACCCACTTAGTAATACCCTATGAGATTGGACTTATGTATTGTATAAAGCACTCTGTAACTGTGATCTGCTGTAGAAAGTTTTCATTGTTGTTATTATTATACCCTAAAAGTAACTCAGGGTCTATGTCCAGCTCATGTTGGGTCTGTAAAGCCATTTTAGTAGACAAAGCTCATTTCTTAGCTCTGTTTGCTAGGTTGCAGAGACGATTTTTACTTATGTGTTATAGCAATCTTATTATTTTGGGTGGGAAAAGATTTCATGAGGCTCTCACCAGCCCCTCTGACCTTTGGCTGGATCTGTCAGGCCATTTCCCAAACCTGAGATGATCCTACTATCCCCACCCTCCCCCCACCCACCTCCACCCCACCTCTGCTTTTGTCTCTGCCTCACTGGAGAGAGCTGCACATCTGTGCTAATGGCCTCTATTCCTAAATCACACAGTGTGACCTAGGTGCTCAATGCTGCCAAACAATTTTCATCCTTTGGTTAAGCCCTTGTTTGCTTCCTGCACTGGGAGCTCCAAACCAACTCCACCCTCCCCAAGTCCCCAGCCCCACCTCGCCTCTCTTTGCTCGCAGTAGATGGCTCGTCTTCAGCTGCACTAGAGAAGCCAGCTCAAAAATATGAACTTCTTCCTGCCTGGAAATTCCTTAACCAGAACTCAGTCTACCCTTGGCTCTGCCCATCTCTTCTAGGGCCAGAGCCAATAACATCTCTCTTGTGGAGAGGATGGTTTCTTTCTACACTGCTTACCATATTACTCTTTCTATAGAAATAATCCAAGTGATCCCAAAAGATTTATGGATAAAGAAGGTGATTGCTGTCCTGTTGATCACAGCATAAACTGGGAAGCTACCATATGTTCAACAAAAGGGGACTGGTTAAACTGATCATGGTACAGCCATGCAGTGGCAAGGAGGGCTTTATCAATAGTACAATCCCAATTTTCTTAGAAGCAAAATGAAATCAGCAACAACAAACACAAATATGTGCGATAGAGGAAGAAAGACTGGAAGGAAATATACAAAAATAGAAACAGTGATTATCTTCTGATGATGAGAGTATGAGGGATTTTTACTTATTCTTAGTACTTTACTCTGAAATTTCTACTATAAGCACATAGTATTTTTATAATTAGAACAACAAGCAAAAATATTAACAATATCATTTCTCCTTAGAAAAGCTGCATGTGATTCAGTTCCTCTTACTTATCCCTTTAAGTGCAGCATTTCCTGGGGTGGTGCCTGGTTGACAGCTGCACATGTAAGGACTAGAAGCAAAGAAAACCATAACCAATTAACATTACAGTGGGAACTGAGGCGTGGAGAATGGAAATGCCTCCACAGAAACGTGTTATTACTAACTTTTTTTTTCCATCATGGGACAGGTGTTTAAGGGAATGCACTAAATTTGCTCCAGATAATTTATTTTTAAAAAAATACTATGATTATTGCATTTTTCTGCTTCTCCTTTCATGGGAACTTTTAACATGGGAACTATTTGGTAATGGATGTTGCATTTTAGGTCTTTTAAATCTATTTAATGGAGGCCCTACTGTGTGCCACCACTGGTGAGACAAGGGGTTATCTGCCATTGTGTCTCAAAAGGGAATGGGGCAGCATCCCTCACTAGGGGCTTTGCAAATGTTTGGGGGAGTTTTTGATTGTCAACATGACTGAAGGAAAGGTGCTGTTGATTTAGCGGGTGAGGGCCAGTGTTGCTACACACCCTGCAATATATGGGGCAGTCCTATATAACCAAGAACGGACCCACCCCAATCCCAATGCCTGGGAGGTGAAACATGGAACCAGACAGTACAGTGCGGAAGACGCAAACTCTAATGCTCCCCTACCCTCAGGCCAGGCAAGCAGAGGCTGTAGTGAAGTGGGGACAGCGGTTTCGAGCACTGGCCAGCATCACTACGCTTAAATCCAGGGTTACTGTATCTCCTGGGCTTCCCAGCAAAGCCAGAAATCTAGATGTGGATGTAAAATTTCCTGATTAAAGAAACAAACAAACACGCACAGAATGGGCCAAACAAAACATATCTATGGGGCAGATTTGGTCTTTAGTCTCCACTTGCAACACTGCCTTAGGTAAAGACGTGGTCCCTGTCTTCATGAGAGTAATAGAACAGCACCCTTATGACTTCAAATGCAAGTCCTAGAGGGGACAAATAAGGGTTCAAATCGCAGCTCTGTCATTTATTACCTACGCTCTTGGCAAGTTCCATAAAATGTAACTGATGGTAACACTCTTTGGTTTGTGCTGAAGATGCATCTGGGGAGAGACCCCAGTGCCTGCACATGGAAAATGATTAATAATGCAGAGCTATTATTATTATTATTAAGGATATCACAGTCTAAAATAAGCATCTACTGTGTACAGCACTCTGTGCTAGGTGCTGAGGTGTAAATAAGTGTGAGAGAAAGCCCTTGACCTGGAGGTGTTTTCATTCTAGAAAAAGAGAGAAATCCTGGATGTAAATACTGTGAGCTGGTCAGATTTAAGAATATGACTGACGTCAGATACTTACTGGAGATCAGAAGCAGGCACTTCTTGGGAAGGGGGGAATCCTGCCAGGCAGAGAGGAAGGCAGGGGAACAGCCTAAGCAAAAGCAAGGAGACAGATGACAAAATCACAGCAACACATGCTTATCACAGCCAGGCACTCTCTGAGGCCTCTGTTGGGGAGAAATCTGCTGCTTGGGCATCAAACCTGCGAGGGACGCGACTTGGGGCTGAAGGGGCCCTGGAGCCAGGTCATGGGACTGCTGACTGCCAGGCCAGAGCATGGATATTTAATGTGTGGACAGGGAGTGGAAACAAGGAAGTGAGCTGTAGGGACAGTGATCTAGGATCCAAGGATGATGTGGAAGTGAAGATGGGGACAGCAGCCGTGTGGGGAGAGCACGCCTGAGGCCTGGGACTGGGTAGTGAGTGCTGAGGAGGTGCTTTGCCAGGCCTCCGGAAGAATGGAATTTGGGAGTGCTGGGGTAAGCAGTTAAAACTGACTGCCTGGGGGATCATGGGAATTTTATATAGGGAAGATAATTTGAAACTTTTGTACCCCCTCCACACTATTCTGGCTTGCTCTCTCCACCCTCTGCTAGGATGTTCATTCACTGGCATGTTTGTTTTCTCTGTTGACTACTCTTCATGGTTATAAATGCCTCTCTTTAACTATTTTTTAAATTTTTGGAAGCAACTCCTTCTCTGGAAAATTTGCTATTATTTCCCAATGTCTTTAGAAAACCTGGACTCATCCCCCACCCCTGCCTTTCTAGAACACAGATCACTGCTAGGGTTATTGATGGACTGGGTACAGCAGAACTTCCAGAGTTTTCGCCCATCTAGGCTGGCTGATAGGGAATTCCATATTGCATATGAAGGAAGGATGTGCTTAGCAAATACCATGAAACAACATTTGCAGGGGAAATTGCTAATCCACTAAAAGAACAAACTGTCTCCAAGCACTCCAACAACATTCATTTACATTCCAACAGGCAAAATGCTGTTTACACAAGAGGCGCATCTATTTTTAAAAGTACACCAGGCACACCTCTTCTAGGGAAGATTCTGTAAGCTGTGACTCTGCAGGATAAAGAGTAATAAGACTGCTTTGCTGGGGATGTCCCATACCTGAGGTTCTTCAGACCATAACCGGATTTGGTCCAAACCAATGACGTTTCGCTGCAATGCATCTTTAGCATGAAAGATTCCATGAATAATCACTTAAGGTCCCCCAACAGACAACTGCTATACAACCACTGGAGGGGTACTTACACCTAAGGACTATTAACCCCTCCAGGAAAGAATCCTTTGCTTTGAAAAGTGAGTATAATGCCCTCATGTCCACATTTCCAGGAGGAAAAGTAAACAAATCCAAGTGTGTGGTGACTGGCACCTCATGGGCCAGGAGGGAGCACGGCGCAGCGTGTGCACAGGAAGTGAGCACTCCAGTGAGTGAAAGGGGGCAGAGCCTGCCTGCAGAGGGGTGAGAAAGTCTCTCCATGTTGCTCCCTCAGAGGAGTCCTGCTAGTTCTTTTTCTGTAGCAGGACAATCTACGCCCTCCTTCTGAGTCCCCCAATCCTCCACCACCACTAAAACAGATGTGGGGGACAGCTGGAAAACTTGCAGCAATGAAGAATTATTAGACAACGGTCAGAGCTGACCGAAGTTTTAAGAGGCTGCCTTGTAGATGGCAAGTTTCCTGTCACCAAACATAAGCTCACCATCAGTCAGCAGAGAGTGGCAGGATTCCGCTGTAGCTTCCCACATGACTTAGTAAAAAGAAATACCTATCAGACTTCTTTTTCCCTTCATCTGGATCTTTCTATAAAAATGTGTCCAGGGCGGCCGGGCGCGGTGGCTCACGCCTGTAATCCCAGCACTTTGGGAGGCCGAGACGGGCGGATCACGAGGTCAGGAGATCGAGACCATCCTGGCTAACACGGTGAAACCCCGTCTCTACTAAAAATACAAAAATTAGCCGGGCATGGTGGCGCGCGCCTGTAGTCCCAGCTACACGGGAGGCTGAGGCAGGAGAATGGCGTGAACCCGGGAGGCGGAGCTTGCAGTGAGTCGAGATCGCGCCACTGCACTCCAGCCTGGGCGACAGAGCGAAACTCCGTCTCAAAAAAAAAAAAAAAAAAAAAAAATGTGTCCAGGGCATGGATGAAGCACTAGATAAGAGCTAACATTCTTGTGGTTAGCTGCACCAATGATTTGGTGCAAGCCACTCCTCACTGGTCAAATGAAGTTTGGGGCTCAAAGAAATGTGAGTTGTGCCCTCCTTTTCTCCCCCCATCCCTCCCCCTGGAACATTCTGTGACTATAGACTGTGGCTCAAAAACGGGGATGTTCCAAGTCTGACTCAGTCACCAGCCTTGGAGTTAGGGTTGTCCTGAGGAGATAAGACAGACAGCTGGGAGACTATCTGGTGGCTTTTGAAGAACCTGACCTACTCCTGGGGCTCAAAACCCTCAGCTCCCACTCTGACTCCCAGGGCCTGAAATGCCAGCCTCACAGTCACTCCCTGGGGATCTGAATACACCCCTACCCACTCAGGGGTCCTGTAATCAAATGCAAATTAGGTCTTTATTCAACAAAGGGGTGGGAGGAGGGATTTGCTGACAACCCTGTGAGTGCCTGGCAGAAGGCCCTGGGGACTGATGGCCCCCCATGGAGGGAGGTCAGGAAAGAAAGGAGAACAGAAAAGGGAGAGAGCTCAGAAGGGGTCAGAGGCCTCGGGCAGCCCCCACTTCATCCCCAGTGTGCCCTGGGTGGGGGGATAATCCTGGGTCATCAGCCTTGGGCATTGTCTTAGCAGTGTCAGGACGCCCACCCTGCGCATCACTGACTACACTTCCGGCCTCCTTGCATGTGATGCTCTGTGCTAACCAGCAATTCTTCAGGCCCAGAACGCACAGACATCCACTCTGTCCCTCTCATTTCTCCCAAGACCCCAAGAAGTCAGGACTCAACACTAAGAGTAGGGCCTGATGGGGCACAGCTTGGAGAAGAGGCGTGCACAGAGGGTGGAGAGCCATCTCGGAACCAGCTCCTGCGGAGTAAATCAAACTGCCGTCCTCCCCCACAACCCGCTCTGCAATCCTTTCCAATCAGGGAGTCTAAAATTACCATATTTACAGCATCTGCAGCCAAGCCAAGCACTAAACAAGATGAATAGCAGTGACGCACGAGCCTGAGTGGGAGCCGGGGTAGAAGCATGCAGCAGGCTGGGCTGGGCAGGGCTGGGCTGGGCTGGGATGGGCCCTGGGGGCAAGTGAGCCACAGCGGGAGAGTGAGGACAGTCCCAGGCAGGGGTCCTGATGGATGAACTCACCCAGCACTAAGGGGAGGTAGAGGAAGGGGTGGTGGGTGAGGAAGCCTCGGTATCTCAGCCTTCTTAGAAAAAGAGAGGAGGCAATTAACAGAGAGAGAACATGAGAATATCCTGCTGACTTTAGGTTTCTCTCCTTCCTCCTCTGCCTCCCTCCCCTTAAACTCTCCAGGAGGAACCCACTGAGGCCTCCAAGACAGGATGCCTTCCATGGAGTTTCCTTGTGTATATGTGGGGTGGGGGATTTCCAGAAGGGTTTTGCTCTGGATTCTTCCAGTGGGGATACCCATGCCTTGTGAGTTTCCTTCCCAAGCAGCCTTTTCCAAGGACACTCTGTCAACCTACACAGACCAGTGACTTCATTCCTAAAAAAGGCCTGCAGGTCTGGGTGCTTTCGTTCTGGAGGAGAGTGAGGCCAGGAATGACAGGGAGTGTGTTCTGCTTCAGGGTGTCCCAACACTTTTTGTCCAAGCCTGGCTGTTCTCTCCCCGGAAGGAAAAACGCCCAGGAAAAGAGGCTTGGTGACTCATGACCTGCTCACTTGTACTTGGAGTTTCAGAGCTAGGAGGGAGCTACAGACAACAGAGAGAGGGAAAGAGACAGGGCCAAGGAACCCGGGCTTGTGGACTCTAAGGCCAGTGCTGTGTCTCCTGCCCCGGAGGTTCACCTTAGATTCCGTGATGCTCCCGGGTGCTGAGGAGTGAGCGGGGCTCCTGGACCCCAACACTCCTTCCTTCAGCCAGAGCATCTCCATTTTGAGCTGTTTTGTGGACTGGCCTTCTCTTTATGTTTTCATTTCATTTCCCCAAAATGTTCAGTGACTTGAGTAAAGTCCCTGGCCTGTACGTGCCGACAGGAAGTGAAAGGTAACAGTGGATGGCCGGAAGGAAGGCAGAATGAGGTGTCTTTAGAAACAGATGGAATGTAGCAGGAGATGCTGAGAAAGGAGGTTAATCCCGACACAAGGTCATGATCAGCACTCACGTGTGAATCAGCCCCCAGAAGAAGATGTCTCCTCTGAGAGATTTAGAGCCAGAAGCCACCTGCACTAATCGTGCCGGAACCTGAACTCAGATCCCGAAGTGTGGGCTGTTTGTTAGGCACCGGTCTAGTCCATGACAGCCATTTGTAATAGGAGGTGAGGAGAGGCTGGATTTGCTGGTGCTTGAGTTGGAGTTGCACAAAAAAAATGTTTCCAAGCTGAGAACATCATGAAATAGGCAGACCATTCAGCACATGACTAATTCTGGCCTCACCCTCAGGGTGTGCTAGAAGGAGAAAGTCCTGATAAACTGCACAGAGGTGTTTCTGCTCTTCTCACTTGCCCAGAATTGCCAAGAGTTTGCCATTAACATTAACATGGTAAGAACTGAGTGGAGTTGGTCGCCCAAGATAACAGCTCCCATTCCCACTGACCTCTGCCCTGTCCTAGGTAGGGCCCATGCTATCCCATAGTAGCCAGAAGTCCTCTTCTCTTCTCCTCCCGCCTCTCAGAGCACACCTGTCTCCTCCCCCCAGCTCCTCTTTCCCACCCTCCAGTGGTATTCCTCCAGTTTTGGGGCTTCTATTTTTTCTTTCAACTCTGTCTGCTCTCCTTGAGTGACTTTACTCTTTGTTGGCTTCGTTTATCACCAAAAGCCTGTGACCTCAGCTCCAGCCATCTTCCAGAATTGCCCACGTATATTTCCAACTGTCTACTGGACATCTCTAGTGGAACATTCTATGGTTGTCTCAAATCATACATGTCCAAGACTGATCTCACTATCTATGCTCCCTTACTTCCCATAACAAGCCCCTCTTCACCTGAAGGTTCCTACCCTGTCTCCTCTCTCTCAGTCAACGATATCACCAGCTACTCAGACATCCACATGGAAACCTCTGGACCCTCCCTCTCCCTCACCAAGGTCTGATGATGTTAACTCTGATGAGTCCTCTAAATCTCTCCCCTTCCCTTCTATGCCACCATAGCCCCGGATTAGGCTCTCAGCACCTCTCTGCTGCTACCAGTCCTTCCTCCAGGATCTCCCAACCTTGGATGTCCCTCCATGGTATCAACTGGAGACAACTGTCTAAACACAGATCTGATTATTCAGTAAGTAAAATATTTGCTGGTGACCCACTGTGTGCCAGACTTTGTGCCCAGAACTGGGAATACAGTGGTGGATACAGTAGGGTCCCTGTCCTCGTGGAACTCACATCCCAGTTAGGGAAATCAAACAAGAAGCAAGCTAAAAAACAGATACATGAATAAAATACTTCTAAGTTGCAGGGTAGGAAATAATGGGGTGGGGCAGGTATCTGTGCCACCCCTTGTAGAAAGACCTTCAGAGGCTCCTCATTACCTACAGAACAAAGTTCAGACCCAAATTGGCAAGCAAAAGTCTTACTAATGCGGCCCAATCTATTTTTCAACTCCCTCTCCCACCACTCCCTTCTTCTGCCCAACCCCCTACTCTATATTCCATGTCCTATTCATCTGTGAATCCCAAGCCCTTCACTCTTGGCAGATAACAAGCAGATAATAAATATTTAGGGAAATCAATGTGTGGACAAGCGAATGATGGATAGGTGTCTATAGGCATGCCCTGTCCCCGTTCTTACCTCTACTCTGGTGGAACTTCTTTACAATGGCCCCTTCCTTTGGGTCTCCAAAATGTTTCTCACACTGTTTCTGCCCCAGGTACTCATAATAATGTCTTTCCTGCTAGACAGTTAAGGCATTAAAGACAAGGGCAATATTGTTCCATTCTGAAAAAAAATGCCTGGCACACAGCAGGTGCCTGAAACATGCCAGTGGAGTTGACTGTGAAGAGCCTGAAGCAAGGGGAAGTGAGTGTTGTCTTTTTTTAGACTGTTTCCTACAAATACTCCAGTGGCCATAATATTTGGGTGGAAAAAAGAAGCATGAAGATATCCACTGCCAAGTGGGCAGCCAGAGGCATACACCTCTTTGCTCAAGGAACAGCCTCAAAGAGCCCAACTTTGTCCCCGTGTCTTTGCCTTTGAAAATAATTTTGCACAAGCAAAGCAAAGAATAATGAACCAGATATGTGCCCATGGAACCTGGTGCTCAAAGATATGCCCTTATCCATCTGAACAGAAACTCATCTAGATCATGAGTTGGTTCTAGGGCTAAGCCTGTCCCTTTACATGATCTGTGAAGAACCAACCCCATTCATCCTAGTGACAGAATATTTATTTATTCCCAAGGACCTTAAGTGAAACCTAACTCCTTTGCTGCTCCCACATCCCATCCCTGGAACTCCTTAATTACTATTCCCTAAGCCCACAATAATTGAACACAGGGGTCTGTTGGTTTTTGGCAAATGCATTTGGAGTCCCTGCCTTCTTTGGCAGGATGGGAGGAAGGTGGATAGGTAACCAACCATGAAAAAACTTCAATAAAAAATCTGATTAAAGGTAAGAATAAAAATAAGAGGTAGATTTTGTGCATTTTTTTAGGCTTGATGCCTGCTCTCAGAAAAGTACTGGGCATGTGCCAATCTGCCTGGCTTACCTAGATCATTGTTGACTCTTGAATTTCACACATGGTCACCTGGTCCTCCTTTCTTTTTTCAGTCTGCCCAGAAAGCACCCCACCCCTGACCTGAGCATTTCATTAGTCCTATCTCTTTAGGGGCCATTTCAGATTTTTCTTGACAGTCTTATTTTATTCACTCTGGTTCAGTGTTGCCAACCCAACAATTCTCAGCCAAGCCTCCAAAGGAAATACAATCTGCTTGCTGCGTCAGATCACTTGGAAACAGATACGATTGGCTTGGAGTCACTCCATGCGGGGCTGTAAAATTGTTCTCTCCTTCTAAGTGGGTTGGGTTAAGCCCAAGCTGAGGCAAGAGATTTCCAAGGAATACAGAGCAGAGGACTGTAGTAAGTGGTGGTGATTCAGTCAGTGGTCCTCTTGCTTCTGAGTCAGTATTAACCTTCCTCCAGCAGCAAGTATGCGTAGGCGGCCTTCAGAGTCAAACAAAACAGTGAGGTCTTCAACACTGGGGTTCATGAAACAGTTTACAAGAGTAGTGGGGATGCAGGCTTGGTGTAAATCTCTTTATTCCTGCCAAGTTCTAGTCTAAATTTTTGTGTTTCCAAGATAAATGAAAGTTAGTTAAATTGATTTTGAGATTTATGTATCTTATGCAAAGTTGGCAGGGTGTCCACACTTCCATTAGGCCAACTCTGCCAAATACCATTGAAATTCTGATACACATTTGTCTGAAGGTCTCCTTGGACTTTCAAATGGGGTTAATTTATTCTTTGACTTAATTTTGCAATATGTCATTTTTTTGTTCTAATTTCCTGAGAGGCTGTCTGGTGTAACAAAAAGAGTCCTAGATTAGGAATCAGAAGTCCCAGTTATATCATTCATAGGGCAAGTCATTTAATATGCCTCAATTGCCTTATCTACCAAATAGGAATTGTGCTACTTGCTTTGAAAACCATACAGCATTATACAAACGTAGGGAGTGGTTGGCCCCAGCGGTGGCTGTATGGTTGAAAAGGAAGTGATTCTCTAGGTCTCATCGAAGCTGTGGGCCAAAACAATGTGGCAGGAATATGAACATGGGTGATCAGATGAGCAGGACACTGACTGCCCTTTTAGAAGACCTAGTTCCAACTCAAGACAAATCCTTCCATCTCATTAATTTGTATTTTTATATAATCTTTTATTTTAGATAAATCTTAGAAGTAAGCCATTTAATCTTGTACCCAACCGAAGAATTTTTCTCCACTTTTTTCCACCAGCAACATAATGATAATTCTTGATATTCAATAATATGTCTTTATTGAATCATTTCTATTTCCAGATTTCTAGCTTTTAGGGAATAGGAATAAAAGTGTTGACTTCAAAGAATTTAGTATTTTGGCAAAATGTGCTTGTAAACAGATAATCATGGAGAAAAAGCTAGGATGGCAGTAGTAGAAGAGTGACAGGTTCTCTAAGGCAGGGGTTGGCAAACTACAGCCCAAGGACCAAATCCAGCCCACTACCTATTTTTGTAAAGAAATTTTTTTTAGAACACAACCATGCTTATTTGTTTACATATTGCCTATGGCTGTTTTTGCACTACAATGATAAAATTGAGTAGTTGGCAGAGACAATATGGCTTGCAAAGCTTGAAATATTTACGACTGGCCTTTTACAGAAAGGTTGCTGACCTCTGCTCTAAGGGAATCAGACATCTTACGAAGATTTAACTTGGGTTAGAGAATGGGAGAAAGGCATTCCAGTTGGCTGGAAGAGTAAGCACAAAAGAATGGAGTTATTAAAGAATATTTCATGTTTAAAAAGCAATGGGATGTCTCCTTGGTATAAGACAGGGAACAATGGGAGATGAGGCTGGAAAGATGGGCTGAGTTTGGACAGAGAAGGACCCTGTAAGTCAAGGCTAATGGGTTTGAAATCCATCCTGTAGACATCTGGTCTCGAAATAGGATGCATGCCCCAGAGATACACAAGATGATCCATTAGAATTTAGAAGTCAGAAAGTACTAGAATTTGAACTTATTTTTTTCTAGGAAATAAAAAACATGGACTTACAACATTTGATATAAATATTGACAACGGGCTCCTCACAGCCATTGTTATGTGTCATGAATTGTTCATGAGATATCTTGTGGCAAGATTAGGACCTGCACATTGCAGAGGCGGCAAATGGTGTCCTCAGTCCTCACTCCCCTGGGGCTTTCAATGACATATGAATCACTACAATTTGCACATTCCTGACTCATTGGATTATGGATATTATCAAATTTAATCTAACACACACAAAATGGACAAGTGGATTAAAATATTCCTGCATGGAAACAATGGATCAAAGATAATATTAGTAGTATAAGCACAAGCAAATAATAAGAATAATAGCATTGACACTGCCCTTAGAACAAGTTTTCTTCGGCCATATTACAAAGTGAAGACAATGACCAAATATTTGCATGTAACAAGAAGTCAAGCCAAAACAGTTAGAAATTTCCATGAAAACTACTAGATATAAGGATTTATATCATTCAAATGATATAAATGGAACTCCCCTGACATATTTATTGTGCTTTTGACATATTAGCTAATGACAGTATGAAGCCATCATAATTGACAAGACATTTTAAACTATTGCTTACTTCATCTTTATCTCAGCCTTTAAAAAAATTACTTTTGTATATGTTTTATAATGTACATAATATATTAGGAAAGTAATACATGTGTATAATATAAAAAGAAATATATGTATATTGAGAGTACCTATTCAAAATTGTTTACTGATGGGGTGTTAAATCAAAAAAGTTTGGGAACCACTTCTATACAAAATAGAGGACCAATGGGGATCTCAATAAAAGAGGAGATGAGATGAGGCTTGTTTTGAGAAAGATCTCACAGGCTGCCTTGTAAAAGATAGACTCTTGCAGAGTGGCCATTTAAAGTCATTTTTAAGTGCCTGAAGATCTTGAAACAAAAGTTTTAAATACTAACAGCTGTTACTACAAATTCCACTTTGCCAGCTTTTTCTTCTTTAAGAAATGAATGGCTTCTTCAGGCCCAAACAAGGCCCCAAAGGATTGCACTGACAATACAGCTTTGCTACAAGCAGTTAGTTGGGTGACATGGGCAAATTTCAGGGATGAGAAAACATACCCAAGGAATACCGCATGCCATCTAGACTCAACTTTCCCCTCTGACCTGCATGAGTTTCCAAGGCAAAGTGGTCTTCAATCACGAGGGCTCCTTCCACTGTTTCAGCCAGAGGGGCCATTCCCCCTCCTGACAGGCATGATTAATTGATTCTGATGCACAGACACACTCTGTGAGGACTGTGCATATAAGATGTGCTTCTGGGAAGGACTATGGCATTTCTCCTGCTGGAAAGGGGCCAGGTAGGCTATTAGCCTGTTAGAGCCAGTTCTCCTTAGCCACCTATTCTTTGCCACAAAGAACCCAGTTGTCAGATTTGAAGAACTTAACCAATATCTGTCAAATCTTCAAGAAAAGAGGAGCCCGAACGGAGCTGAGCAGAGAAAGGATCTGCAGCCTCTCCCTGGTGATTGGCTTGGGCAGTCCCAGGAAGGCACCAGCACTGGTCTAGAGCCTAAACCTACACATCTGGAAACATCACAGAGGGCTTCCTTCTCTGTGCTCCATGAATGAGGGCATACCCTCTTCTTTTATGACTATCTTTTTCAAGAACTTGAAGGGGCAAAGTGAAAACAAAAACAAATGATAGCAATAACAACCACTTTTTATGGTCAAAGATGTATTATAGTTGTGGGTGAAGAAAGCATGCCCTGCCTCTCTTTCCAAACTTCACATCATCTGGCCCTACTCTTCAACTCAACCTTCTTCCCTACATGGAATCTTTATTCCAATAATGTCTGTTTCCTTCTCTCGAACACACCATCCAATTCCATTCTTTGCTCTTTGTTGAAATTCTACTCAACCTTGGAGTCCTCACAAGCTGTCATTTCTTCACAAAGTGTCCCTCACTACCCTTAAACCCACCCTCTCTTTCTTTTGGTTGGCTAGAGAGATTCACATTCAATTAGGGTCCCCTTGTGTGTTTCTCTAATTGTTTCAGGTCTCCCCAGGTGACTTTCTTTGGGTTGGGGGGTGTCATTATATACTTGCACAGCACCTAGAACCACGCTAAGCCCAGTTTTGCAAATACTTATTGTTTGATGATCCCACTAGTAGTACATGTTACCTAGAGAAATGAGGGAACAAGCTGAGCAATAAATAAGTCTCTCATTTCCACATGAAGAGTAAGATCTTGGGAAGGTGGCAAGTGAATCAAATTGAATAAGGGAGGGCTGAATAAGTCATATGTAATGACTTTCAGGGTTCATGTAAGTGGACCTTATCTCAATTGTCAAGGATTCGTAGCTAGAAGAGGTCTGATGATCCAACAGTGTTGTGGTGTGGTCTGCAGTAGAGTCCTAGGCTCTTGAACCTTGAACAGGGTGCAAGGAACTCAGACGATCCTATGTTTGCCTCGAGCAGATCATTTGAATTCTCTAGATCCTGTATTTAAAAAAAAAAAAAAAAAAAAAAAAAGGAGCAGGGTAGGATTCCCTCATGTCCTGGAGGCATTTGGAAGGGGCTGAGCATGGGCAGCTCTGTCCAGTGGCTTCTCTCTGTCCCTCTATTGCTTTGGTACAGCTGCTCACCGTGGATGCCAGCACAGAAATGCTCTTCTGAGGACACATCCTGCCAGGTTTATAGGCCCTAAAGGAGACACTGACACAGATGACCATCCTAACACTCTCTTACAGCACTGATAAAGAACAGCAAACACAGGAGCCAACAGCAGCCTGGAGGATACGGGACCGTTAGAGGCCACAGTTTAGCATCCTTTCACCCAGATGAGGAAGAAAAGTCCCTCCTTTCTCACCCCTTCCCCAAAATTAAAACAATGAAAATCAGTTCTCATTATCCCAATAATTAAGTCCCATTGAGCCAGCTGACAGCGGCCAAAGAATGATTTTTCTGTGCTGCACTGTGTGGCTGCCCTCCATGGCCCCATTCATGGGCCACTGTGTGCATTCAATCACCCTTAGCTGGGCCGAGCTAATGAAATGCTGGGGCCTTGCCCTGCCCTGACCCTGCTGCTATTTCTATCTGAGCTCAGCATGTCCTTTGCTTGACAGTTGCAACCGAACAAGCAGATTTTTCTCTCCCATCTATGGAGTGTAAAGAGCCTATTTTGGCAGCCTGTGGGGCTGGGGACCCCTCTGGAAACCCAGTGAATGCCCCTGGAGGTTAACGTGCAAAGCTGTTTTCCAGACTGAGAGGCAGGCGGAGGAGGGGGCGGAGTGCTGGCGACTTGGAGGCAAGGAGGCTGTGGCTGGGGGCTTTTCTGGGGCAGAAGGGGAAGATGAACCTGGAAGAAGCATGGGGCCATGAGGTGGGGCTGGCTGATCCATCCTGTTGCAAACCTGAACAAAAGCTCTTTGTCAGTTATCAAAAATCTCCCTCCCTCACTGGGGTCAAAGTGAGAAAATCCATTGCACTGGGTTTCCAGTTCGCATGGCATGGAGAAAGGGGGGATCCCTGTGGAGAGCAACTGCTCTCTTGAAGTTCCTAGCTGTTGTTTTAATGATTTCCCAAGATTCAGAAGTTAGGGAATAAGATGGCAAAATTATAGGCATTTATCCATACTAAAATGTAGGGATTTACACTTAGCTAATGGAGAAAAAAACTTTCTTTGAGGGAAGTTGTAGAAAAGAGGCAAAAACAATGTGTTAAATGTGATGGCATGGTGGCTTTATACAGAAAGGACATATCTAAAGAAGGATGTAAATCAAGGGTGACAAACTCAAATGCCCTCAGTGGCCAGAGAGATCAGAGGTTACCGAAATGAGAGAAGGGAAACAGGTGGGAACTGTGGCCAATCAGGAAACACTGGCCCAGCCCCACCCAGGGCAGGCTGATCCTGCTCAGCCCCAGCTCTTTTTCGCCATACAAGTAGGAAGGCCCATGATTTTCTGTAATTTTAAAAAAGAGAAATCAGAAATCTCTATTCTTATTCAAAATCTCCCAATTGTTAGTGTTAGAAACTAATTCAAGATGTTAAAAAAGAAAAAAAAAAAAAGCGGTGTGCTAGCCAAACAAACTATGTTGGCGTTCTGCAAGCCCACCCCTAACATTTGCAGGGCCTGGAGCAAGAGTACAAATGGAGGCCCCATATCATATGTCTAAATATTTAAAAGTATAAATCAAGCTCACTAACTGTTAAACAAAATATATTCTGTTTGCCTACAATGAAAAAATATGCCTTCCTAAAGACCTGGCAGCCAGGTGTGAGAATTCAGAGTCCTGGGACATCTTGGAGTTGCACACAGATACAGGGCAGCAGAGAAGAGCTGGCTCCTGGCCCCCGGCCCTCCCCTTCTCACCCCAGCTCCAGCCTGCACACCTGTGGGAGTCAAGCTCTGTCTATCCCCTGATTCCTCAAACAGCCTCCCCTTGGCTGTCCCTCTGGCTTAATGTTGCTCACATCAAAGGTGCAGAATGCCCTTAGGAGGACAGACTCAAATGGACTTGGTGACATTTGACAGGACTCTGGGAACCTGGGACCCAGAATGTGAGGTGTCTTGGCTCTTTGGCCCATGGGACTGGAAAGAGCCAGAGTTAGGCTCTTTGAAGCGTGGGTTCCAAGTCAGGGTCCCCTCCTAGCAAGACCTAAGTGTGTTACTGGCCCCAGTTTGAGATCGCTGACTTAAATAAACACCCAGAAATGAAGACATCTTGATGCTCAGCCTAGTTTTTTGACCACTTAGCTACATGACCTTGGGTAAATCATCATCTTTTCGTGAACCAGTTTCTACATAATTAAAATGGGGACAAAATACCTCTTCTAACCAATTCGTTTGAAAACTAAAATGAGATTACACATGGAAATATTTTAAACTAATAAATAAAGAAATGAAAAGGTCGATTAAGAAAAAAAAACTGCCATAGACACAAATTTTATCAAAGGGAGCATATATGTGAAGGTCTCACTCAAAATATCCCATTAATTGTCTTTTTAATCTCAAGATATGGGCTAAATCTAGAAGAACTAAAATGATAGTACTTTTCATTAAGGGTTTTTCCTCTTTTCCAACAATCCCTTAGGATGGGTCTCCTATCACACTGATCTTAAAAGGATATTGCAGAGGTAAATAAAACAAAAACAAAAATAAAATCTGTTTCAGTGATTCATGGCTCCTTTTTTTTTTTTGAGACGAAATCTTGCTCTGTCGCCCAGGCTGGAGTACAGTGGCGCGATCTCGGCTCACTGCAAGCTCCACCTCCTGGGTTCATGCCACTCTCCTGCCTCAGCCTCCCGAGTAGCTGGGACTACAGGCGCCCGCCACCACGACCAGCTAATTTTTTTGTATTTTTAGTAGAGACGGGGTTTCACCGTGTTAGCCAGGATGGTCTCAATCTCCTGGCCTCGTGATCCGCCCGCCTCGGCCTCCCAAAATGCTGGGATTACAGGCGTGAGCCACTGCGACTGGCCATGGTTCCTTTTTAAGAGCAACCCCCTTTAACCAACATTAAGGTAGGATCTCTATTCAGGGACATGTGCTATTATTGTGACAGTCATTCTAAAAATTTTGGGTGCCTTTTTTTTTTTTTTTTTTGAGACAGGACCTCACTCTGTCACCCAGGCTGGAGTGCAGTGGTGCAGTCATGGCTCACTGCATGGCTCACTGCAGCTTCTACCTCCCATGCTCAAGTGATCCTCCCACCTCAGCCTCCCGAGTAGCAGGAACTATAGATGCTCACCACCACACCCAGCTAATTTTTTCAATTTTTTTTTGTAGAGACAGCATCTCTGTTTCCAGGCTGGTCCTAAACTCCTGGGCTCAAGGGATCCGCCCGCCTCGGCCTCCCAAAGTGCTGGGATTACAGGCATGAGCCACTGCGACTGGCTGGGTCTCAATTTTTAATGAAAGAAAACCAATAGGAAAAGCAGCAAAAGGGGGGAAAAAGACTATTTAAAAGAGTAAGGAAATACTAAAAAATTTCCACAAGGATCTAAATCAATAACAAGACTGAACTTTTATTTTTGAAGACTTAAGGAAAATTAACTTCAAGCTGTAGAGGTAGACAGAATTTTACAAAGGATAACCTGAGCTACCAGGAAACATTTATGTGACAGTAAATTTAAGAGTTCCTTCCAAAGAAATAGAGTTTGATAGAGGTAATCATGCAAAAGCATGACTGGGCTGGTACTGAAAGGTATCCTTCCATTTAGACCAATGTAGGGCTCGGAAAGTACAGCTGGAGAAGAAATACAGTTTTACATATTCTTTTCTAAAAAAATTCAATCTGCTTTCTCAAGTTGAAATGTTTTATATATTCTTAAACATCCAGGGAGGGGTTGGGAATGGTGGCTGCCAGAGCACCTAGCACTCATCTCCCTTTCCTAATAACAATCTAATTTCCTTTTGGCGGATTATCTTTTCCCAGTAGGATACAGTCTGTGGATATTGCTGGCAATTAGGAGGTTTTTGACCCAAGTTGGGCCAATCAGATGCTCCCTTCAATGGAAGGTGAATTTTGAACAGAGGGACAAAAAGAATGGAGATGTCAGGAGTTTCATCCCATCCAAGTGGAGTGTCCTGACCAGACCTGTGGGACTCTTGTGAGCCTTGTGTTTCCTGCTTCCTAGTTTCTGGAATTTGCCTGCTTCTTACCCATTTCTAAGACTGCTTCTTCAGCCTTCCCTCAATCCTGTGGGACCTCTATATCCTTCTTTTAAACTCTGGCTTACATTAGCCAGAAGCATTTCTGTTGCATGCACCCAAAGAACCTCAGCACACACAACAATACCAGTGCACTGTGGGTCCTGATCTCTGGTCCAAACCTCCAAGTGCTCCTAGAGACCTTTCATGTGCCTGACCCTAGTGAGCATGTATCTCACTGAGAGTTAGGAGAGGCTTCACACAGAAATAGTGGTACTATCCCAGGCTTCCTCCATCCAGTTACACATACTCATTTTTTTCCTTGGTTTTCCTGAAATGTTGGAATGTTCCTTTACTTTTCCACTTCATAGTATGAGCTGTTCATAAAACAGCCAGCAGAATCCTAGCACTTCGGAGGGCGCTCCCAGATGATTTTTGTAGTTGGAATCTGTATGACAGTGAGTCAGCCTGGTGATCCTAAGGCCTGCTGTAAGCTCGACGTGTCACTATTCACATGCTTAGAAATTAGGTCCCAATGCACCTGACTGCCCTTAAGAGAAGTCAGTGGAAAAGAGTGGCAGGTTTGCCAGGTGTCGGAATGGGAATATGCAGAAACTAAAAATAATGAAGAAGGGCAATATGTGGGGGGTGAGGGGTGGGGGTGGGAAATAAAAAGATCTGGGAACTGACAGTAGAAGGTGCCTTGATCACAATCACAATAGGAGATGAACAAGAGTATAGGACATTAGAGGCAGCAAATGCCCTAGGCTAGCTTTTAGACTAACTTTTGAAATCAGTGTTCATATTTATTGTTTAACTTTTAACCTCAGTCTCCACTAGAGGTCTAGCCTCCTTGGTCTTTTACCATTACCTGGGCTTCTACTTTGAGATTGTTCTGTACATCCACCAACCATGAAAAGGTGAGGTAATTTGGAATTTAAGAATACAGAGGCTCCAGAACCAAACCAGAGCTAGAGTGTGTTTGAACTTTGGCTCTACAACTTGCTAGTCCCATGAACTTAGGCAAGCTACTTAACCTTTCTGTGCCTCAATGTTCTCATCTATAAAATGGGGAGAGTAATAATAATAATAATAACAATAATAATATATATAAAGCACTTACTAGTACCCTTGGCACATTAGTGCTCAATAAATATTAGCTACTATTAATCAATCAATCAACAAATATGTATTGAGCATCCACAATGTTCCAGGCACTGTTTTAGTTCTTGGGACAGATCAATGAACAAAATAGGCAAAGATCTCTACCCTTGTGGAATTTACAATCTAGGGGGGGTGGGAGCGGGAGGACAGATGATAAGGTATGTTGGTACTGCTATTAATATCTGACCCAATATCCACCCACTCCACTCAGCTTTCTGGAAATCCTCTAAATCTTTATCTTCTTCTTTGAACATTCTGTTCATCTTCGCGCCTTCACCAAAACCTGATTGGCCCTGAGGATGTGGTTTTTCCCCATAGCACCCAAAAGTGTGGTTGTTTTTTATCTCACTGTCCCATATCCCAGAGCCTGTAGATAGGGAAATGGGCTTCCTTGCTTTCCACTGCTACTTCCAAACCCTTTCTCCTCCTTTATCCTTTAAAAACCACAGCTATTTGGATGCTCATTCCTTCACATTATATAACCCTTCTCCCACTGAATTGCTGTCATCAATAACCTATTATTCATTTATTAAACACTTGAGCATACAACTCCTTCCTTTCACCCCTATTTTTGTCATCGTTCTTGGTGACTTTAACATCCTTGGTCTCTGAGTTCCTGACCTTCTCACTTCCAGTGATCTATTCTTCCACTTTCTTCAGCTACATTAAAATGGCCATAGCCTAGCCTTGTCATCACCACCTTTCAAGTCTAGATTTCAATTGTTATACGCCGACCACCATTTTCATCCTTCCAGCCAACCTTCTGTAGTATTTCTACTCCAATAATTTTTTGACCACTCAGTTAAGCTCACTTGCTTGTCTGTTTTTATTGTTTGTTTTGTTTTGCTTTGTTTTGTTCTATTTATCACCTCCTCGCATGTCCTTGTTTTCTCTTTACCCATGATCAATTCCATGGGCCACTGTTATAAACACTGCCTTACACGCCTTTGCCCCTCTCTCCTCGTGCCAAACTCTCCTAGAAAAATCTTCAAATTTGGTTAAACCCAGCTACTGGCTTAGGCTGAAACAGTCCTGAAGCAATTTAAGATTAATGGAGAAAGTAATTCCACTGAGTTGACTGATTACACTTTAAATCTATGACTGCAGTCCTCAAATGAGTACTCAACATTGCTCAGAAAGGCTACATTTTTTTTTCCATAGTAAAGTTTATTTTAACTTTTCTGAGGTCACTATTTATCTCTTCTCCCCTCAGACCTCCAATGATCATCCCCTCTCAACTGATGATCTCAGTTTATGTCTTACTGAGAAAACAGAAATAATCAGACAGAAACTCCCTCATCCCTCCACTGTGACATCTGTACAACTACTGGCATAGGAATTGTCTTCCTTCTCATTACAATGGAAGAAGTAGCTCTGTTTCTCTTAAAGGCAAACACCTCTACTTGTGCTTTGCATCCCATCCTCTCTTGATGTCTCCAGGACTTATTCCTAAGTCATCCACCTCTATTTTCTGCACAATCAACTTCTTTCACTCTACTGGATTATTCTCAACAGCAAACAAAGTGCTCAGGAATCTCCCATCTTTAAAAATCCTACTTTGATACATTCCCCTCCAGCTACAATCTCAGTCTCTGTCTCCCTTCCAATTAGTTTTACCTAGTGCCTAGAAAATGCTGTTGACTTTTGTATATGGATGTTGTATTCAGCAAACTCAATGAAATCTCTTATTATTTATAATAATTTTCCTATACAGTGGATTCAATGGATTTTCTGTGTAAATAATCATATTATCTTTAAAGAAAGATAGGTTTGTCTGTTTTTTTTTCAATTCTTATACCTCATTTCTCTTTCTTTTCTCATTGCACTGGTAGGACTTCCAGAATGATATTGAGTAATAAGGGTGATAGTAGGTATCATCTTTCTTCTGAAGTTTTATCATTGAGTGTGTTGTCTATAAAGGTATTGGTTATATGTTCTTTATCAAGTTAAGGAAGTTCCTGCCTATTCTTACTTTGCTAAGAGTTTATGTAATAAAGGGACTTTGAATTCTAGAAAATAATTTTTTTCTGCATCTATATTAAGACATGTCATCTCTGTTAATATTGTTAATATTTTATTTAGAAAAATTTCATCTATGTTTATAATGGATTAGTCTGTTCTTGTATTCTTAGGTTTGGTATCAAGTGCCTAATAAGATGAGTCACTTTCCCTTTTCTTCTACACTCTCAAACAGTTTGTGTAACATAAGGGTTAGCTGTTCTTGATAGGTTGGCCAAACATCCCAGAAATCCACCTATGCCCAATGTTTTTTGGGTAGAAGGCTCTGATTTGTGGTAGCAAGTCATTTCCTACATGGGTTATTGGTTGATTTGGATTTTCTAATTAATTATTCTTGATTCAACTTTCAAAATTTACTTTTCTAAAAAAATCATTAACTTCCTCTACTAGTATTAAGTTGTTCATAGATTTGCTCATTCTATTTTTTATGATTTTTTCATTCCAATTGTATCTATCATTATAAATTATGTTCTCTTTATAATTCTTAATATTATTTATTGCATTTTCTTTTTTTCTGGAGCAGCCCTGCTAGGGTTTTATCTATTTTACTAGTAATTTTGAATAATCAACTTCTGGATTTGTTCATTCTTTTGTTGTTGTTTCTTTTCCATTAATTTCTGATAGTTTTATTTTGCTCTGCTTTTTTTAGGCTTAATCTATTGTTCTCCTTGCTTCTAGATTTAAACACATCTTTTATTGAGTTTTAAAAATCAGATTCCACTGTGGTCAGAAAATATCTCTATAAGTTAACAATTCTTACAAATTTGTTGAGACCTTCCTTTGTGTGGCCTGTTATGTCAATTTATGTAAATGTTCAACATATTTTCAAAAAAGAACATATATTCTCTATTGTTGGACTTTGGTTTTTATTTGTTTTTGAGATAGGGTCTCTCTCTGTCACCCAGGTTGGAGGGCAGTGGCATGTCACCTTGTCTTACTGCAGCTTCAACCTCCCAGGCTCAAGCAATTCTCCCTCCTCAGCCTCCAGAATAGTCACCACATCTGGCTAATTTCTAAATTATTTTTCGTAGTGACAGGGTCTTCCTATCTCGTCTAGGCTGGTCTCAAACTCCTGAACTCAAGTGATTCTCCTGCCTCGGCCTCCCAAAGTGCTAGGATTATAAGTGTGAGCCACCATGCCTGGCCTATTGTTGGATTTTGAGTAAAGGATATATCAGTTTGTGGTTATATCTTTTATGTTTTTAATAAATTTCTGTAAAAATAAATTTAAATTTAACACAATTTTACATTTTTACATTTTCTTAGTTTTTGCTTTACATGTTTTGAATTTCAAGGTTATGTTTTTAGGGGCATATAGGTTCATGAATATTATCTTTTCTTATATCATTATATATCTCTCTATCCCTATTAACATATATTTCCCAAGATTCCATTTGCCTTACTGTGACACCACCCACCTTTCTTTTGGTTAGCATTTTGTGGTATGTCTTTTGTCATCTCTTTATTTGTGTGGTTTGGCCTAAGTGGGTCTTTTGAAAATAGCTTATAACTGAATACTTTAAAAATTCTAATCTGATATTCTCCAATTTTTAATAGACACATTTAATCAGCTTACATTTATTGTAGTTACCATCATATTTGACTTACTTCTTCCATTTTATTTAGTTTTCTATTTATTTTCTTTCTTTCTTATCTTCTCTTAGGTTTTTTTCTTCTTTCCTGTCTTCTTTCATTTTTTTTTTGTCTTTCCTGTCTTCTCTTAGGTTGGTGAGATTTTCTATATTCTGCTTTCTCCTTTGTTGGTTTAGAACCTATAGATTGATGTTCTTTTCTATTCATAATTACCTTAAAGTTTTACCATACACATTTAATTATATATGTTTCAAAGTCTGAAATTTTCAATATCTTATCCTCCTCCCTGAACAAGGCAAGACTCTTAGCACACTTTACCCAGTAAATACTCTTTCTACTAACATATTATCTCAACATATTACTTTTTTATTTAACTTTTATTTTAAACTCTAGATTTAGTTATTTTATAGTCAGTTGAAGTAAGTCTATTTTAACTTATTTATTTCTGTGTCCACTATAGTTTCTTGATTTCTATGTCCTGCCTTGAAACTGAGTTTTTCTTGATATAATACATATTTTAATGGTTCTTTCAGTGAAGACTCAAGACTGATATAAACTTCATTTTAAAAAAATCCTAAAACTGTCTTTCTTTTAAATCGGCTCTTGAAAGCTAGTTTAGCTAGGTATAAAACTCTGGCTTTACAAGTGATTTTTTTCCCCTTTCAGATATTTGAAGATACTACTCCACTGTCTGCTGGAATCTATTGTTAGTAAGATGTCTATTATCAATGCAGCTATCATTCCTTTATAAATAACTCTCTTTTCTCCCTGGTAACTTTGTTTTTTTCTTTCTTTATCTCTTTTTTTTTTTTTTTTTTTTTTTGAGACAGGGTCTTTCTCTGTTGCCCAGGCTGGAGTGTAGTAGCACAATCATGGCTCACTGTAGCCTTGACCTTCTGGGCTCCAGCAATCCTCCCATATCAGCCCTCGAAGAAGCTGGGACTATAGGTGCATGCCATTATGACTGGCATTTTTTTTTTAAATTTTTTGTAGAGATGGGGTCTCGCCACATTGCCCAGGCTAGTCTTGAACTCCTGGGCTCAAGAGATCCTCCTGCCTCTGCCTCCCAAAGTGCTGAGGTTACAAGTGTGAGCCACTGTGCCCAGCCACAACTTTTAATACTATCATTTTTATCCTTGAGGTAGATAGGTTTACTATCTCATATGTATGTATAAAAATTGGAGCTTCTCAGTATATCTTCATGCCCTTAACTCTGACTTGCACTACGTTTTGGTGGCTTCTTAAATACTATCTTCCTATTCACTAATTTTATCTTCATCTATTTCATGTCTAGAATTTATCCTATCTGTGTATTTTATCTTTTTAATTCATTCTTTTTCATATTTGCCAATTCTTATTTCTGCCTGCTTTATTTCACAATATCCTTTTTAAAGTAGATGTTATTTCTCTTTGAGTATTTAGGCAAATTTAGTTTAAAGTTTTAGTCAGATTGTTCCATTATTTTAATTTCTTTTGGACAAGATTAGATAACAAATGTTGATTTTGTTGACTGGTTTTCTTAGTGTTGAATATT
The DNA here is from genome assembly GCF_000001405.40 of Homo sapiens. Classification (NCBI taxonomy): domain Eukaryota; kingdom Metazoa; phylum Chordata; class Mammalia; order Primates; family Hominidae; genus Homo; species Homo sapiens. The sequence goes on along the minus strand of NC_000014.9, from coordinate 68,529,735 downwards.
TTTGCTTGGATACTAATTTAGAGAGTAAGGTCTTCTTTCTTCTTTCTCCTCATTTTCTTCTATCCTAGAGATTTTGTAGAGGTCTCTGGTTCAGAATCAAGTGATGATTTAAGATCTTTCCCAGCTATGGTGTTAGTGATCTCTCCCTTAGTAGTGAAAGCATCCTAGCTTCTGGTTGCTGGGCTGTGATTATTTCTCCTGCCTCCATAGACCTACAGTTTCCTATAAGAAATAGTCTCAGATATATCATCAGCAGCTGTTTTTCAACGTTCTTTCCTAGTAAGCTCCACCTTACAGATGACCTGAGGTCAAGAGTTCAAGACCAGCCTGGCCAACATGGCGAAACCCTGTCTGTACCAAAAAATACAAAAATTAGCCTGGCGTGGTGGCACGCGCCTGTAGTCCCAGCTGCTGGGGAGGCTGATGTGGGAGAATTGCCTGAACCTAGGAGGAGGAAGTTGCAGTGAGCCAAGATTGTGCCACTGCACTCCAGCCTGGGTGACAGAGTGAGATCCTGTCTCAAAAACAAAGAAAAAAAGAAAGCCCCACTTCAGTGTTTCATTTTTAGAAGTGAGTCTAACCCCAGTAATCCACTGCACTTGAAGCAATTTTAGTCCCTCTCATTCCACAGGAGCCTCTAGCTGTGCTTCTGGATTTAGAACTCAGTCAACCTGTGGCTTCAGCCTGGTTCACCATTTCAACATAACCCACCTAGAGAAAGAAAACCTGTATTTGATGAAACAGAATAGGGTTGTGAATTCCTTGGAGTTGGACGGACCAGGGTTTCTTCTGCAGACTTATCACTTACTAACTGAGAGACTGGGAGCAAGTTATCTAACTTGTTTGATTCTTAGTTTTCTTATTCTTCAGCTAGAAATGATAATACCTACCTCACAAAATTAATGAAATAACATTTAAAACTGTGCCTGACACCCAACAGATGCTCACAGGACATACTAGAATAAGTATTAAGTAACCCATTTTAAAAGGTAAATAATTCTGCAGTCCGCAGTCCGGCCTGGGCGACAGAGCGAGACTCCGTCTCAAAAAAAAAAAAAAAAAGGTAAATAATTAGTTCTGAACAAATCTATATTTGCCAGGATTTTTTTTCCCACTAAATATGGACCTTGACTCAGAGCTTTCTCTTTCTTGCTCTTCATGCCACCCTCCTGACATTTACTGGTCAAGATGTTTAGTAATATGAATTTTAACAGGCTGATCATGGGTTTTTACAAGAGATCAGATAAAACTTAATTTATTTATACTTTATGATTTATGTCCAACTTTTAAAGTGTACTTGAGGTAGTTTACAATGAAAGTCACATATGCAATAAGTTGGTTGAATAATAAAGGGAAAATTAAACCATAGAGGAAGAAGGGAAAATAATTATGCCCAAAATCTGAGTTAATTATTACTGTAATTGAGTATTAAATTTGTTTAAGGCTTCCTGGCAGCAAAAGGCAAAGAAAGAGGAAATATGATGAATGACATCATTCTCAATGGCTGAAGTTTTTCTATGAAACAGTGTAGCAAGGTTATGATGGGCTAGAAACCATGCAGGGATTATGCTCCATTCAGGATGTATGGTACGGAAGACTGGAGGGAATTCTTTACTGGTTGGTGCCAGCCTTTTCTCATGGCTTTAGCAACAGGTTGGACGACTGTGGTTTTAGATGGCTTAGTGCAATCTGACTGGAGCCCACAAACTGAGATGGAAGACTTTTAAAAAAAATAATGTTTTAAAGTTTTTCAGTATAAAAAAATACACATTTACTAAAGAAAATTTGGAAAATTTGAAAGAGTATAAAGAAGAAAACACAAATATCCTTACAATTCCACTGCTCAGAAATAATCATTGTTAATATTTAGTAAACTTCCTTCCAGGCTTCTTTCTATGCATACTTTATGAGCTGACTTGTTGCAGTTCTTTCTGGCTCAATGATTCTACAAATTAGGTGGCCTTTGGCCCAAGTGGTTGTTGTGTTTAATAATAAAAATAGCTACTGCTCATATATTGTACATCTGATGTGCTCCAGACATTCTATTGGTGCATTATGTAGTCCCAGTCCTTCCAAGACCAACAGGCACAAGGAAGTTTTCCTATTTGCAGAGAGGTTATGTAATTTGTCTAAATCACATGGAGTGAAAGGAGCAGCAAAACACAAATCTGGGTGTGTCTGCACAGCATATTCTCTTTCTCCTACAATGTGCTACTTCTCTGAGACCCAGGGGTGCCCCTGATCCCTGCCACTTTGTTGTGACTCCTGGAAGTGGGAGTGCCAGAGTCTGACATCAGCTCAGTTGGTTCATGGGCCTCAAATGGCCAGCCCAGAAAACAGAAGGAGCTCGCTCCTCCCCTACTCTCTCTTTCCTTTTGTCCCCTTCCCCCACATCCCAGAGGTCAAGAAGCTAAACTGTCTAGGCTCCCAGGTTAGTTCAGGCAGCTGTTCAGATGGCTTTTACTTTGAAAAATACTGTAATTCAAACCTCTTTCATGGGGATAAGGTTAAGAAAAAGTCAAGAAACTCAGTTCCATTGTTTTCAGTCCCAACAATACCAAAGAGCATGTAGGCTTTTTCATTTTGTTTCGTTTTTTGTTTTGTTTTGGTCATCGTTATTATTGGGCTTTATAATTGAAACTTTGTGCGGATGTAACTTTCTTCTTTCCTGAGCTCCCCGTTCTGCCCAGAAACTTCTCTCTTGGGCAAGTCACAGACCAAAGAGTCTTGCAGCAGTCCCAAGCAGCCGCTAAGAGTCACAGATTCAGGCCGCACTGTTGTCAGGGCAGGCTGGCCACCACACCCAGAAGGGGAAGCCTGTTGTGAGTGGCCTCTGTCCAAAGCAAGCAGTGTCCCGTGTGCCAGGGGCCACTCCTGGCTGAAAATGAACTAGTTTTCTCCTCTCTCCTTTACCACTTTCGGGGACCTAAGAACTGAATCCAGAAGAACCAAGCGGCCTGAATGTCAGAGGCTCTTGGTGGGCCATGCAGTGGGCTGAGATCCTCTGAGCAGAGGTCTTCCATGCAGAGTGGTCTGCAGCAGTCTAGATGAATCAGGCTGGGTTGCCAGTGGGCGTGAGTCAGCAATAAGATGCCCTCTCCCCACTATACTTGCATAACTCTAAACACAGGCTTTGTCTTCCCTAACAATCACTCATCTGGCTGTGACACACTGGAGCCTGCTTCCTGGAGGACATGTTCATGGGAAAAATATTTTAAAAGAGGGTGTCCACACCTGAGCTTCAGCACTGTGTGCAACGGTAATTCATCTCAATTGCTGGACGTATAATACGGTCACATGTCGCTTAACGACACGTTCTGAGAAATATATCATTAGGTGGGTTTGTTGCTGTGGAAACATCGTCCAGTATACTTACACAACCTAGATGGTATAGTCTACTACACACCTAGGCTATATAGTCCTGTATGTGGTCAGTTGTTGACCAAAACATTGTTATGTGGCACATGACTATATGTGGCAAAGCACGAACAAGCTGGTTTTCCAAATGACTTGCCTCAAGATTTGGGACCCATTTAATAATAACAACGATAGAAACAACAGCAACAACAACAATGAACATTTTTATAGCACTGAACATGACCCAGACAGTTCACTAAGCACTTGACATATATTAACTCATGTATTTTCCCCATTTTACAGATAAGAAAACTGAGGCGCTATGATGGTAACCAACTTTCCCAATGTCACAGAGGTAGTAAGAACCTGAACCAGAGCCTCAGGAATTCCAATTTCTTAACCCAGCTCAGGAGTTTGACTTGGATGTTCATGTGATGGAATGGTGGAGGACAGAAGAAAATTGTAAATCACAAGTATTTCCCAGTTGATAACTTCTCAAACCCAAGAATGGCTCAGGTTGGCTCCCGGCACTTGGCATGTCATGGTTCTATCATGCTAATTCCATATGCCGGAGCTCATTGAAGTTGTGGCTGGCTATCTGGAAGGGGAGAAAAATCCCCCAGACCCTGTGCTGGCTGGAAGTGTTTGGCATTTGGGGCGAGTGTGGGTGTGAAAAGCAGCTTGTTGTAATGCTATAGGATGTCTGGACCACACTAAGGAGAGGCCCTGGCAACACTGCTAAGAAATGGAACATCACTCGTCAAGAAGAGACCCCATTGCAGGGAAACTCTGATGGCTGAAGTGCTCATATGCAGGTGGGGCTTAGCCAGGAGAACCATGAGAATTCCCAGATGGTCAGTGGGAAGGATGCTAAGGTGACCACCATGATTTTCACTTCCCAGCTCATGGGACAATGTCCTCCAGGTCCTATGACCTGAGGGTTGAAAACCCAGATAACTTTGAATTACTTTCTTATTGCTGTTGTAAAAGTTACCACTAATGGAATGGCTTAAAGCAAGGAAAATTTATCTTATAATTCTGGAGGCCAAAAGTCTGACATGGGTCTCACTGGGCTAAAATTAAGACATCTGGAAGGCGATGTTCCTTTCTAGAGGCTCTAGAGGAACATCCATTTGCTTGCCTTTTCCAGCTTCTAGAGGTGGCCCTCAGTCCTCGGCTTATGGCCCCTTCCATCTCCAAAGCTGATAATGGCCCATTGAGTCTTTCTTACATCGCTTTACTGACATTGAGTTTTCTGCCTCTCTCTTCCACATACTGGGACCCTTGTGATTATGCTTGGCCAAGGACAAGCTTTCTATCCCAAAGCCAACTGATTAGCACCTTTTTTGCTTCCTTAATTCTCCCTCACCATGTAACATATGCACAGGTTCAAAGGATCAGGACTTGGACGTCTTTGGGAGGCCATTACTCTGCCTATCACAGGCCACAGATGGAAAGGGTGGAAACCCCTATCACGAACATTCTTGGCCCAGTTGAGGGCCTGCTAAGCAGCTGGTGGTCTCTGCCACATGCTGGAGAGAAATCGTTGGAGACCTGCCTCAGAGAAAACACTGGAAATCACATAAATGGTTTTTAAAGAACTACAGCTACGTCCATCTTCTTGAGTCAAAAAACTCATTTCTGCTCCCTGTCAGAACCTAAAAAAGAACCATCCTGTGGGGTCAAATCATTGACACAGGCAGCCTGGAATCCTTCTGAACAGCGACTACAAGGGACAGTTTGTAGGAGAACGTGAGTTAACTCAGTTCTAAAATCTCAGAAGAACGCATCCAGAACATTCCTTCATCATGCATCTCGGATCTGTTAGGCACAACTTCAAAGCCAGCTCGAGCCTGTGGGTGTGTTTAGCCTGTGTGTTTCCCAGGGCAGCAGCGTAGAACTCACAATGTGCTTCTATTTCTTGGTCTTGAACCAACCCGTCAGGAGTGTGGAGGAGTAAGGGCCCTAATTTCAAGCCAGTCAGGGTTTACTCTGTCCATAGATTTATCTTTCATACTCTTCTCTGGCCATCTCTCAGTTTCAGTCTGTCCAGCCTGAAATGGTTTACTTTTTAAATTTTGTGCATGTTTTTATCTTTTTTATTTTTAAACTTTTGACATGCATAGCTCATTTGAGGATCGTGACAGCAGCTCTCTCTGTCGGTCGGTCAGGAGCAGTGCAGATGCCATGTGTGCCCTTGGGAAGGTGGCTTGACCTCTGTCTCAATGTCCTTGTCTGCAATATAAGGATAATTACAGCACCTGCCACCGAGGGATGACGTAAGGAGTGAGTGAACCATGCAAAGCCCTTAGAACAGTGTCTGGTACTTGGTAAAGCTGTGATACACCATAGCTGTTATTATTATCAAAAGATTAAATAAGACACAAACCTCTTTTACTGTCACAGAACTGGCCATTTTGATGCCACCAGACCATTGATATTCACTCCATTTTGAGCACGACAGACACATTCCTAAGCAATATGCTTCTTTGTTTTGCTTTATAGGAATACATTTGACCCTTGAACAACATGGACTTGAACTGCCTGGGTCTACTTATATGTAGGTTTTTGTTTTTTCAACCAAACACAGATAGAAAATACAGCACTTGCAGGATACAAAACCTTTGTGTATGGAGGACAACTTTCCCTATACTAAGGGGCAGTCCCCCACATACACCAAGAGGCATTCCTACAAATGCTTTTTCTTGTAGTGGAGGGTAGACATCAAAGCCCACTGTTGAGGGGGTAAATGATAGGCAGATGGAAAGCCGGGCACTTATGCCAGGGCCAAGAGAAAGCTCCTCTATCCAGTTTGGGTTAGGGATGTAAATAAGGCATAGTGGGTTCTCTCAGGGCTCTTTGGTGCTGGCTGTCTTCCTGATTCTCACCCAAACTCAAAAGGGAACCTCCCAGACAGTGCTACGTTGCCTTCACAGTGAATCAAATCCTGTTAATCCAAAAGGCCACCCCAGACATCACGAACAGATCTTGGCCAAGTCCATTCTAATCCAGCTTCAACCCCACCATGCCCCAACTCCACTTTCCACTCTGCGCCTTGTGGCAGTGTTGAATGTCAGGGAACTCTCCTTGGGGACTGTAAAAAAGCCCTCAGGCTTCCCATCCCAGGGCAGGGCCACTTGCTCTCCTCTGCCCTCATGCCTGGTATCCGCTTTCTACTCTCATCACAGCCTGCCTCTGAATTGCCAGCTTCTACCACCAAGCCTGGAAGAACTTCAGGGACCAAGAACCTTAACTCCAAATGGAACACAGGCCACAAAAATTCCTCAAATATGTACACCAAAACAAAAGGGTCCCCGGGGATTCACTTTATCTTACCAAGTTTCAGCTGAAGGGGAAGCATTCTAATGGCAAGTAAGAAAAGCTGTCAGAGAACTGTTTTGTTCAACATCAAATGCATTCCAGGCCTTATTTAATCAGGGAGCCCTCTTCACAGCTGATGCAGAGGTTGTTCCTGCAAATTGTTCCTGAGTCAGGGAGAGGAGCCTTGATTTTCAATGCAAAATAATGTTCTTTTGGCACAGGCAAAGTTGGTTGGCAGCTGGAGGTTTGGGGTGACCTCTGACCCTCTCCCACAGTTCCTCCCAAGTCCCACTGCACAAAACTAAGCCACCCTCAAATCCCAGGCTCTAATTGGCTCTTTGGTTTGTTTTGCTTTTCTCTTCTATCCAGAGCTTCAAAAGGCACTTCGATAATTGTTTGAGGCATGAAAAAGGCAGGTTTCAGCTTTCCTAACTGGAATGGAGGTAATTACTGTCTTCCACACACGAGCCGGTACATGCTTGAAATCAGATGGCTCTGGGTTGTTTTAGAAAGTGTAGCTGGGCCTCTGAGCCAGGAGAGGGAGGATTATGGAGCCTTCCAGCGGCTCCATTCCAGAGAGGGAGGAATTCAGACATCCCAGAAACGGTGAGGGTAACTTCCATATTTTTTTTGCAGTCTCTTCAATTCTGCCCAAGAGATTTGGCCTGAAAAGATTGTGCCTTCAACCTCATCCTGGAAATTCAGGTAGCATTTTTCGGTTTTCTCTCTCAGGAGACAGAAGCTGACACCCCACATGACTCCCATCTTGTCTGTAATCAGCAACCAGGGCTTTGACCTGCACTGTCCTCCTTTCCAGCAGCAGAAAGGGGTCAAACTGAGCCAGGTCTAGTAAGAGCTATCTCAGAGAACCAGAACACGGATTTGCTTTTGTTCTCTCAGGACAGCAAACCCAAGGGAGGGCAGACTCAGGCTCACATCCCACTCACACGGCCCTGAGTGTGGACTGGGAGCAAGACGCTGCTTCAAATTTCAGCCTGCCAGCTGTGTGTCCACAGGCAGCTAACAAACATCTCTCATCCAGCCACAGCCTCACCCAGAGAAGAGTAACCGACCCAACCTTATAGCGTTGCTGTGAAGTCAGTTAACATAGGGCTGAAGTTTGCTGTGAAGTCACAGCAACCCTATGTTATGGTTAACTTCATTTAACATAGGGTTAATGTAGGTTTAATATGAGGGGCTAACAATTACATATAAATGTTAGCTACTGTAATTGTCAGATGCATGGCCACTGGTGCCAAAGGAACCACTCTGAAAATTCTGGAGGTTTTCAAGACTCTGGGGATTCAGAAATGGAGGAAGAAAAGAAGCTGCTGCAGGAACAGTGCAGGGAAGCTAGAAGGGAACAGGGTGGCAGCCCCAGCTCAAAAGGTCTTCCCTCTCAAGGGCACCACCTGAAACGTATAAGGTTGCCTGAAATTCCACAGATTAGACATTTAGTTTTGCTTCTTTACAACAATATATCTCAAAGAGAACTGGCTGGTTAAACATTATTCATACATCTGTGTGAACTGGTTTATTTGCTCTCTTCCTAATACCTACACACTTAGAAACTCCAGGGAGCAAAGAGCTTGGGTCTGAGTTAGGGACTAGGAAAGGAACAGAAAGTAATAACTTAGAGTCATGAAGCACTGTCCAAGACATGGCCAGCTGTTCAGACTCTGAGAGCCCCAGTTCAATTCACTGGCTGGCCTGCAGACAGCCTGCCTGGCTCATGAGAAGGGAGGAGTGGGGAGTCAGGACCTGGAGGTCCTGAGGTGCTTTTCTGATGTTGGTACTTTCACGTTGCCCACTCATAAAATACCCTTTGTAAATGGCTTCTGGGACTCCCTCCTCTCTGGGAGTGCCTCCTTCGTGAGCTCTGCATATGGGTGGCCCAGAGAGCAGGCCCCAGCTGTTGCCTCTCCTCAGACATTCCATCCCTATGACCTCATCCAGGTGCGGGCTTGAGTCACCACTCCACTACAGACTCTCTTGATTTGGATATTCAGTTGCCTACTTGACATCTCCCTTTCAAGTACCTCAAACAAAACGCTCCATGTGCCCTTACCCCTACCCCCTGCCACCCAAAACAATCCAAACAAAAACTCCATCAGCCTGGTCTCCATGGACATGTTCTTGATGCAGTCAACCTTTCAGGACTATTGACGTTTCTCTTTGTACCTTGTACTTTTCTTTCACAGCCCTTAGGACAATGTATAATCACTTACTTATTTTCATATTGACTTGTGTAATACCTGTTTCCCAATAGACTGTAAAATTCATGAGAATGAGACCAGGTGGTTTGTCTCCTGTTCTTCCCCACACCCTAACTGGCACACAGTAGGTCCTCACTATGTATTTGTTGAATGGATAGTATTAAAGTGAAGATGGGTCCTAGGGTGAGGAAGAGTTTCTGGGCACAAAGAAAGGCCATGAAACCTGGCAAAAAATACATATGAGCTCATATCTTGTTTTCCTGAGGAGCTATTTGGTTTCTTCCTCCTCCTATTTGATGAAGTTATATGTTTAATTAAAGCCCTGAACAGTTAGAACAAATGTATAGGAAATGATCACATGATCATGAACTTAGCAAACAGCTACAAGCTTAACTGTCTAATATGGGGAGTGCCTAAATGATATGTATCAATATGGTTGACTCTCAGTTATCCATTCCAGTGGATAATCTAATAGCCAGTAATCTAATAGTTCATAATTTACTTGCCTATAATCCCATAAGTTTTACATGTGGCTTTGGATTATGTTTTGGAATTTGCACCAGGGTATGGGGGCTCTGATGGTTTAGGAATTCACAGTACTTTGAGCATATATGTCCTATGTCACTACCCCAGTTGCCCATTAAGGATTCCTCTGGGTTCCAACTGCATGTGGAAAAAATACTGCATTGTGCTTAGGAGGAAAGTGCATTGGTCTTTGTTTGTTTGTTTGTTTGTTTTGTTTTGGCTGTAAAAATTGGGGTCCAAACCCCAGCTCTTGCATTTACTAACTAGCTCTGTTTTCACACTACTTGTCCCCGTCTAAACCACTCCCTCAGGCAGGTGCAAAACAAGGCGAAAGCAGAGTTAAGCTCCTTATGAACTTTCTGTTTTACATCTAGGCAAAGAAACGTTCTCTCTTCTCCTTTTTTTCTCTTTTTCTTTCTGCCTTAGAAGACCTTCTCTTCCAGCTCAGTGGGATGAAGTCAACAAGGTCTTTGCTTTACAAAATCATGCCTGATTGGGAAAGATCCTGAAAATGTCTAGACAAATCTGAAAGAAAAATGCTGTCCTGGGCAATCTAATACAGAAAACTGACTCTGGGCTTTCCCTGGGCTCCACTGGTCCCACCAATGGTGCAAATGACGGTGACTTTCTCCACGTTCTACATACATCTGGGCATTTGCTCATGCTGTCTTGGGTCAAAGTCTCAAGTTGGAAAATGGATTCATCCTGAGATCCAAGGCAGAACCAGTCGTGTTGTCAGTGGGTAGCTGAGACCCCAAAATTCCCACCTCTTTTCCTGTCATGAAGTTTCTATCTCGAGAGAAAACAGCTGTCCATTCTTAGGCCAACTGGGACTGAAGCCAGCTGTTCCTTCCAGATGCCAAGAGTCAGATGCACGCCCACTCTTTTCTCCTATTCCCTAAGGCTGAAGTCTCAAACTTTATTGAATTTATTAATAACCTCAGGGACTTGCTAAAAAGCATTTCCCCAGGCTCTACCTCCAGAGAATCTGATTCAGTTAATTCAGGTTGGCCAGGAAATCTGCATGTTAAATAACAACCCTCCTGCCCCACCTCATTTCTGATCTCTAGGAAATTCCTATGTAATTGGTCTGAGAATCATACTTTGAGTGACAATAGCCACAGTGGAGGCACTGGTGTGCCGGTAAATGTTTAACAACTGGCTCTGGAGGTGGAAAAGCCTGGTTTGTAGCTTGCTGATTTCTGTGGTATAAATATTCCCACCTTGGTCAACTCAAGCTACAAATATGACATCATGATTGTGAAGTTGGGAAAAGGTTTGTGCAATCAGTTCTGATAAGCCCATAGTAACTGATTTCAGCATGCCCACTGGGTGGAAGTGGCCGGATGCCTCCAAATGCTGGTTCCTAGGCTCTGGCATAGAAGGGCCACTGTTTGGTCCAGAATGTCACATCCCCTAATTTTTTTTCCCTAAATCCTTCGTTTTTTGAATGGTTTGTTTTGGTTACTGGCTCTCGGAGACCTTGAGGGGTTCCAAGCCAGAGAACAAAGAAGGGGAAGAGAAGGAGCTCCAAGAAAGAAAATGCAATTAGTGTAGGATGTTGGCCTCAGCTACGCTGCTAACCTTGTTCAACCCAGCTTTCAGCAGGGAAGGGGTTTCAAACACCTGTCTCTGCCTTCATTTGATAAGCTTTCTGGTCAAGTCACATTAACCTGATCCTGCTGACCTGGAGAAGGATGAAAAGGCTGAGTGTCGGGGACCTGAGGGGATGAAAGTGGATGGGGGAGGCCTGGGGGGGGGGCTCATATGACCTGGGGTCACCATCGGCTTAAGGCTTCCCCTTTGTCTCCCTGCTCTGGCCCCATGTTTGAAGGTTCTGGTGATTTCCTCCCGCCCCCCGACTAGGCGAACAGATGTGGAAAGATCTCCAGTTCCCAGGGCTCAGGACACAACTGCCTGTTGTTTCCCGCCTGCAGACCGGGGCCTGCAGTCACAGGCAGAACAGCTACGCAATCACTTGCCAAAGAGCTGAGCCCAGTCAGGTGTGGGGTGCAAGCCTACTCTGCCTTTTGGGAGTGAGAGGATGTGTAAGCCTAGCTGAACAAGAATGGAAAACAACCATGTTCCCGCCCTGTTGTGCTCTAAGTTCACTGTGTAGGAATTCAGAGGCACTTTAGCAGAGGCAATGACTTGAGCTCTTCCACGGCAATACAATGCTCACAGGTGCCATGACCATTTGAACAAACGCTGCCTTCTGGGCCAGCTGCTTCTCTTGTCCCACACTGCAGGTACTGCCAACGTGAGAACTTTGCCCACTTCTAGACTGGAGTTGAGGGCACCCTGCTACTCTAAAAAGGATGTTTTCCTCAGCCCACTGAGCTTTCAGGGCTCACTAGATCAAGGCGGTAGAAGAGTTACAAAGGAAGGGGTGCAAGTGTTAGCTTCCTTATGTACCTTATTTATTCAACACTGATAGTTTCAGAAATGGCTTAGAGCCTAGCTTCCTCACCAATATCCATATACCTTTGACAAGTGGGACAAATAAAAGCATAAAAATATCTCCCTTAAATAAAACGCCTTTCTCATATCTAGTCCATCTACAAGAATAAGCTGATACCTAATGATATGTTTTCTAGTTTATGCAATAAATGGTGGTGATTACAATTTTGCACAAAGACCTGGTACATATACGTCTTAGCATGTAGCACATTTACCTGTAAATGCTACAAGTAGCAGAATGACAGCCATCTCCCTAAAGCACTGATTCTCCAAGTGAGGTCTGCAGTCCCCTGGGATCCCTGAGACCCTATCAGGGTGTCTGCAAGCTCAAAATTATTTTCATAATTTTGATAATATTTCATAATAATACCAAGATGTTATTTGCCTTCTTCACTGTGTTGACATCTGGGTAAAATTGCTGGTGCTAGACTATGCTGGCAGTCACGGCATTCTTCACTGCTACAAACTTACAGGGGGAATAAATGCCAGTTTCACCAAAGAATGTCCTAAATTAGACAGTAAAAATTATTAATTTTATAAAACCTTGCCCAAAAGGTACTTTTTCTCTCCTCCCCTCCTCTCCCCTCTCTGCCTCCCTTCCCCTTCCCCTTCCCTTTCCTTTCCTTCCCTTCCCTTCCCTTTCTTTTCTTTGTGTGATGACTTGGAAACAAAGTATCAAGCATTTCTGGTGCATCCTGAAGTATGATGGTCATCTGGAGGAAAAGCACTTGTGTGAGTGTCCTGAGTTGTGATCTGCACTAGTCACTTTCATGGAACACAATGTTTACTCAAAAGGACCAAATAACCATAGTTATTCAGATTTGGTTATTTGACAGGCATTTTCTCAAAAATGAACAAACTGAGCTCATCACTTCAAGAAAGACAATAATTAACAGTATTTTCTGCCAAAATAGAAGTATAAAGCAAAAATTAGAATTTTTAGAAACCTGTATCTGCCATAGTGAACTTAACACCTTCCCAACACTTACAGAGGTTTTTGATGAGATCAGTGATATTAACAAATAAGAACTTTTAGTTTTCATCAAGAAATATATCAAATTTGAAAAATCTGCATGACTTAGTGAAGCAATATTTTCCAAATGACCCATGCATATTATTTCAAAATCATGCATGAGCAAAAGATCTATTCAGAGTACAAGCCAGATAACTGAATTTTAACATAACTGAGCACAAAAAGTTCATTGATATAGTTTCAGATTCCACATTGCAACTAACCTTAGTAATCTACTATTGGTTGAGTTTTGGTATAATGTCAAAGAAGAATATTCACAATTATCTGAAAAGACTATTAAAATATTCCTCCCTTTTCCAACAAAATAACTACGTGAGGCTGGGTTTCCTTCGCATACTTTATCCAAAACAACATTATCACAGCTGATTGAATGCAGAAGCCGATATGAGAATCCAGCTGTCTTCTATTAAGCCGGACAGTCAAGAGATTTGCAAAAATGTAAAACACTGTCACTCTTCTCACTTGGATTTTTTAAAAAAGTTATTTTTATAATAAAATGTTATTTTTAACGTTTAAATGGATTAATGAATATATGCATTTTAATAAATTACTAAATGTTAATTTATTCATTAACAATGAATAAATATTAAATGAACAAATATTATTTTTGGTTTTAGTTTTTAATATGGTAAATTATTTAATTATCTATTGCTGTATAGCAAAGTATCCTAAAACCTAGTGGCTTAAAACAACAATAATCACTTGAGTTGCCAGCCTAAAGAAATGGGTCCAGCTTCCGGGCAGGGCGTGGTGGCTCACGCCCGTAATCCTAGCACTTTGGGAGGCCGAGGTGGGCGGACCACAAGGTCAGGAGATCGAGACCATCCTGGCTAACATGGTGAAACCCCGTCTCTACTAAAAATACAAAAAATTACCCGGGCATGGTGGTGGGTGCCTGTGGTCCCAGCTACTCGGGAGGCTGAGGCAGGAGAATGGCATGAACCTGGGAGGCAGAGCTTGCAGTGAGCCGAGATCATGCCACTGCACTCCAGCACTCCAGCCTGGGCGACAGAGTGAGACTCTGTCTCAAAAAAAAAAAAAAAAAGAAAAGAAAAGAAAGAAAGAAAGAAAGAAATTGGTTCACCTGGGTGGCTCATACCTGTAATCCCATCACTTTGGGAGGCTGAGGTGAGATGATCATTTGAGGCCAGGAGTTTAAAACAAGCCTGGGCAACATAGCGAGACCCCATCTCTAAAAGAAAAAAAAAAAAGCCAGGAATGGTGGTGCACACCTGTAGTCCTAGCAACTTGAGAGACTGAGGCTGAAAGATCACTTAATCCCAGGAGGTTGAGGCTACAGTGAATTGTGATTGCACCACTGCACTCCAGCCTGGATGACAGAGGGAGACCCTATCTCTCTAAAAAAAAAAAAAAAAAAAAGAAGAAGAAGAAGAAAGGAAGAAAAGAAATTATTGGTCCATATGTCTGAAATGTCTTTGCTGTCTATCTTTGTCCCGTTGCTCATAGTTAGACCATCATTTAGGCAACTTCTTGCTCACTTACCCTCCACAAGCTTGGACACAGGTCCTTCTAGCTCTGTTTCTTCTGAACTTGAGATTACTGGAGACTCCCTTATGAGTTTTAACACTCCCCATAACCTTTGTATGATTTGTACATAGAAAATACCCCCAAAATTAAAAATAAATTATTAAACTAAAGGAAAGGTTAGTAAGATTGCTGGACATAAAATTAATATTTGAAAATAAATTATATTCCAATAAGATACACAAATGGCCAACAAGCACATAAGAAATATCTTTAGTATCACCTGCTCTCTGCAGCTCCCAGGCACACCTCCCCAGGAGCAGAGGTTTTCTGGGCTAGGTCAGGCCCTCCCATTACCTGCTTTGTAGAAGACAGGGAAGAAAATCACTCACTGTATGTAATTTTATTTAAGAGAGTGCAAGAATGTCGTGTTTGAGCCTTTCACTCTTTTTTCTTTGTATTTCTTATCGGAAATGAAAGAAAACAGCCAGTGAGATAGGATCTCAGGTCTAGAATTCCTAGCAGGTAATTTGGGAGTTGAAAACAAATCTCCCCTGAAATGCATTAAGCAGGTGAAGGGGATTCCAGTTTCAACTCTGAAACCACACCTTATCCTGGCCTGGCAAATAACTTCCTTCCAGCCCCAGGCAAATCCCAACTTCCACCCGCCAAATGCCTGCAGTTAATAAACGTTTAAGCAACAACAAAAACCCCAAGTGGAAAATGGAAGACTGATTCGAGGCTGAGATACTAGAAGGGCTGCCTGGGAGCCCCTCTCTGAGAGCCGCGCCCACAGGAGGAACTTTTAGCCAGGGAAGCCGGGGCCTGGAGCTGGGGAACCCAAGGCATGATGTCTTTCAGAGCGTCAGAGCAGGGTAAATATCTGATTTGAGTCAAATGATTATTTTTCTTGATCAGATTTGTCCACTTGTTTCATTGGAACTCCATACCACTAGCCATGGTCAAACCCTTCAAAATGGCCAAAATCTCCAGACTGCATTATTGGGCCACAGTAGGTCCTGCTTCCTGCTAAGTGCTGCAAGACTGGAGTTTCCAAGCTCTGGTCTAGATAGGTCAGCTGAGGGTTGGTAAGGAAGTTCTCATGGGTCCAGAGAGAACTAAGAAAAAAAGGATCATGTTATGCTGTGGAAATGTGCTCCGCGGTAATTTTTATTCCCATTTTACATATCAGAAAACAGAGGCTCAGAGACGTTGAATGACTTGCCACATAGCTAGTCAGTAGCAGAGCGAGGATGGAGATTCACATGATCAATCACAGTGACCACCGTTTGCTGAGCACCTGTAGTGAGACAGGCAAACACCTTGTGCTTTGTGTGTGTTAACTTGTTCAGTTCTCGTGGATTGCTTCCTTTTTAAAGAAATGAAACTGTTCAACAGAGCTTCCTGCCATAAGGGAAATCTTCTACATCTCACGTCCAATAGATAGCCACAAGCCCCATGTTGCTATTCAGCCCTTGAAATGTGGTAAGTGAAACTGAGGAACAAAATTTTAAAATTTTATTTCACTTAAATTGATTTAAATGTGAACAGCCACATGTGGCTGGCAGCTCTGGGAGGTTCAGTAGCTTTTCCAAAAGCCAGCGAAGTGATGAGGTGAGGGTTGTGTTGTGGGGCTGATTGAGCCCCAAATCCATGTGTTTCCCCCTTTCTCTCTGCTCCCCTGTGAGGTGGCCTGCCTTTTCCAAAGTAAAAGACACTGGGAAGGAAACTGACCAGACAGTATACAGTCAGCCAAAAATAAAGCCAGACCCCAAAGGTGGGGTCTGTATTTGAGTCTGCTTCTTCCGAATGTGTCTGGAAGCCCCCATGGGTGGCCAAACAGCCCAGCTGGGGGCTTCAGACCCTGCACCAGTAACTTCCCAGAGCCCACCATGGCCCATTTGGCTGGGGCTTATATGACTCACAGGTTCCAACCCTACAATTTAAACTGCAGCATTTCCTTTTTCTGGGCTTAACACTAATTGGTAGAGGTAGTGAGCTCCCAGGCCCAGCCTCACCCTGTCGAAACATGTAGCTCTCAACAGTTCCCACTGGAAGCACCACCCATGAGGTGCAGCTACCATTGCCATGTGTCTGAATGCCAGTGTTTAACCCAAGCTGGCCCATTGTTGTTCCATGAGCCTCTCTATAGCCTCTGAATGTTCATCTTTGCTGCATCACTCTCCTCCAAAACCTCCAAGGACATCCTGTGAAGCTCAGAACAAAACCCAAAGTCACCACTTCCATGGCTGGCCCCTGCCCACTGCTCTGACCTAATGTATCACAGTTGTCCCCTTTTTTCACTCTACTCCAGTCTCTGGCTTCCTTACTGTTCCCCAAACACATCACACTTGTTCCTATTCCAGGCCTTTGCACTTGCTATTCCTTCTGCTTGAAATGTTCTTTCTGGATTGAACATTGCTTACTCTCTCTTCATCCAATCTCTGCTCAAATGTCACCTCTTCAGAGAGGTCTTCCTGACCCCACTGTGTGTAAAATAGTGCACCCCTCACTGCCATCTCTTAACCTGCTTCCTTTCTCAAGGCATTTATCACTAGTATGTATGTTTGTTGGTTTGTTTGCTTACTGTCATCCATACTAAGATGCAAACAGGGTAAGAAGGAACAGTGTCCTTTTTTTAACCCTGTATCTCCAGTTTCTAGAAGAGAGGCTGCCACATGGGTGCTCACTGAATATTTGTTGAGTGAATAAATGAATGCATGCATGCATGACTGCTCACCTAGAGTGTGGGGGCCAGGGCAGAGGTGGGCTTAGGCTGTCTCACTCTACACAGACCCGCACTTCCATGATTTGGATGCTGAACCATGAGAAACAAAGAGATTTGCTGGTTTAATTTCTTTTGCCCTGGGAAAGTTAAAGATCACAGATAATCCAGAACTCAGTGCCAAGTTCTCTGATTTATAATCGAGGAATTATCCACATAGAGGTAAACAAGAGCAAAGGACTGACAAGCAAACCGTAGGAGGAGAATGATGAGAAACAGACGGAGAGACCCATGCAATCTGCAGCCTCCAGCTAGTCTGGGTTCCCGCCAGCCCTCACTCAAATTTGGATCCAGAGAATCTCTGCTGATGTTCACTTCCAGATTCCTTTGGGCCACACTGCCAGGTGGCTGTTGGGAGTGGGGGTCACTGCAAGTGGGGGCAGCCTAGGCAAGTCACCCCTTTATCTGACAATGATATTTCGCACTCATCTGAAAGGCACACTCAAGAGGGCAGGCGTTTCCCAAAGATGCCCCAGGCTCACAAAAGTCACCAGACTTTCCCCAAACCTAGATTTTGGGGGGAAAAGTCCTTTCCTTCTTTAATGTAGTCCACAGAAATGTGTCTGTTTTATTCCACCTCTAGAAACTTCAAAGAAACAAAATTAGCAGTGCCTAGAAGCATCTGACACATAGGAGGTAGTAAAAACTGAATGAATGAATGAATGAATGAATGAATTACAATATCAACCCAAAAGGGGAACAGTGGCCTTGTGAAGAATGAGATAGTCAAGCAAATCCTGGACTCCCTATGCCCCCTAGATCACTTTGGATATGCCCTGAGGCCTCAGTTTCCCTATCTGTAAAATGAAAGCCTGGCCTAGCTGAACTCCAATTTCCCTCTCAGCTCCAACACTCTCTAATTCTCTGAACACGCCTTAATAGCTTCTTTATTGTAGACTAGTTCTTACATGTGTCCTGCTGAGAGCAAGGTCTGCTGGTCTGGCCTTGTTTTTAAACAGCAGAGGTTATTTAATAGCAATTCTCCCAGAATATTTTTCATGTTTTCCATGAAAGAAGGTTCTGGAAGGTAGCCATCATCAAAATAGGAAGTAAAGCCAGGTTAGTGTTCCACTTATCAGATAATACGGGCTTAACCAAAATTCCTGTCACCCCCTAGGGTGATTCTGGGAGCTTGACCAGATTTCAGAGGTTTCATATTCAAAGCAGTGAGAAATCATCTCTGAGGCTTGTGGGATTTGGTACCTGTTTCCCTTCTTTCCATGTCTCAGGGCTGTGGGTGCCAAGTGAAGGCTGCAGTAACCCTTCCAGCCTCAGAGAAGCGCTCTGTCCTGTAGGCCATGAGAATGCCCAGGCTGGCCCGGATCATTCCTCTGTCCACTTCAGCATTTCACTTTATGCTGCCTGTAAATCTGACCATTTCTTCCACTCCTAGAGGTGTCCCAAAGCACTAGTTCAGCAGAATTCAGACTCCTTTACCTTTCCCAACTCTACTCACAGCCTCAAGTCACCAGGGAGAGAAAGAGCACCTGACCGAGAGTGGGACCAGGATTCCAGACCAGCTTTAGATGAGCATCTCTCTGGGCCTCAGTGTCCTTGGATGGGAGGGAGGTGGAGACTGGGTGTGGCTGCTTGTCCTGTCCCTTCCAGTTTGATGATTTTCCCTAGCCCAGAGCCAGAGCTGGCCCTTTTCCCTCAAGGAAGCCATGGTTTGTATGCTATGTAGCAGCTACAAATGCAGGGGCTTTTTTATCCCTTTTCTTTTCAATGATCCTAGGTACTATAGGAAGAGGCAAACATTTTTATGATCCCAGGAACCAAATAACATAATGAAAATCATGGCAACCATCAGCCCAATAAAACCCATGGCAAAAGCCTCCACATTCTCAAACAGGACCCTGGGAATTTAAAGCTCTCAGAAGCCTTAAGTGGCTCAGGCCTTGCTGAAGGCCTCGGGACGGCAGCTGATGGCTGATGAAAGGATTTTGACGCGCCACTGAAATTCTCTTTTCCAAAATAACCACTTTGAAACCTGTTAATTACAGACACACAACCAGCCAGAGCCCCCCAACAGGACCCAGGGCTTCTACCAGGGAGAGCCGGGCTCCAGAGGCTGGCCGCTGCCTTGGCGCTCCATACACTTTGTGTTGGGTGACTTCGCTTCAGGAAGAGAATCCAAAGTAATGAAAACCACATGGCCACTCCCCCGCCCCCAGCCTCCTACTCTACCTCCCTTCCCTGGAGACAGAGGCCGGCTCAGTCTAATTTGGTCCAGTGTTTTTGTTTCCTAAAATCTGTCTTGGGCCCTGGGCCATTAATAGGTTGCAGCTGATTTTAATCTGCATGAATCAGAGACCTCACTTCTTCAGTTTTAAGGAGATTACAAATTGTGTGTCCCACAAACTCAGGATGGAGGGAAAAAGCCCTGGATGGGGAGTGGCAGTAGGGGAGACAGATCCTGGAAGGCACAGAAACTGCTCCCCACTCAGCAGTGGGCTTGAAGGAGCCTGGGATCACTCAAAGCTGGGGGAGTGGGGCTAGGGGGAGGTGAGGGTCTTGCAGCTGTGACTCAGTGGCAAGAACACAGAACCTGGTCCTGTGTAAACAGAGCTAAAACCGAGGATCTGGACTATCAGAGGCCTCTACTCACCTATCTTCAACAAATTAATTTCCCAAGTGCTTGCGGGGCACCCCCCATAAGCTAAAGCAGGGGTAAGCAAACCATGGCCGACTGGTCAAATCCGGCCTGCAGCCCGATGTAAATAAAGTCCTCCTGGAACAAGGCCATGTCCATTTGTTTATGTATTGTCCATGGCTGCCTTGCAGTTGTGGTAGAGACCCTGTGGCCTGCAAGGCCAAAAATAGTCACTATCTGCCCCTTTACAGTAAACATTTGCTGACTCCTGAGCTAGAGAACTATCCTAGATCTCGCTAGGCAAGAATTCCACTTACAAGCCTGTTAACAAGGGATGGATTTAGGATTTACTCCATTCCCACCCCATACCAAAGTCTAGGTTCCTTCCTTCCAAACATCATTCTTCAGGAAAGTATCTTCATGCTTATTTAAGCAATGACAATAAGAAGGAATGCCCACAACCATACCACTCAGTGAAGGTTCCAAGTACTTGCCCTGACAACCCGACAGTCCCATTTCACAGATGAAACAGAGTCACTGAGATAAAGCAACTCACTGAAGTTCACTCAGGGAACAGCACAGCTAGGAAGAGCTGGGCCTCTGAGTCACAGCATGGTCCTCTGTCCATGGGATGGCCATAATGAAGGGAGCTGGGGAGCTTTAACATGGCAATGCTCCCTTACGTGTGCCACACGACCACTTGACAACCCAGTGAAGGGCTCAGGGTAGTATGTCTTCATTTTCAAGGTGAAAAACATAGCACTATCAGAGAGTGGGGATGAGAATCAGACAGGCCAGACTACACTCACCCCTTGAAAACCACCTTTATCCAGGCCCAGTGGCTGGTGAGCCCAGGCCCTCTGGCCCTAGCTGGGCCCTCACTCAATCAGGACCCAGGGCCCCCTATTTTCCCAGTGTGCCTCTAAGACAGCTCTTGCCTTCAGGCACTTCTAGGCTAGCGGGGCAGAGACAGAAAGGGGAGGATTATGATTGCATGGCAGGCACAGTGATGGAGAGCCACAAGTGGTGCTTCAGGAGGACAAAGCAGGGTCACCTTGCCCTTCCCTAAAAGCAAACCCCTTTGTAGGGAACCCTGGGTGAAGGGCCTCCAGTGGAAATGCTATTCACTAGAAATGCAAGTGGGCACCCTTCCAAGGCTTTCAGGGGCTAAAAAAGTGTTGGAATCATTCTGGGGACAGGCGGGGAAGCCAAAGAAACTGGTACCCTCTCAGAGATGAGACTGGCAGGTAAACTGATGACACCAAGGAAGCTGCTGCCTTGGAGCAGTAGGAGTTCTCCCCACGGGAACCATTTCCTGCAGGACCAGGCCTGGGGTGGAGACCCTTCCAGACAGGGTAGGAGGTCACCCCAGGCTGCAATCTCAGTGGTCTGGAAGCCCATGAAGGCTGGTTATGTCTGGGCCTTGAATAGAATCATAGACAAGCAGGGTGCCACGCTGGCTTGCGTAGAATGTTGACTCTGCAACGGTCTCTAGCTAACAGGAGCTGAAAGTTCCTACAAAGGATAGCGAGTGGCCTGTACCTCACTGTCTCTATTTCCATTGCTGTCCCCAGGTCCCCGTTCCTTGGTAAGCTTCTCCTTGAACTTTAGGCAGCACCTCAAAGCAGTTTCAGAATTCACTGAGGAGCCATGGGTCCCAGTCTTTAGAGTCCTGCTATTGTTCAGAGGTCTCCAAGTGACTAGATGTTGTGAATTGCCAGAGGGTGGCAGAGGACTCCAACCAAGCAGGGACCAAGTATAAAGCAAACTTCCATCACCATCAACAACTGGAGCCCTGCACTGGACCAGAACAGAGCCTGGGAAATGACCCCATCAGCATCTTTGGGTCCCCTCATCATGGAGACTCCCCTCAGAAATAGTCTTCAGCAGGGTTAAACCCTTGGCCAGATGGAGAAATAGCACGACACCTCTGGCTTCTGCTTCCCAGGGAGCGTGTAGTGGATCCCCTGGCACCCTCTGCTTCCGACGGTACAAAGGTTGTGGGTGTAAACCTCAAAGCTCTGTTTTGTCTAGACTTGGTTTCCGGGTGGGTTCAGGCTCTCTGCTCCATGGAACCCAACAGCCAGGAGATTTGTGCCACTGCTTCCTTGAGTCTAGACTGGCGGAGGAGCAGGGGCTCATGACTATAACATGAACGTGAACCGTGGATCAAAGTGGGTGTTCAAGACAGCTGATTGGACAAGGTCCTGAGCTATGCTGAGGAGTGATGCTGGCACTTTGGTAATGCAGTGGAATGGAATATTCCATGGTTAATTAGCAGTCACTGAGTGTCTATTGTGAGCTGGTCACCATCTGGATGAACAAACTGGCAAGTAGACTCTGAGGAGGTCACGTGCCCAGGAGTTTGTTTAGAGAGTGCAG
The DNA here is from genome assembly GCF_000001405.40 of Homo sapiens. Taxonomy (NCBI): domain Eukaryota; kingdom Metazoa; phylum Chordata; class Mammalia; order Primates; family Hominidae; genus Homo; species Homo sapiens. The sequence continues at coordinate 68,507,578 of NC_000014.9, read as the reverse complement.
TTTCTTCTCATATTGAGGTGTGCAGAATGTTCGCTTACAGGTGTGTGATCATGGGGTTGGGTCAAACTCCTCAACTTTCCTATGGAATGCCAGTCCTAGGACCCTCTGCAATCTGAAGCCCTCACACAAAGAACAGAGTATTTATGTCAAACTCTACCCTTCTGTGCTACCAAACAAAGCTGAGCCAGAATAAAGCAAAGTGAAAAAGCTCATAAACACTTCCTGGGGCTGGGCTCACAAAGTAAAGCTCAAAGAAGAACAAGCCAGATGCGTTTCAAACCCATAAACACACACGAGGACACCCGAGCTGCCACTGGCCCGAGCAGATTGGGTGCTAAAACAGCACTGGAGCAATGAAGGAGGGGGTCATTCTAAAATTAGAGCTCTACTTTCTCTCCCCTCTGAACATATATGAGTGGAATTATGGATTAATATTGAAAATTGATTTCATGTGTACTTCAAGAGCACCTGTGCGGTGATGCCCACACTCCCTCCCCACCCCCTCCACATACACACTCTCCCTCAACTCACCCCGGAGACCTAGAGCTTTTGCTACCAAGCACATCTTGTGTCCTGTATAAACAAGGGCTGGTAACTAGTACAGGAAATGAACTTCACAAGCATTGAATGTGTACCCACCTGTGGTATGGGGAGTTGCCAGATTTTTTTCTAACTGAGAATGTTCACAGAATCTCGAAACTTTCTTTCAGCTTCCCCCTCTGCACACTTGAGTGTGGGCGCCTACCATGTGTGCACACATACCCAAGCACAAAATTTCCCTCAATTTCCCCCAAGACATATCAACAATGAGATGTGCCCATACATACACGGGCACACAGCCAGCCATTCCCAAACCTTCTCCTTTGTCCCCCCCACCCGCCTTTCAATGTATAAATGAGAGCGCCTAGGTGTGCTGGTGCTGCCCCTCCCTGCCTCGGACACATGCAGAACTTTGCGCCCACTCAGCACGATCCAGCACACAGGAGCTGGGGAGCCAAGGATGTTTATATTCCCACGTGTGCACCGGCGTGCACGCACACATGCACGCGCACGCACAGCCACATTCCAGCTGGCCCCAGTACAGCTGTGACAGGCCTGGGTCTGTTTGCCATTGTTTTCCTTCGCCTCTAACAGGCGTTCATGCAACAGAGAGGAGGTCGTGAGAGGTTTCCACCACGTTTTGTAGCATTTACCCCGAGCCTGAGTGTTGGGGAGGTGGCTTTTGAGAATGAGCTATGGGTGGCAGGGTGGAAAGCAGAGACAAAGGCATTCCTTCCCATTTCCTGCCTGAGCTTCACTCGCTAATGTGCACTGCTCTGGATTGTTCAGAGATTTCTTTATGTGTCATCCTGTCTGAAACCTGGCTGGGAGGACGGAGGCTCAGCTAAAGAATTTCTGGAAGTTCTGTCTCAAGGTCCTGCTTTGTCACCTCTTATTACTACAACTGTTCTAGGCCCAGGCTGCCTGGGGGCACACTGTGTCCTGAAAGCCTGAGTGGCAGGCCCCAGCCACATAAGCAAAGACACATTTGGGTAGAAACTGAAGGAGATAAAAATGGACCCCAAGTGGCCACTATCCCTCTAGGGATTTTGGCCCACAAGAAAAGCTGGTATATAAAGAATTCCCCACCTGACCCTCAGCAGCAGTGAATGTTCTAATGATTCCCTCAGCAGTACATATGCAAAGTGGATACTGTCTTTGCACTGACAATAAGATTGGCTAATCTGGCTGGGCGCGGTCGCTCACGCCTGTAATCCCAACACTTTGGGAGGCCGAGGCGGGCGGATTTCCTGAGGTTGGGAGTTCGAGACCAGTCTGGCCAACATGGTGAAACCCCATCTCTATTAAAAATACAAAAAAGTTGGCCAGGCATGGTGGTGCATGCCTGTAATCCCAGCTACTCGGGAGGCTGAGGCAGGGGAATTGCTTGAACCAGAGAGGTAGAGGTTGCAGTGAGCCGAGATCATGCCACTGCCCTCCAGCCTGGGCAACGGAGCGAGACTCCGTCTCAAAAAAAAAAAAAAAAAAAAAAGATTGGCTAATCTACAAGTTCATTTGTTATTTCTAAGAGCCAGATGGGACTTAATGCATCTAAGACACTAACAAACCCAGAGTTCTTACTGTGTGGATCTGGACAGAGCGGGCAGCTGACAGATTTCTCACTGTGCCCCACTGAACTGTGGCAAGGGACTGGCTAGAAATACATGTACTTTGTCTGCAGCCATTGCTTGCAAACTACCCCACTCACCTCTGTGGCAGAGTCCTTTCTTCAAATAAAATCTTACTAGAAAGCCCAGTGTACAAAACTGATCAAAACAGTCTCTCTGGTTACAGGGATGAATTAGCTGTGTGTGTGCGGGCATGGGGTGTCCCCATCTGCTCCTGCTCCATCCTCGTGCTCCCTCCATCTATACTTCAGGGAATCTCCGTGGGGTTCCTTGGATCCCAGGTTGAAAACTGTTATCACAATGCAGGCCCCTTCTTGTAACAATTGTCAAACTTCGTACCCAAGAAAACACGTAATGACAAAGAGCTGCTAGGAATTTAACGGCCTTTCAAATTCGCCTGAGTTTTACATACTATGGATTTCAGCTGCTGCCCATGTTTGGTGTGGCACTAAGAGTTATGGACCCCTTGCTGAAACGCCCTGGCCTCTTGCAGGTCTGCAGTTCACAAATTAGGAATAACTGTACAGAAATTAAGAACAAGAAATGAGACTGGGGTCCCAGATGGAGCCACACCATCAAGTGTGTAGATTGGGCTCCAGTGTCTAGTGAAGAAATTTGTGCTTAAATAGTATTTGGCAATGGAGAGCCATTAAAAAGCCATATGCGATTATTACTATTAATTATTTTTTAAGCCAGGAAATGAATGATTGAAAATGAACTAGCAAAAAAAAAAAAAAAAAAAAAAAAAGAAAGAAAAAAAAAGGATTACTCCTTTGCAATTTAAGTTTCCTTTCCCATCTCTAGCTGTCTGAGCTTCCACATCCCAGTCGCAGAGTCCACTGGGAGAGTTTCCCTCCCAAGCATCATGCATGGGCCCAGCCCAGACACATTTCTCCAGTCTTCATGATCAGAGGCACTGATTGTCTGCTGTGGCATTACCTAAAGTGAGTGGTCCAGCTCAGGCTTCGGCACCCTTGTGACTGAGCAAACTCATTGATGTACACAAATGGAAACCATGCCTAAATTAAAGAATGTGCATATGGGTGAACAAAGAGGGGATTTATATGGTGTGCAGGCCAAAGTGGAGGCCTGATTCCTTGGTTTTGCCCACCTTCTTTCCTAGACCTTCAGATCCCCCTACCCCTAAATATGTCAATGAAGTCCTTGGTTTCAGCTGCGGAGTCAGGAAATACAACTGGAGGTAGCATGGGATGCTGGCCTGGAGAGTCATTGCGCCCCGATCCAGCTCTGTACTCTGCTTGCCTTGGGGAGAATTGCTAAAGCTTCTGGTACCGGAATGTGTCCATGCCTAAAACGAAAGGTACTATTAACGTGCATCTACCGACTTCAGAAGGGGCCGTAGGGATGAAGATGTAATTAAAGCCTGTGAGCACTTCGTGCTTCTTGATGAAAGACAACACCACCACCGTGAAGTTTTATTATCTACCGACTCTGTTTTTAAAATGATTCCAATTCCTTTCTGTTTTTCCTTTTGGGGTCTGCATAAACTTTGTTAGCTATTAATTTCAAAAAAGTCCTCCTTGCACCTCAGAGCAGGATTTTATTTAGCGCCTCAGAGAATTTCTTTCCATACTGCAGACCCTCAAAGGATTCCTCTTGGTCAGGGTGGAAGAGGCCTGCGTGTGTTCAGCTGCTGAGTTCAGTTCAATTTAATAAATATTTATGGAACATCTACTAACATCTTCTTAGCCCTGAAAGGCAGGGCAGGGCTGAAACAAGTAGGAAAGGTTGTGAACTTTGGAGCCAGGCTGCCTGAGGGTTGAATTCCAGCTGACACTTCCATATGGGTCCTTGGAGAGCCTCTCGTCACCTCTCTGAATCTCTGTTTGTCACCTGGAAAATGGAGATAACCCCATTCATCTCCCAGGGTAAGGTAATAAAAAGATAGAAATCTAGTGAGTGGTGGGTAGGCGCTCAGTGAGGCCTTGCCGCCTTCTCTGTAGCATCAGCCTCTGGAGGAGGGGGAAGGGAGATGCCTCCTCCTCAGCTGTTTCTCCTCCCTGAGGCCCTCTGTCTACTCCTAAAGGCTTGTCCATCCATTTTGGAAAGAATGTCAGCCGGTTAAACCAGTGCTTCTGAAATGTTCTCATGTCAATTTCTCCCATGCTCCTGGGCGGCTCATTTCCTCCACACACACCCTCCTCCACCAAAATACCTCCAAGGCCTCCCCATCATTACGCCCTCCACCCTCCCTCCAAATCCATTCCCAAGGAGGAGAGAAGAGCTTTCCTATTCTTTTGAGAGAGCACACAGTGGAAGTGGCTTTGCTTTGTTGTCTCCACTTCAGAAAAGATCAAACTGCAGGCTCCATGAAGTGTCAGTCCTCCAAAGGAGCTTCAGGTCAGAGGGAGGAGGGGTGAGGCCAGGCAGGGTAGGCTGAGGCTGTCCCAGAGGGACCAGTCCAGGCAGAACCAACACAGCCTTCCAAGATGCCCTCGCAGGGGCCCACATCACCCTGGATCTAGCCTGAAAGATGCCCCCTAGAATGTTCCCTGGCAGATATGGCTGTCCTGTCTGAGAGAACCACGATAAAGGAGTCCACACAGGATCCTGTCCTTTTCTAAATGAGGATTCTTGTCTCCCAGGTTCCCAGGGAGGACAGCGGATGCAAGGGAGCCCTTGAATAGGCACCGCAGAGGCCAACACACTTTAAATTAAGCTTCCGATGCTTAGAAGGGGCCACAGCTTCCCACAAATCCCCTGGTGCATGCAGCTTTGAGGCAGTGTTCAGTCCGTCTGTTCTTTTAGAAGTGCGCCTTGGAAGCCAGGAGTTATTTGTTTCCGAAAGGTAGGCACTCATCAGGTGGGTGGTCTTTGCATTTTTTGTGTGCTTTGATTCCCTCCCTTTTCTTTTCAGGACTATTGAGGGGTTTATTTTTCCCTCTCCCAGCAGTGCTTGGGGGTTTGGCTGCAATGTGCATCTGTGTTGGGTTTTCCCACAGGGCCCTGCAAAGGCAGCCCTGTTGCCTTCAGAAAGTCCCGGGCGGCCCGTGGGGGGAGTCGGAACTGCAGCTGTGCGCCCCCCTCCCTTCTGCAGCAGGCTTTGATCAGTTTTCGTAGGGGCTGAGTGCAGCCTGACCTCCCATCTCCAGCGTCTCTCAGGTGGAAAGTTCTGTTCAGCCTGTCTGTGGCTTCAAAGGCTCTCCCTCCTTCAGGCTGGGATGAGACTGATAATGGTTCTCATTCTGTTGTCGTGTGATCTCCCAGCAGCCCCCATCTTTCCATTGACAGGCTTTTACTTATTTGGTTGGGCTGCTTTGGCCAAACTCAAACCACCTTTCTGGTTGAGGAAGCACATTGACGTCCCCTCCCATTGAGGCTCCTTTGATGGCTCAGACGTGGCCTTCCAGCCCAGATAAAGGTGACCGGGCTGTGGCAGCCAGGCACCTGGCGAATCAGCATCTGGGCATTGGGCAGGGCAGAGGACTGTGTGAGCCTGCAAGTCTGTGAAGAGGAACACTCGGCTCCGCCCTTTCTACCTTTGAAGGCTAAGGCAAGTCGCTGCTTTCTGCTCTAGTTCCTTGCAGGAATCCAGCAGTGGTGGCCGATGTCACAGCCCACCCCATGCCTGTGCCTGAACCTGGGCTGCACATAGGCAAGGCCAAAGCCCTGACATTGACAACATTTCCAAAGAACTTGAGCCATTCACTATCTTGAGAAGTGGGCACCGGGCCAGCTGAGCTTGGGCAGTTCCTGTTCTGGCCCATTATTTCCAACGGTTGTGGCCTTACAGCCTTAGTTCTCAGTCCAAGGGGTTAACATCAGCTACCTCAGCTGCTCCAGGGCCTACTTCCGGCTCCAGCCTCAAAGTGCTGCTGACCCTGTGCTTGGGCCTTCCAGCCCCCCATGGTGTGTAAAAGGACAGGGCTGGACATCTAAGGTAGCTGTCAGCGAGTTTGCACAGGGGTTGCTGCCTCACCAAAGCTCCATGGGGCCTTGGCTGCAGCTCATCACTCCTCATGATGTGGATGGGGTTAGGCTGCACGTTGCCCTTTGGTTTCCTCATATTTAAAATAAGGTGGCCAAGGGCAACAGGAGCGGTCAGGAGAGCATCCTTCTTCCTCAGTCTGATAGCATAGTCTCTTCCTTCCTTTTGATCATATTCAAAACAACTGCAATAGAACAATAAGTCTGGGAGGAGGCCAGAGGGGGATTTATTATGCTGTTGTGCTGTGGCACAGCCTTGCCTGACTTTATCTTGCACTGAGGTCTGCATGGGAGGAAATCTGCAGGCCTGTGGATTGTCTCTCTGAAGCCGAACTCCCTCCAACCTGAAATCTGGGAGGGCAGGGGAGATGCTGCCATGTTGGCCACACCCCAGCATGAACCATGGCAAGAGGGAAACCAGCCCAGATCTCCCAAAACTCTGAAAACATGACTGTGAGAGGCACAGGGACCCCAAACAGTCAGAGCCCACCTGGGTTTAGCCCTATAAGAGGGGACTCCAGAAACTGAGTTTGCCCCAGGACAGGAGATCCCCAGAGCTCTTCTTAACAGCCAGTGTCCTCTCTTCCCATTCCAGCAGGAGAGGGAGTTGTGTGGGGAGGTGCCTCTATTTGTGGCAAAGCAGGGAAAGCTCAGCAGTGGACTGTCAGCTTCTCACACCAGAGAGACCATGTGGCAGGGGGTTCTTCTCTTTTCCCAACAAGGCTGAGAGCGAAGAAAGGACCTTAGAGCCCTGGAGCTGAGAGAAAGTTGATTTGTCCCAGTTTTGACTTTATCTCCCCCTGAATGCAAATGTTTTGACATCCATCTGCTGTTAGCAGGACCCACCAGGTCATCTCAGCAACCTTCATTTCAATCAACCCATCACTCCAACCCTCACTGACAAAGAAACTCTAATGCCAGTGCTGCTAGTAAAATACATACATCAATAAATAAATCCTTTCTCATCTGACAGCTGGGTGCTACGGGCTGCTGGCCCGACCATCTCTGTGGGTCTTGAGCCTTCTGTAATACTGTGGCTTAAGCACAGGCAAACCTGGGGCCAAGGTCTGGCTCCACCAGCATTTGCCAAATGACCTTGAGCAGATTCCATTACCTCCCAGAGCCTCAGTTTCCTCATCTGTAAGATGGGGATGAGAATAGCAACCATGTAGGATTGTTTCGAGGATTAAATGGGATAATGTATGTGACATACTTAGCACATGTTAAACATTCTATAGAGTGTGGTCATTATTACTACCACTATTTCAAATAGATGTGAGGATCTGATTGAACTTCCTTGGTCCTTAGTAGTGTCCTCAGGTGAACCATGAGCTCCGATCTCTGCCATGAGAAGTTAATGTATGAGGAACGCAAGAGGGAAGAGACTCCACAGCACAACGTTTAGGAAAGTTCACCTCAGACCCCAGCAGCAAGTCCAGGGGCTGAACTCAGTTTTCTAGACGACCAGATTCTCTCTCTCTCCAGTCATTTCATCTCTCTGGGCAACCTGACTGCATTAGTTTTCTAGGGCTGCAGCAACAAAGTGTCACAAACAGAGTGGCCTAAAACCACAGAAATGTATTCTCTATAGTCCTGGCAGCCAGAAGCCCCACATCAAGGTGTCTGCAGGGCCAGGCTCCCTCTGAAGGCTCTTGGGGAGACCTCTTCCTCGCCTCTTCCAGATTCCGGTGGCTCCAGGTGTTCCTTGGCTTGGGGCTGCTTAACTCCAGTCTCTGCCTCCGTAGTCACACTGCCTCCTCCTCTTTGTGACTGTCCTCCTCTGTGTCTCTTATCAGGATGCTTGTCATTAGATTTAGGGCCCACCTGGGTAGTTCAGGATGATCTCATCTCAACATCCTTAATTACCTCTGCAAAGACCGTTTATACAAATCAGGCCATATTTACACGTTCTGGGGGTAAGGACATGGACGTATCTTTTTGGGAGCCACCATTTAACCTACTGCATCCACTAACCCTGCAAAATATCACATTGGATTATGACTAAAAAGTCAGGATAAGACCTCTCACCTGGGGTGGGTGAGGGGCTCACTCCTCTCCATGGTAACATCAGTGCTTCTTTGCTTAGTCTCAAGGAGGGGTCATGATCCACCACCTTCAAAGAAAAATCTAGCTCTTCATTCTTTACTCATTGGCAGGGAGTGAAAACAAGTTCTTTCCGCTTAGTAAGAAACATTGCATCCAATGGGGGACTCAAGTCTGTGCTGAGTCCCAGGGCTTCCTGTTCTTAGTTGGATATGTTGGGATTTCAAAACCCATTGTGCCCCTTAGGCTTACGAGTGCAAAAACTCACATGTGATGAGCCCCCTTCTGGCAAAGCCCCACCAGAAACATCATTCTCTCAGTGCTGAAACCCTTCACCTTCTCCTCTTCTTGCCAACCTCCAGAGGCCCCACACTCACTGAAAAGGGGGCACAACTCTCTTTTCTCAAAGGCCTCCTCTAGCCTTGCTCTCTGACCCCTGTTGTCTATTTCCTCCTTCAGCCCCTTATTCAACCATAGAGATCCATGTGTCATAGGAAAGACATTGCCCAGGGGTTCCCAGTCCCCTGCTGGGAAGGGCTTTCCTCCAAAATTGCTGACAGTTAAGCTACCAGACGGCAAGGGAAGACAGATTATAATACAATGCATTTTTTGTTTCTTCCAATCAAATAATACTTCTATATACATTTAGTATACGTCTCAGCTCCTTCCAGGTGGTTTTAAGAAAAAAGCCAGTGTTATGCCCTTTCCCTCTGATGAGTCTAATTGCATGGGGCTCTGGTGGTGGCCCTGCTTTGCCCTTCAAGAGCATCTATGAATAACTTTGTGTTTGTAGGTTTCTTTTTAAAGGTGTTCCTCCTATTTCTGGCTCACAGATGTTGACAAGTAGCATGTGTAGAGTTCAGTCTGCACAAATCTGGGAGCTCTGAACACTAGATCCTATATTCACAGAGTCCCCCACCACTGGAACCTGGCTAGGGGTAGGAAAGTCACCGTAACCCTACAGTCCTGTGGAAAGGGTAGAGTAGTGGGGACTAACTGGAAAGAAGTGAAAATAAGACAAAGTAGCCAGTGGAATCTCCAGTCTGCCCCTTGCTTAGCTATGGAGAGCACAGCAAGATGATGGGTGAAGTCCACTGCTTCTCTGAACCATCTTTCAACTTGTCTGCTGAGGGTCCACTTTCTCTCCTTTCTCTGCCTGCATGTTTGTGAAAAATTTGTGTCTTCACGTGGAGACTATGAGTTTTGTGTGCATGGAACAGAGCCCTCTAGAAGGGTCTTGTGCCACTTTAAAATGTGACTCCCAAAAAATCTGACCTGTGCTCATACATTGCTGATGGAAATACAAAATGATTCAGCCATGTGGAGAATAGTATTGCAGTTCTTCAAAAAGTTAAACATAGAATCACCATATGTCAAGTAAATCCACTCCTAGGTACATACCTTAAAAAATTGAAAATAGGTTTCAAATAAATACATGTGTATGCAAGTTCATAGCAGTACAATATTCACAATAGTTGAAGGGTGGAACCAGCCCAAATGACCACTGACGGATGAATGAATGAACAAAATGCAGTATATCCTGACAATGCAATATTATTCAGCCATAAAAAGAATGAAGTACTGATGCACGCTACACCATGGAGGAGACTTGAAAACATACTAGTGAAAGAAGACAGACACTATATGATTCCATTTATATGAAATATCCAGAATAGGTAAAGCCATAGCAACAAAGTAGATTGGTGGGTTTCCAGGAGCTGGGAGGAGGGGGAAATAGGAACACTTGCATAATGGTTATGGGTCTTGCTTTTGGGGTGATGAAAATATTTGGAACTAGACAGAGATGCTGGTTGCACATCATGATATCTAGTTGCCACGGAATTGTTTACTTTAAAATGGTTAATTTCATCTTATATAAATTTCACCTCCATCAAAATGAAATATTTTAGAAAGAGAAAGTTAAAAAAAAAAAACCTATGTGTTCCACGAACACAACCCAACCCTTGCTCTCATTCCCATTTCCTGTTCCCTGTGTGCCCATTGTCAGTGCCATGGTATCAAATCAGTGCCCATTGTCAGTGCCATGGTATCAAATCAGCTTATGATGCAGATTACTGTTGGGCTTGTTCTTGATCCTACTTGTGAGATACATCCTCTAGAATTCCATGACTTAAGCTGAGTCTACACAGTAGCAACCAAATGTTTTAGCAGAGAACGATGGGTGTTTCACCACAAGACTCTTTCCCAATATTTTGTTTCTGTGGCAGAAAAGCGGATTTTTCTTGGCAAGATGAACAGGTTTGCACATTTATCTGTCTCTAGGAATTTCCATAGGCTGCAAGAAGAAAAAGAACATGAGTGTCAAGATACCTAGAAAAAGATGTTGAAGGCTTGCATAAAGCCTACTGAGGCTAAAACTGTTGTTTATTGAAGTTATGGGGAAAAAAGTTCATGCCCCCATTCTGTTTGTTCCAACCTCATTTGAAGAGTTGAGAGAGAACTTGTAGTTTCGTGCTTCTAGAACAGAAAAGATTTGGAATTTCAAAGAGAAAAATGCCCATAGGGAGAACTGGGGACATGGAGATGCCCTGTGTTAACTAGGGCAGAAAGTTGTAGTCTGTTGATGGAACTGTCATTTACTCATGCACCTGAACCCTTGAAGTCATTCATGAGGGTGGAAATCAGCTTCTTCCAAGCTCCTGTTAATGTTGATATTTTGACCTCCTCCTATGAATCACGAATGTTCTTAATGGAATTCATTCATTCACTGCATATGGTCCTGCCATGCGCCAGAAGGCAATAGGCCAGGCCACTGGATGGAGAAGACCCCATCCCTGCCTTGCTGCATAAGCAGCTCAGTGAAAAAGCCAGGCAGACATACCAGGAACATCACAGCCATACGGCAAGTGCTCAGACAGAGGTATCAGGCCATGGGAGCACCAAGGAGTCACTGCATCTGGGCCCTGTCAGAGGTGGGGACAGTGGACCCCAGTGTTAAAGGAAGATGGTGACAGGAGACCAGCATTACAGGCAAGTAAGCACAGCATCCACATTGGCCCAGAGGCATGGACACAGGTGGCATATCTGGGGAACACTGCTGCAGAGAGGAGAGGAGGGAATATGGCTACAAGAGGAGAGGAGGCTGCCGGGGCAAGTTGGGGCCAGGCTGGAAAGGGTCTTACATTTGACCCATTTTTTCCGGTGACTTTTTCCTTTTTATAGGAACAACAGCCAAATATTTGTCATAAATCATTTTCCTTCATCCTGTCAGTAGCCCCCTTTTACCGATGAATACACTGAGGTTCAAAAAGGTTAAGTAATTCCAAAGAGGGATGGACACATCACCGTTTGTGCATGTTTGACACACTGTTTGTCAATGACTGAGTGGTTACTGCTGGGGGAAGGCAGGATGGAAGGATGGGACCAAAAGGACAAAGGCGGCTTTAATTGCATCAGTAACATTTCATTTCTTAAGCTGGGTTTCGGTACATGGATGCTCTTTGTGCCTTTTTGTGTGAAATTTTCATAATGACTCTTAAAGCCACTGGACTTGCGTGTTAGGGCAGCATCTTTGCTTGAAAGGAGGCAGTGTCTGAGGCTGAGGGTCCCTTGAGAACACAGGGGCAGCCCTTAATATCCAAATGCTTGATGGGTTTTTCACTGTGGTTAAGAGGTAAGTCACTATTTATTCCACCTAGTCAAGGCCTCAGAGCTGACACTTCTACAGAAAAAGCAGGACAGACAGGTTTGATTCTCCTGGTTCCCTTGAGCAGGAACTGAATGTTTCCCATCTAGGGGCATATGAGCAGAGAGGAAGGGGTCTGAGCCCCACAGTGTGTCGTCAGTTACCACTTCTACGCGCTTGGCAGCCCGTGCTTCGAGTTCCTTTTCAACTGCGTTTCCCTTCAAGTTAACACTGCTTCCTCCGCTAGAGCATCCTGCCCCTCCAGCCTAGCCCTGAGAAGGAGACCCAGCCCCCTGCCTTCCTGGCATGCAGAACTTAAAACAAGAGCTCTCTGCCATCGGACATCCTTACCATTTCCAGCTATTGAGTATAATCAGGTGTGCCAGGATCTGATTTCAAAGCCAAAAGCAAAGGGGCTCGGAGGAATCCTCTCTCGGTTGCGCCAGTGGAAGACAAAGGGGTCTGAACAAACAGGATGCACTGAGAGCTGTAGAGAGCACTCCCCAGCAAGTGGGGTGGGCAGGATGCAGGGTTGGAATAGTTGACCTGTAAGCCTGGGTGTTGGCATGTGAGGCAGTCATGCCCAGGAGAAGCAAGGCAGGGCATGAACAGATGCTGATTCATCTGACAGCCTCTCTGGATGGTTCCTGGTAGACAGTCATGCTCTTCCAGGGCCCAGGGAGTTATATAATCTCTGCCTGAATAGAAGATCCCGACTCTGGCCGTTCACCTTGCAGAGAATGCTGACATTTCTAGAAATCAGAGAAAACCCACTATGCCTTGTAGGGCAGATGAGCAGTACTCAGGAATCTACAAGCGAGTCAGAACTGATGCGCTGTGGAGCTGGAGAAGACCCACTGGTTGCACCCCAATGTCTGGGTCCTGATGGATCCATTTTTTTCTGTCCCTGTTTCTATCTCTTATCACATACTCTGCTTGCTGGGCTTGGGAACCTACATCTAGTAAACTTTCCCGATCATTAACTGGATAAAGAGTTAAAAGTCATTCCAGAGAACACGACCCTTCTTGGGAGGCTATAGTCCGAGGGAAAATTTCAGTATTTCCTTTCTCTTTCTCACTGCCCTCATTTTTATATGGCAGGAATTGGAGATGAAAACAAATGTAACAAACCCGACTTGAAGGCAAACAAAGATCATCAAAGGCAACAAGAATAGGAAGCAGCTTACAGTGGAAAGAAAGTGCCCATCTAGACTGACGCCTCACTGATGGTGAAACTTAGTGGTGCTGCCCCAGTTCACCGTCTTTCAGAGATAGCCTTGTTGGTGTTTTCAACCGGGGGTGCTTGGAGTATTGCCCACAGACACCTCTGACTGTTAGAGTGCCTCGGGGAATGCTCCTGGCATTTTCTGGATGAGGCTGCAAGTACAAATGTCCTCCAGTACACAGGATAGTCACAAAACCGAAGAACTACCCCCACCCTTTTTCTAATAGAGCAGTACTGGTGAAATTGGTCATTTTTTTTTTTTTTTTTTTGAGACGGAATCTCACTCTGTCGCCCAGGCTGGAGTGCAATGGCGTGACCTCAGCTCACTACAACCTCTGCCTCCCAGGTTCAAGGGATTCTCCTGCCTCAGTCTCCTGAGTAGCTGGGATTACAGGCATGTGCCACCATGCCCAGATAATTTTTTTTTGTATTTTTAGTAGAGACAGGGTTTCACCATGTTGGCCAGGCTGGTCTCAAACTCCTGACCTCAACTGATCCGCCTCCCTCGGCCTCCCATAGTGCTGGGATTACAGGCATGAGCCACTGCGTCCAGCCAGAATTGGTCATTTCTGACACTCAGCTGAACCTCGAGCTCCTCCAACCTGGAGCCTTTGAACATGAAACCTATAGAGAGAGTCTCTGAAAAGAATCCAATTCTAAAGGCCACTGTTGGTTCTAGATGAAATAAAAAGCACACAGAAAATGAAAACCCGCCTGACATCTATAGTTCATCAATTGCCTTTAGAGGCAACTCTTATACAAACTCCAAAATTCCCAAGAGAAATTCTAACCTGGCATAAAGCATTGGGAGATTTATGGATATGCTTTCTCCCAGGGCTAGAGTTCTGGGAACCGGAGACTCAGAGGCTGCCTCTCGGCTTCTATAAAATAGGTCTGGGACATACATTAGGTTGTTTTGTCCCCATACAGTGTAAATAGCTGACGCGTGACACTTCAGCAATGGCTAAAAAATAAAATCCGAGCTAATCGTGGGTATATGGAAAGCACAACAAATGTGCAAGTTGCAAATGATTTCTATCTATGTAAAATGGCAACATGATTGGGGCTCTTCTTTAGTATGGCCAGGGTGGAAGCTGAGTATGAGGTCCTTGGGGGAATTCTAACTACATGAAATTGAGTAACTAGGGCTGTTTTTTTCTTGGAGGGAGCAGGGAGAAACCAGCAGATACCATCCAGATTTTTCTTAAAAGGAGAGACTTGATGAATCCATCATTCTACTCATAAGCAAATGCCTTTCACAAAGAATGTGAATTCTAGTGAGATTTTGAGCACAAAGCTGCAATGTCTTTGAGAACTTGATTTATGATTCAAGATGAACTGCAGCTAACTCTGGGGTCATTCGGCCGGGGGGATGGGAAGGGCAGACCCATTAATCAAAAGGTAGCAGGGGACCCCTCCAGGTGAGCCAAATGCACAAAGGGAGGAAGTGAGTCCAGGTGGAGAAAGAGACCCCTCCCCTCATCTCCGGTGTCGCTGGGAGACAGCTCTGCTTCAGGGAAGCTCGGAGGGATGCTAATGTACATTCTCTCAAAGGATCAGAGAGGCTGCAGCTTGTCTGAGAAGAATTTAAATCCTGGCTCTGATCACGAGCTGTATGACATTAAGCAAGCTATCTAAATCTGAATCTTGGGCCCTTCCAAGATGGGGATAATGGTACTTGCCTCAGAGGGTTGTTAGGGAAATAAGCAGGCATTTACTGAGTACTTAATACATGCCAGGCTTGGTATGAGGTCCTGGAGAGACAATGGTAGAAGGGTTGACAGTTTCATGAAATCACTTCTATAGTTCACTAGGCACAGACACTGCCTATCATTTGGTAGCTGCTCAACAAATGTTACTTCCCTTCCCCTTATAATCTGTACCACTAGGCACCTGCTATGTGCAAGCTATTGTGTAGGCCCTTGGACCTGACATCAAGTAGCAATTTGTAACTTCAAAACTGGTTTCACACACAAGAACAAATGTCAGCAGTTTTTGCACTTGCTCGTAGAGAGATAGCAGGAGGGATTTTGAGCTCACAAATCCCTTCAGTTGTAGCAGCCCTTCTTTTATTGATGTTATATCCTGGACTTCTAAGAAAGATCCAACCTATTTATTGCAGGTCATTAATATACCTGACACTGCTCTAGGTGCTTAAGAAAAAAATGAATAAATCAAAGACGGCTGCCCTCCAGGGCTTATATGGTAGCAGAGAAGACACAGAATGAAGGGTAAACATTGTGAGCTATTGATTATTTATTACCTTGTATAGCGATAAGTACTTTGGGAAAATATAAGTAGAGCAGGATGGGGGTAAGCAGAGCGGGTTGCAATTTTAAGTGGGTCAGTCTCATAGAGAAGGTGATATTTTAGCAAAAACTTAAAGGTGAGGGAGTCATCCATTATGTGAGGAAAGGAGGTGAGGGAGTCAGCTATGGTACTCTGGAGAAAAGGGTTCCAGCAAGGGTTCAGAAGTGCAAAGGCTCTAAGGTGAAAGCCTGCCTGTGAGAGGGTTCAGCTAGGAGGCAGTGTGGCTGCAACAGGTGAGCAAGCGAGGAGCTGTGAGAGGCGAAGAAGCAGGTGCCGCTGGAATCGGTGGGGCTTTCTAGGCCTGTGGAAGGACTCCACTTTCACTCTGAGTGAAAAAGCGTTACTTGAGAGTTTTGAGCAGACGAATGGCATGATCTGATTTATGTCTTAAAACTGGAGAGGAGGTCATAGACTCAGGCTTAGGCCTTCCATGAAGGTTGGAAAACCAATCATTTATCTACCCTGTCATCTTCACAGGCCCCCTGGCATGAAGATTAGGCAGATTATTTCTATTCCCATTTTACAAACTGGGGAATTGGGACTCGGGAAGGCTATGGGCATTCTCTGAGGGCCCAGAGCTGGAAGGTGGTAGGCTGGGGACTGAATTCTTGCAGTGCCCCCCCACTTGGACTAAGACGGGTTTCTGGACACTAGGAGCTGTCTGCTCCACAGTGTCCATGGGCTTTCATGCATCCTTGAGGATTGTTTTGGTGTAGAGAAAAGACCAACTGGGGCTACTTTGGTTTTTGAAATTAATATTTATTACATGTTGTTACATGTTGAAAAAACTCAGTTTTCTTTTAGGCTTTAAAGTGCATCTTATAAATCTTATTACATTCTAGTTATAAATCGTAAATGGTCAGTGACAGTTTGTGGATGATGTCCTCACATTTCAAAAGATCCTTCCTTACCTTATGCCTCAATAACGAACATGATGCGTTGCACCTAGTATATCCCACATCATATATCTCAGAGTCAATCACAACAGAAAGGAGGAGGAAGGGCGGCTGCGGGCCTGGGGTTGGAGTGCAACTTGGCCAGGCACTAATCCATGACCAGGGCTGGGGCTCCAGGCCTCAGGGTCTGTGGAGTGGGCTTACTGGCAGGCACTGGCCACTGGGCAGGGTGCCTTAGGAAGGACATTGGAGAGGCATCCAAATGTAGGAAGAAAGGGAATGTTTTCCCTTTCTCTATCTCCTAGCTCCCTTTTTATCCATAACTCTGGAGAAAAATTTGTGACTACAAAGTTGTAGGCTAGTTTTGCTTCTACCATGTTAATGAGCAGAGGCTCCAGGGGCAGTTTGACAGTGTAAGGCCCCTCTGAGGAGGCCTCCCATTGCTTATCTCAGCCTTTTTCTAACTCCCCGCTCTCCCCTTGGCCTCTCCAAGGTCCATCTTTCTCTCTGCTGTCCTTCCTGCAGTGTTCCTCCCTGCCCCTCCCTTCTTTTGGCCTTGGGAGCTCTCCACCCTTCCCCTCTCAACGTTTTCCCTCCATACCCCACGCTCTTTGTTGCTGAATTCAAGGTTCTCAATACAATAAAGCTTTGATGATTTGCCCCAATTGAGAAGGAGTGTCAGCTTAAATTAATGTGGAGTCTGAATAATAGAATTTTAAAGCAAAGTTTAGTTGCTTTCATGTTGTTAAGACATCCTTTCCAGAGAGAAGAGTTAGCATTTAAATGCAGTAATAGTTGATGTTGAGAAATGGGGCAATATGTCTTAGAGAATCTTTTCAAATAATCTACCAGAAACGAATCACTTATAATTAGCATATACTTTCTTTGAATCGGAGTGTTTCTGCCTTTAAAACCTTTCAATTTTAGTGACCAACATTTTTTAAATCACTGATTTTATCAGACTTCTCTCAGATCCACAAGTTTCAACCCCTGAGTTCTTCATGGCAGAGACATTTCCACATTGAAAGTCTCTCTAGAAATTTTTAATTTTCAATGACATAAGCAATACATGAATATATTCTCTTTGCAAAAGAATTGATACTTTAAAAATAAATTAAAATCACATAAATAATAAAATCATTTCTGTTATCCCATTTATATTACTTTCTTTAAGGTGCTAACAATGTATTCTCCATAACAAACCATTCTGCACAGAAGTCCCTTCTCCAGGGTCCTATCCAAAAGGCAACCATCCACACTTGATTGGATCTTACAAGTTTAAAAAATAAGTAGAGGCTGCGGTAGTTACGGCTCTCAGCTTCCCAGTCTGTCTTTATTCTGCAATTCTCCCCACTTCTCTACCACATCTCTGCATGTTCCATTCACATATATCTGCCAGGAAAACTCACCAAGTGAAGCACATCTGCCAAATGTAATAATTAGGAAATCTAGATAAGGGCATTTGGGTGTTCATTATATTATTTTCTTTACTTTTCTGAATGTTGAAATTTATCATAATTGAAAAAAGAAAGAAAAAGAAAAACTCACCAAATTCTAAGAACAACAAAACAGCAAATGACCCTGAGAAGAATAAAGGACTGGTTCTAGTTACTGCTATTTTCCTCTTCCTACAGAGTCCCAGCCCTGCACTGGGAAAGGCTGTGCCTCATCTGTGGGAATAGGAACATAGAAATGCCTGGTGTATTTCTTAGCAATGTGTCTACTTTTTCAAGCTCTTTCACAGTTGTTCTTTTACTTGCACAACAAGCCTTTAGGGGGTAAAAAAGGCAAGTGGGTTTCCCCCATTTTACAGAAATGGTATTATTGGAAACCAAGAGATTTCATGATACTAGCTAATAATACCAGCTCACAGTTACTGCTTTCTTACTAGGCAGCAGGCATTGTTCTAGGTACTTACATGCATTAAATAATTTTAACCTTATAATAACTCTAAGAATTATATGCATAATTGCCTGAGATCACAAAGCTAGTAAGTGGTGGATTGCAGTATGAACCCAGGCAGTCTACTCATGAGCCTAAACTCACAAGCATCTATATCTTCATGTGATAACATTACAGATGCCTTTCTAGCATCCCAAGAGTTGAAATCTGGCAGCCTCCAGGGTGCATTCGGACTACAAGAGCATTCATTTGGCTTATACAATATTTTATAATTTTTGAATTTCAAGATTTAAAGAAAAATTTAATAAAAAAAAAAAAAGTTAGCCAGGCGTGGTGGCGTGCGCCTGTAATCCCAGCTACTTGGGAGGCTGAGGCAGGAGAATTGCTTGAACCTGGGAGGTGGAGGTTGTGGTGAGCTGAGATTGCGCCATTGCACTCCGCCTTGGGCAACAAGAGTGAAACTCCATCTCAAAAAATAAATAAATAAAATAAAAATAGTGAAAAAATTTATCTGAAAACCCAGATTTCTGGCTTCCCTTGTAAAATCCGACATTCTGGCAACATGAGGTCAGCATCCCACAAGATAACAATTGTCTAGAGCTGAGACTGTGAAAGAGAAATTTTTCATGACAGTTGTTAAAGACTTTAAGTAAGACATTATTCAAGAAGGAACACTGCAATGGGGTTTTGCAGCCTTGGAGAGAGATGGGCTCAACTCCGAATACAACAAGGAAAAGTGATAATGTGTAGCCAAAGAGCAGGGTGGATGTCAGTGGATGAAAAATTACTAAGAAGAAACACCAAGGCTAGGGGGATTCCCGCTAAACTGACATGGCAGGATTCTTACTGAAGGCAGGCAAGGGTGATAGGGTATTAAGGGTGGGGGCTGAGGAATTTGATTAGGTACTGAGGGTGATCAAATACAAAGGGTGGGGAATTTTCACTCAATTGACTTAGCAGGATTCTTGCTAAAACTGGACTAAGCAAGCCAAGGACAGAGCCCAAGGTTGGGGCCTAGTCAGAAAGAGGACTCAGAGGAGCCTGACTCAAGTTTGGTCAGAATGAGAGTCTTTGTCAGTAACTGGTGCCCCTTTATATACGGTAGGCTCTCTCTAATCTGTCAGTCCCTACAACTGCCTATTATTGCACCTGGCCTCTTTTTGCAACTCTTTTTACCTGTCTGGCATGCACATTTGAGTTTGTAAGCCCTGTATTATTGAAAAAAAAAAAAAAAAAAAAAAGACAAACCCTAAAGAAACAGAACGTAATTTCTGTCCTGGTGCCATCAACACACTGCCAAAGCCATTTATTCATTCATTTGTCTTTCCATGTAATAACCATCCATTCATGTATCCATCCACCCACGTTTTCATTCTTCCTGTCTCATGCACCCTCCCCACCTAGCTTAGCAATTCTCAAACTGCATAGTCATACTTGCATTTCTTGGCCAGCATCTACTTTTTTCCCAATCAGATAAGAAGGGCAAGATCAGAGGATAAGGGATGTTCTGTGAGGAAAACAGTTATGGTAGGTGTTATGAACTGAGCTGTGTCCCCTCAAAATTCATATGTGAAGTGCTAACCTCCAGTGAGATTGTATTTGGAGATAAGGCCTTTAAAAGAAGGTAATTAATGAGCAGGCATGGTGGCTCACACCTGTAATCCAACACTTTGAGAGGCCCAGTCAGGCAGATTACCTCTGGTCAGGAGTTCAAGACCAGCCTGGCTAACATTGCAAAACCCCATCTTTACTAAAAATACAAAAATTAACCAGGTGTGGTGGCACATGCTTGTAGTCCCAGCTACTCGGGAGGCTGAGGCAGGAGAATTGCTTGAACCTGGGAGGTGGAGACTGCAGTGAGTCAAGATTGTGCCACTGCACCCCAGCCTGGGCAACAGAGTGAGACTTAACTCAAAAAAAAAAAGAAAAAAAAGTAATGAATTGTACATCATGATCAACAACCAAAAATAAAACAAAAGGATGTAATTAAGGTTAAACAAGGTCATAAATATGAGGTCCTAGCCTCATGGTGACCTCAAACCAAAAAACATACAATGGATACACAGAAAATAAAAAGCAAGAAGATACTAGTTCTAATCCAATAGAACTAGTGTCTTTATAAGAAGTGAATGAGACACTAAGAGCTCACACACACAGAACAAGCCATGTGAGGACACAGAGAGATGACGTCCACCTGCAAGACAAGGGGAGAGGCCTCCGGAGAAACCAAACCTGCTGGAGCCTGGATTGCGGATTTCCAGTCTCCAGAGCCGTGTGAAAATACATTTCTGATCTTTAAGCCATGCAGTTTGTGGTATTCTTTTATGCAGCCTGAGCAGACGAATACAGCAAGGAACTGTTGTCCATGTGCCCTCTGCCTTTTCACTCCCTTTCACCCTCCCCACTTTCTCTGAACAGGCAGTCACCTAACATCCAAGGCCATGTGAATACGTACTAAGAGAAGGTGTTGGTAATCCCAGTTAAGAAGGTCTATGGTTTCTCCAGTGGTGTGACCGCACCATCAGGATGGGCTTTGAGGGTGGGAAAGGGATGAGGAGATGCCACTAAAGAATTCTACCAGCGAGATGAACTCAGGCCATCTCACTAAACCCTGTGTGCTTGAAATGGGGAGTTGATGCTTAAAGTTTACAGACTTTGGAGTTGAGGTGTGGGCATGAAAAATATTAGCAAAACCCAAGGTGGCTTAAGGTTCATCCAACTAGTTGGTTGGGTTTAACAAGCAGTTTTTGTCTGGAGATCCTGAGTCCAGCTTAAACAGTGAGGGTCAGAATAATCACTGCAAAATTTGCTTCATTTTAAGCTTTCCTCCGGCTTTTCACCAGGTGTTCTAGTTAGAGAGGCTTATGTTATTGACACAAAGATAGGTCGTTGTTGATTAACTCCGGAGGGGCACAGAGAACTGGGAGAAAGCCAAACTGGCTTCTGCCTCATCTTTGTATCAACTTTCAAGCTGTTAGATTGGTAATGACTGTGGGGTTTGGACGATGGTGCTGGGATGAGAGGCTGGACAAACCCCATATAGGTTTCTGGGCCCCAGAGGACAGCCAGTGGCAATAGACTTAAACCTCCGATTCTAAATAGAATGGGCAGGGATCTGGAGGTGCTCTGGAGGAACTGACTAGAACCCCACAGTAGCAGGTTTGGAAAAACTATCATAGGCTCCTAGGGAAATGTTGCAATTCTAGTCACTAGATAAAAGTGTCAGTCACAGGACAAAGTTTGACCAATGATTTAATCACCTTTGACATACCCGGAGTTCAAGAAAGGGCAAGGAAACACAGACATTTAGACTAGCCTCTCCTTCACTCCTAGACTCACGTCCACTAAAAATAATATGGGCAGACTGAAATTTGAATACATTTGGTTTGGGTTTGGCTTTTAGCCATCTGATGAGGTACAAAAGTAATAGTATCTAATGAATAAATGGTAAAGCATACTACCACAATTCAGTTTTCCCCCTAATCCTCTGGTTGATGCATGAATTCATATAAAGCACAATTTCTCTGACTCATTTGAAATAGGGCAACACCACACGTGACTAGTCGTCCAAAAACCATCATGAAGATTTGTGAATAACTTCCAATAAAGAGCTTTGGGCACTAAGAACACAATTGGCAAAAACTTGATCCAAACCGAGTCCTTCACTTGTGTTTTAAAATCTTAGTTTGAAAGTTATTTGGGACTTCTTAGTCAAGAATCTGGACTTTACAAGACCTGAGGGTGGGGGCTGGAGAAATGCAAGGATCAGGGATAGGGACAAGGGATCCTTGCAGGGGACAGAGAAGACCTTGGGGGTTAATGAAGAGAGAATATCTTCCCACTTGCTTGGTCAGGGTTCCTCAATGGAAGCTCCTCTTGCTTCTGCTGATGTCTGTTTTTTTTTGAAAAGGAAGTAACTCCAAAGACTGGTGGAAGGAGGAAAGGTAGCTGGGTCCCATGGTGGGAACACAATTTTCTTTAGCTGAGAGAGGGATTTTATTTTCATTCCTCTTTTCATTACACACCTTCCCTAATCTTCTGTATATTCTTAAATAAATCTCAACAGCTCTTCCTTCCCACTCACTAGTCCTATACCTCTGTGACTGGGCACTTTAACAGGGTGAGAAGTAAGATCCTGGAGTCAGGGGCTGGAGGTGAGCAGTGAAAAGAGATGCCTAGGCTGTGAGGGTGTAAGGGGACCAGGTCTACAGTTATGAGCAAGAAGCAAGAGGGAATGAGTATGCTTGCAGTAGTCCAGTTAGAGGGTGTAAAGCATGCCCTGGAGTTCATCACTGTCTTGCCCTCTCACAGCCCCTCTAGGAAAAGCTGGCCTTCCCACACCTCCTGCTGCTTGGGCAGCTATGTTTTCAGCGACTTCCTTATCCAACAAAGGTTTGGTTAGCCAGTGACCAATGATGTTGTCTGAGACAAAACACTAAGA
The DNA here is from genome assembly GCF_000001405.40 of Homo sapiens. Classification (NCBI taxonomy): domain Eukaryota; kingdom Metazoa; phylum Chordata; class Mammalia; order Primates; family Hominidae; genus Homo; species Homo sapiens. The sequence goes on along the minus strand of NC_000014.9, from coordinate 68,484,999 downwards.
TAAGTCCGAGCTAATCAGATTCTCTCTTCAGAATTTTAACCAAGGAAAAAAGCCAATGGGAACTGAAGTTGAAAGGCTAAGAGAGAAACACAGGGTGAGCCATGTGCAAACTGAAGTTTTGAGTAAATAAACTATAGTATGCAGGACAAAATCTGCTGGGAGAGTGAGAGTAGCCCTGGGCAGACATGTAAAGAAAAGCAGAGACCCCAGGATAATGAATTCCCAGGGCTGCCTCCCCTCCAGAAGGCTTTCCAATTCTGCACCACCTATATCCTTAACAGTATGTGTCCCCTTTTACCGGAGATAATTGAGACTCCTCTTCCCAATGAAAATAGCCCAACTGGGCCAGGCACGGTGGCTCACGCCTGTAATCCCAGCACTTTGGGAGGCCGAGGCGGGTGGATCACGAGGTCAGGAGATCAAGACCGTCCTGGCTAACACGGTGAAACTCCGTCTCTACTAAAAATACAAAAAATTAGCCGGGCGTGGTGGTGGGCGCCTGTAGTCCCAGCTACTCGGGAGGCTGAGGCAGGAGAATAGCGTGAACCCGGAAGGCGGAGGTTGCAGTGAGCTGAGATCGCGCCACTGTACTCCAGCCTGGGCGACAGAGCAAAACTCTGTCTCAAAAAAAAAAAAAAAAGAAAAAGAAAGAAAATAGCCCAACTGTAACTAAAAGTTTGTACAAGTTTCATGCAGGTAGGTTGAAAGCTGAATTATTGTCTGAAGACATTTGCTTTAGGGAGAGTGAGTGGGCTGGCTCTCAGCAAACATGGCCTACCACCACAGCTTACTTGGAAGCAGCTTGTGTACTTGAGATTAGGTTTTAGGCAGGAAACAGGGTGACCTAATTTCTCCTTTGTTCTTATCACCTCAGGGTACGCGAAGTCTATGTTTGAGACCTGAAGAAAGGAAGTCTTGGCATCTACAAAATACTGGTTTGGTCTGAGAAAGTTAAATCCCTGTTAAGTCACCAAAATCCAGGTCCACAAACCTCTCTGAGGAAAGCTTTAAAACATGATTTTTTCATTGGTTGAAAGGAGCAAAGAGGTGTGGTGGTCATGTTGGTTCACCAACAAGAACTGATGAATCATTTGTTATCTCCCATTTCAAGGCTCAGGAGGGCTAAACTGGAAGGAAAACCAAAAGCAGCTCTTGTCAATATGAGACCTCCTTCATCTCTTATGTCCTCAGCTTTGGAAATGCCCCCAGGCAAGGCTGCCATCAGCACTTGACTGAAAACACATGGAGGCAGCCCATTCAGAGCAGGAATTCATTACTGAAAGAATAATAAGGGAAAGTTTCTCTCTCTTGCAGGGAGAGCTGCTTTCTGGAAAAGTCACAGGGCTTTGAAGGAACGTGCATCATGTCTGGTAACAAGCGGCAGAATGGAAATGGAAGGGCACATTTCCAAAAGTCTTTTCACACAAGGCATGATGGTCTGGGGTCACTCAAACTAGTTGTTCTATCTTGAATGTGTCATTGAAATCAGGCCATGGCTCCCTTGAACCCACTATCCCTTCCCAGAGTTACTTGTGTCTGAAAGCTCTAGGGGAAAAGTACCCAGAGTTAACTGGTCTTTCTTGGCTACCCCTCTATTTCAAAAGGTCACCTGTGGACTAAAATAGGCTGCAAAACTGTTTGGTCTTCCTGAACACTACCCCATAAATCTTTGATGTATGCCAGGTAATCTGAGGGAAAGGTATATACAAGCGTGAATATGGAAGAAGGAAACATTTGCAAGCCCACTGGGTATAGCTGTGCATGCCAAACATTACAGGTGTTCACCAATATCCAGTTCCCCTTTCCTTCAGAACATGGAGGAAGTGGTACCTTCCTGCCTCCTGGAAGTTAGGAGTGGCTGCATGGCCAGGAGAGTAGAAGGAATGTATATCATTTTTTGAGGGAAGGACTTAATTATCAGTGCTCAATCTCTCTCTCTTTCTTACTTTCTTCTCTCTCTCCCCCATCCACCTTTCCCTTCCCCTACTGTGGCAACTGTGGCAGTGCATGTTAATACTGAAGTGCAATATTGAGTCACACATGGAGAGCTTGTCTGGAGAGTCTCAGACATGCATGGATTTTGCAAGTCACTGAGATTTGGGGGGACTGTTTGATAGGGAACAAAACCAAATGTGTCCTGACTTATGTCTAGTGATTTAATGGTTTCCTCTCCTCCCAGATCTATTTGGAGTTTTGGAAAATATGTGTTCCATCTGAACCCTGCCCTCACCGAAATTCAGAAGTAGGCAGTGTGTTTTCTCTCACACTTAGGATGTTTGGCTGAGAAGTGTGATGAGTGCCTTCCCTCCATTTGTGCAAAAGAAGCCTCTTTGAATTCTGGAGTGGAATGAAGAAAGTCCTTTCACAGCCACAGGATAAAAGTGATGGTGATGATATTGAAAATAAAACATGGAAAAAATGACCCTTCCAAATGGTTCCAAGACCAGTTTTTAGGCTAGAATCAGATATTTTGCACTTCTCCTTGCCTTCACTCACTTTTCTCCCATTACCTAATCCTTATCCTCCCTTTCCAGAATTCTCATTTGGCAATCCTGGTTTTGCTGGACAAACTTTTACAACCCTGTCTCTGAGCAGTCATTTTGCTTTGTTCACAACACACAACCTAAAAGACATTATGCACAGAGTTCAAGGCTCTCTGGGTTAATCCAAAATGTTCACCCTGTAGGCTGACGGGGACCACACATTTCTGAATCTTCACCAGGACTGCAATACCTTAATAGAATGGCCAGAAGGCTAGCAGGATTAGGGAGACAAAGTTGAACTTTGATACACACACACATACACACACACACACACACACACCCCTAAAATATCTCTGAATTGCATCATTAATTACTTTCAGTAAAAGTAATTACTTTCAGTAAAAGTAATTAATGATACAAAATGCCACACTAGAATCTCATGGGTGGTACCAGCTTGGCAGATTATCAGCTCACGGGGAAGAATGCTACCTGTGTCCTTCTTTCTTGTGAACATTTCCTGGGGCAACTTTCCTGTGCATGTCTTCTGCTCCTTAAAAATGGTGACATGATAAGGCAGTGATGGAACCTCTACTATATTCTGAGCATCACTGCTCAGAGTAGAAGATCAAACTACTAGCATTGTTCCTGGTGATTCTTTTATTTAGAAAATATTCACTGAGTTCTTTACTATTGTGTGTGTAGTATTATGCTGAGTACTTTAGTGAACTTAGGATGAATAAGAGTTGTGAACAGAAATATTACAGGGCAAGGGATGAAAGAGAAAAGAGAGTAGAACTGCCTGAGTTCAAATCCACATTTCATCCTTTCTGGTGACAAACTGAACCTCTCCTGCTTCAGTTCCTCATCTGTAGAGAAGGAATAATACAAAATTCTACCTGTAAGATTACTGGAAGCATTAGAGAAGATTGTGTATGTAAAGTGTGTGTCAGACACGCAGCAAGTGCTCCATATCAGAGGCAGTGCTTACGTCCTGTCCCTGCAGCATGGTTTGTGGTGAAGGCCTGGAGGGCCTTGGGCAGGAGAGTACTGTATTGGTTTGTCAAACACTGGGTATAGGGCACTCTCTTATTGTTTCTTGGGGTCAAAAAGGTAGTCTCAAGGAGGAGCCACTTAATTTTTGACATTTGGAATTAGGATATGTTTTCCTCTTGCTTTTTTCAGACACTTTTGAGTGATCCATTTTAATGTGTGAACAATGTAGCATTTTTTTTTTCGTGGCAGACAATGGAGGTGAAGAGAGAACAATTAGGAGTTGCAGAGAACAGACAGCATCTTGCTCAATGTAAGGGAGGAAAAATAATATATTTTCCTCACCTATCTCAAGGTTCGTGGCTGAGAGCACTACAAGAAAACACAGATTAACAAGAGAAAAACATATACATTTACCTTTTTCTTGTTTTAAACTGAAAGTACCTACTAAGTGACTCAACCAAAACCAAAGAGCCTTTTATGACTTCACCATGGACTAAGAAGGGGTTCTCAAAAGAGAGTGCAGCCCTCCCAAATCCAGAACTACCCCCAAAGAGAGTCAAAAGAAATATACAAATAAACCCCCCAAGAGCTGGCAATACTTGGTAGGATAGCTGGAAATAGGGTGCAACCCACATTTCTGTCCAGCCGTATTCTTGAGTTCCCTCCCCTGAAGTTGGTTGGGGAACTCAAGACAGCTTGCATGCCCCAACAGGGAGAAAATCAAACCAAGTTATCAGGACAGAAATTGAGAAAAACAAGGAAAGAGACAGCAGTCCCTGCGAGGGAAAGGATCAGTAACAAACGAGTACCTTAAAGCCAGATTTAGTCAGAGAGTCACAATATAGACATTTTTTTTTTTTTCCTGATAATCTGAATTTGGGAAGGAAGGGACAAGGAGAAATTTCTAACGTCTCTCTTGACCAAGCACTACAGACAGAGATCTGGGAGAGCTGACTTTGATAAGAATTCTAATTTTTCCAGCTTTTTGTCAGTTGCCCCAGGATCTCATCTGCAAGATCCAGAATGAGTGGGGTGTCTCAGTCACCCCATATTGGGCACCAGAAACTGTAGGGGAGAAAAAGTAATATCTTGCATGAACGCATTGCAAGGTTCATGGCCAAGGCCCCCATAACAAAAGACAGATTTACAAGAGAAGGCCGGGCTCACACCTGTAATCCCAGCACTTTGGGAGGCCGACGAGGGCAGATCTCCTGAGGACAGGAGTTCGAGACCAGCCTGGCCAACATGGTGAAACTTCATCTCTACTAAAAAAAAGTACAAAAGTTAACCGGGCATGGTGGCACATGCCTGTAATCCTGGCTACATGGGAGGCTGAGGCAGGAGAATTGCTTGAACCCGGGAGGCAGGGGTTGCAGTGGGCCAAGATCATGCCACTGCACTCCAACCTGGGTGACAGAGCAACACTCCATCTCAAACAACAATAACAGCAACAACAACAAGATTTACAAGAGAAAAGCATAAAAATTTATTTAACGTAAGTTTTATGTGACATGAGAACCTTTAGAAATGAAGACCTGGCTGGGCGCGGTGGCTCATGCCTGTAATCCCAGAACTTTAGGAGGCTGAGCTGGGAAGGTGGCTTGAGCCTGGAAGATCACTTGAGCCCAGGAGTTCAAGACCAGCCTGGGCAACACAGTAGAGACTCTGTCTCTACAAAAAATAAAAAATTAGCCAGGTGTGGTGATGCCCATCTGTGGTCCCAGCTACTTCGGAGGCTGAGGTTGGAGTATTGCTTGAGCCTGGGAGGTTGAGGCTGCAGTGAGCTGTGATAGCACTGCTGTACTCCAGACTGGGAGACAGAGTGAGACTCTGGCAAAAAAAAAAAAAAAAAAAAAGAAGAATAAGAAGAAAGACCACCCCCAAACCAGGGAAATCTGTGTATTTTTATGCTTAAGTTTGATGAAGAGTAGACAGTCAGGCAGAAGTATGATTGGAGGACTAAAGAGTATGATCTAATGGGAATAAACTGGGGGAAATTTAGCAAGGCCTGTTTGTTCAGATTCTTCTCTGTCCCTGTGTCTTCAGAGATAAGGACATTCCTTTCCTCTGGGTAGAGAGTGAACACTTCAGGAATGAACATTTTACAACCTGCTTCAGGAGAGGAGGGGTGAGGGGAAGGTGACAACGGCCTTCCTGCCTCTGCTGTTTTTTCAAGGCCAACGTGCCGGATTTTGGAGTACTGTATCCTGAACCCTACCTCCAACTTCTCAAATAGTCCCTTGATGTCTGAAATTAACCAATTCATGTCATAAGAATCCACAGGAAATGTATATTTCCTGATTAAATACGAAAACTCACCTTGGTTTTCACCAACATTCTATTGAACATCCCAAGTTCTCAAAATGTACCTCACTCAGAGGGAGACACATGGTCACAGCCTGGGACATCTTCCTGCTCTGCCTCTTCCAGGTCTACCCAAATCCTTCTTGCCTTCCGATGCACAGCACACCAATACCTTCCCTGATTCACTCCAGCTGAATAAGATGCTCTTCCTATTGCCCTTGCTGCCCGGGGCTTGGATGTGATTCTGCTTTATATTATAGTTAATAGTTTGTAAGTCTTTTCCCATTCCTTGGAGTACATTTTTGGAGGGCAGGCACACACTGAGCTTTGTTTTCAAGCTTTACCTGAGCACTTGGTATGCGCTCAACAAATACTGAGTCGTTAAAGGACTCAGTCTTTCTTCATCAATCTTCATCAATCTGCACCTACTTGGTGCACAGCACTCTGTTGGGCACTCATAGGAGACATGAAATAGGATGAGACTTGATTCTAGCCCTCAATGCACTAAAAATCTCTGATGGAGGAGCAGGTACAAAGTGATTCTACAGAGGACAGCTTGAGGTCACTAACAACCTGGGTAAGATAGGTCACAAGGCCAAAGGCTGGAAAGATTTAATGCCTGGCTTTGAAGGGGCTAAAGCCCCCAGACCTTGCCCTGAACCCAGTCTGATGCTTCAATCAGAGCCTCATGGCAGTAGGAGTGTGTAGGCTGGGTGTTCTACTGGAAACGACTAAATTATCCTACGGGTCACCAATTGATTTATTTGCTAATTGACTGGCCCAGCTTTGGGCTTTAAATCTAAAGAAATCATTTCATCCTTTATTAAATACTGCATGAGTCTCAGTCTTTGTTCTGCAGGGCTATACACAATATACCAATAAAACTTGAATTTACACTACAATAGTTATGCCACTAATGACCTTCAAATGCCACTAATACCATACATGCTCCACTTCTCGGCTGGATCTGAACCTGTCAGTGAATTCTGAGCCCATCGACCTCCCTCTGACACAGAGTCGACCCCCTTGCCCATGCCCGCCCCCAGCCTCCCACATCATTCCATGATTTCATTTCTGAATCGGTTACTATTTGGAGACCCCAATTCCTTTACACCTACTCTTTTTATCTGGTAGACAATACTTTATTCGGAAATGTTCCCTCCTGTAATTACAAATCTTGTTAGTCATCCTCCTCCTCTCCCCAGGAGGATTGTGGGCTTTAATTAATTAATGTGGTTAAACCGCTTTGAGGTGCCTGGTTGAAAGGTGCTATATAAGTGCAAATTATTATTATGGCTGTTGACATCCCATGGCGGCAAAGCCCTCAGCCCTACACATCTAGAGACCTGAACAAAGGCTTCTTCATCTTCACCTTCCCTGCTAGGTCTGAAATCGCTAGCTCAATGGTTTAGGAGCAAATCTGTTACCATCTCAACAGCAATCAACTAATTAATCCCCATTATGTCAGCTTCCGTTTCCTTCTTCCAAGCAGTACGGTCCTGTTTTATTTCACAAATCACACCCCCATCAACTCTAGACAAAGGTCACAGTATCCCTATGGCTTCTCTTGGCCTAAAGGAAAAAAAAAAAAAAGAGAAAGTTTGAAAAAAAAAAATTGTTATGAAATGCACTAACTTCCCACCAGCAACCTAAATGGAACTTTCCTCCAACAGCAGTCCTCTTTCATACGTATTGCCCACAGAGCCACTGGCCTTGCAAACCAGAGATCCAGAAACACAGCGGAAGTGTGGGTTAGGGTCCCGCAGCCCTGGCTTGACTAAGGATAGCTATAGACAAAAGGGGAGTGTCGCTGCACTGGGTGGGAAGAGGTCATCCACAGAAGCAAGCACCCCTCTTCAGCTTTCTCTATGACCCCCAAGTTTCCCCTGAGAAAGCCAGCTGCCATCTGTAGCCAGGAAGCCCTCACAAAGGCAGGGGACCATGATTTAGATGTTTTGTGCTATATCTAGCACACCACAGTCCTTAACAAATGCCCAATACTTCCACTATGATGGTAGCCATTGAAAGCAGCCCTGTGGGGGAGACTTGGCCTCGCATAGGGACGCGGCTGACCAAAACACTCCTTACAAGGTTGTGCCTCACACCCTTTGTTCCAGTGGATGTGGGCAAGCCTCAGGGGGTCATGTCTTCATCTGCCTTCATTTATCCTCCCTATTGAAGGGCTCCTTCAGGACACTGGTCAGCCTCTGTGGGAAATGATTTGGAGAGCAACAAAAGAACCTGGGCTCTCTGGGAGGGCTTCAGAATTCAGTAAACATCTGGACATGGAAGGCCAGGTTCTCAAGCAGTCTAGCTGGGGAGATGTCAAAAGAGAGAAAGAGCTGTGTCTGCAATGCAAGCCCTTAGTTCTGTGGCGACATTTGTTGTAGAAAGACACAGACACCCCAGTAGGTAGATAGGAAGATTTTTCAAAAGCTCCTCTATTTGTCGGGTTTTGTGAGTTCAGTGCACTGTTTGTCAGTTCTCATGGCATGTGTGAGGAAACAGAAGTTTCGCATGGCTGGCGAGCAGCATGTGATGGGTGTTCTGACTCTGTGTGAGCTATGAATAACCTGAGGTTGCATAAGCCTGTCCTGGTAGTTGCTGTTAAGCTGTCTGTTATCCTTGAAGTTTGTAAAGCCCTCATGGGTCAAGATGACTTACTGGATTCTCACCCACGAGCACATTTTAATTGACAAAAAAATTAAGCACTAAGTGGCGAAATGATTTACACTTCATCGGTGAAATTCAGGATCTGAACTCTTGACTCTCAACGTTGCCTTTATTGTTGAGTCAATCCATTTAGAACACATTAGTCAGCATGACTCAACATTCACTACTAATCAGCATTAGTGATGGAACTAATCAGCATTCCCCAGTGTCCCTGAATCTATCCTCAAATAGCAAAAGAAATTGGCTTCTGTCAAGAGACAATGGAATGCGGTTTTTGTCAGTATTCACAAGCTGAAATCCAGTCCAAGTCCCACGTACTCTCAAGAACCTACCTCAGTCATCCTACTTGGAATAAGTCTATTCCCTTTATCCTTCTATATTCCACTGTTTGAACCTTGGTAATAGGTATCACAGTTGGCTTTTGATTAAACTTATTTAACTACATCTCTCCTAACTAGATTCTGGGCTACTAAAAGGAAGGGACCTTTTTTTTTTTTTTTTCAGCCTTATATCTCTTGACCCCTGAGCACCATGCTTTGTGAACAATAGATGCTCAACAAATATTTGCTGAACTGAACTCACTGAAATGCAGCTTAAATCATATTCCAGAAAGAACATGAAGTTCTTTGGAAGAGACTTTCAAAGAAAATCAACAACCTGAATTGATTTAACATATTTTGGTACTGTTACCTGGCCATTTTTGCAAATGCAAATTGTTAACTCTGCAAAGATAGCCAAGTGGCTTCCAGGTTCTAAAAGAGAAATGTAAATCCAGTCTAACTATAGTCCAGGCCTTGGAATAAAGTTTTTCTCAATAATGTTATTTCAACTGATATTTTGTTTCATTTTTTTTTTAAAAGTGGAGGTAGGAAAAAACATTTTGGAAAAAAAAAAGTGTTTGGTCTATGACTTTGGACCCAAGTTCATGCCCTGCCTTGTGCTATAAGCAATAGTAGCTCTCATTGAAGTTTCTTTCCTGGATACTGCATAAAAGCAAAACACATACTAAAGTTCCTTCCTGAAGGAGATTCTGTTTTGGGTGGGCAGAACAAGATTTTTGGGTGCTGATCCTTGGTGAAGTGATACCCTTTCTCTTCTACTTTAGAGTCTGGAACCAAAGAGGGTCCTGATGGCACTTTTCAATACATACAATATTTATGCTGCATTTTAAGAGTATAACTCTATTATGCAACAAGCCCAGCCCTTACGTCTGTACTATTGCACCTAATCTCTGCAACTGGGCTCTTCAGAAAGGGCTGTGTCACCGAATATTCATTTTCTTTTCTCATGATAACAGAAATCCCGAAATTTAGCTGGGTATATGGCCACCCAGATTAATGACTATATTTTTAGCCTTTCTGATCATATATTTACAGACTGGCCAACATCATATAAACAGAAATAATGTGTATAACTTCTGGTTAATGTCCTTAAGGGATGGGGGATGCTTTCTCTCCCACCACCATTCTCTATCTCATGCACATCCTGCTACTGGGATGGAGGGCATGATGCTGAACCATTCTGGACCATGGTAACGGCAACATCCTAGGTGTGACAGAGCAAAAAGTCAATGGCCTGGGCTCTTCGATAGACATGTAGAGCTAAGCTGCCAAACCAGCTCTGGACTGCATTCCTCCTCGGCACTACAGGAGGAAGCAGTACATCTCTATCATGTATACCACTGTTAGTTTAGGTTATAGTTACACCTGGCCAAACTTATAATCTAACTGCACTCAGGGACTTCGTTGAAGGATTATTGTATCAGTATGACCAATCCATTTTAGCTTAGAATTTCCAGATTCAAATTTCAGGACAGGCCTGAAGTATCTCAACAGAGGCTCATGAAGCCTGAGAGGTAAGTTGTCACAGGGGCTTCCCTGATGGAAGATGAGAGGGCCCAAACCCACTTCGGATTTTCTAAAATCTTAGGAGCCCAGGCTGAGGGCTTAGAAATGGCTACAAACCCAATTTTGAGGCAGTGAACATTACTTTACCTTTCTGGAACTCAGTTTCCTCAAGTGAGAATCAGGGTGATGGATGAGATTAAAAGCTCACTTTCTGGGAACTATTATATAGTTAACTTTAGGGAAATGAAGAATTTTTTTAAGATAGAGAGAGATGGGGTTTTGCTCTGTCACTCAGGCTAGAGTGCAGTGCATCCCTAAAGAAGGCATGAGAAGACTGCCTATGGAAAGATGACAACAAACTTAACGATTATACGAGGCTGCAGAGAAATTGGTCTACTATCTCCAGAACGAGTATAAATTGGTAAAAGTCTTTGGAGAGCAATTTGGGAAGATATAGTAAATGGAAACGTGTAGACACTCTGACCAGCCATTCCATTTTTTATATATACCTAGTGAAACTCTCATACCTAAACATCAAGAAGCACAGGTAATAAAATTGTTACAAATAATCAAAATTTCCATAAGTAGGGGAGTGGGTAGCATGTGGTACATTCACACACTGAATGGATGTGGATATCTAAGGTGAAAGAATGTGACCTGTGTATCACGTGGCCTGTGTATCATGTGACCTGTGTATCACATGGCTATATTACAAAAACAGTGTTAAGCAACAAAAGCAAGTTGTGAAATCGTGTACAATAAATCATTTATGCAAATTTCAGAATGCACTCAAAATCAATCATTATACTATGTGTGGATTCACATATATGTAGAAAAGTTTTTAAGAATGGAGAGGAAAGATGTAGACCAAACTCTGGAGAGTTTCCACTTTTGTGGAGGAATGTGGGATAAGGAGGGAATGGACCAGGAATAGGTACAAAGGAGTCCTAAAGTTTGTCAAGTTTCATTCCTGTAAATAAAAAAAAAATCTGAAACAAATGGGACAAAATTTTAGTATTTATTTGGGGTGTTAGATTCACCTGTTTTCTTTTATGATTTTCTGTACTGTTCTGTATTTAAAATTTTTTTTCATATATTATAAAATATTTCCAAATATTGTAAAATCTCTCTTCAAGGCTGATTGCCAGAAAAAAAAAGTAAACAAAGCAGAGAGCCTGTGTGAGAAGATGTCATGGAGGGAGGGGATGTAAAGTGAATGTGCACAGGGGAGAAGAGAACTGAACAGATACGAGTCCTTCCTCTCCTTTCTCATCTCCCTGGGAGGTCCCACACTAAGAGGCAGGCAGAAGCAGCAAAGGAGAGCGCCTTGGCCTAGACAAACTTTCCGAGGCTGCAGTGGCACCTGGCAGGCTGGGGACAATGTGACAGGCCTGCTTTGCCTTCTTCTCCATGACCTCTGGGAGAGGAGTTCACTCTCTTTGCTCCATTGAGTTCCAGGGCTCTTTGCCCAGGCTCCTACAAGAATGCCAGGCTGTGCCAGGTGCGGAGGTGGTATTTACCATGCAGATACCTCTGTACCTGGATGGAAATAAATTGAGAATCTTCTGGGTCACTTTGAGTCCAGCAGCATAAAACATTTTGATAGGTTACTGATTCAAACTGAAATCTGATGAACTCAAGTGGTGGTATTTGGGGGGACATTTTTGTCAATAAATCATCCAGCTGGCTCAGTGACTAAAAAAATGGGGTGGGAAAACTTAACGCAAGTTTGTGACAAGGGAACAAACAGAAGAGATTAATGCCTGTCCTGATACATTTCAAAAGGTGATCAAACTGTTCTTGATTGCAAAAGCAAAGCAAGAAAGATGAGGCACATAGCTTTCCAGCTCTAAAAAAGATCGCTGTTGCTTTGTTTTCTGTTTTCTTCTGCCACCCTATGCCAAGTGGTTGGAGATATGGGAAACTAATTTCATCTCCAGCACCTTCTCCGGACCTGTCTCAGGGTGCCCTGGTCTCCCCAGCTCCCGCTCATTCAAACCTACACTAATAGACGACAGCCCCAGGATCCAAATTAAACCTGTCATACCTGACTTTGATTTTGCAAAAATGATATAAAAAACACACTTCTGTCTTACTGAGGAACTAAGCCACTATCTTCTGTCCTGTTCCAAACAACCTGGCTTTTCTTTTACAAATCCTCCCCAGATCCCTGAGGAAAGGAGTAACGGGGAGGCTGTGCTAGATCAACCCTTCATTCCCCTGGACCTCCCCTTCCTTAGGTTCTGTTTCACCAAGTCCGCAGGTGTTTGTGCCTATGAGCCCCTGAAAACTAGGAGGGCTCCCGGAGAGCTGGGACCTGGGTTTTCCTCTAGGCCTCCTGCAGCGCCAGCAACACAGCCCAGCTGCTTTCAATGACAGAATCTTTATTCTTGGCCTTGAGTCCCAGCTGTGTTCTGGGTGGCACAACATTCGGGGCTTGCTAAGGGAACAAAGGACATGACCAGAGGAGAGGTGGGTCAACCTGGAGCTCACTGTAAACTCCCTTTCCTTTCTGCTGCCAGATGCTTCTGTGGGCACACACCATTAAAGCTGATTCCCAGAACCAACTCCTGCTCTTACCTCTCCACTAGGCCCCAGCACACTTGAGCATCACTCTAAGAGGCTAGCCAAACTGCTGAGCTTTTTCACTTAGTGGGCACTGAGACTTGCATGGTGAACTCTGGGGACCAAAGGAAAAATGGATTCATGAGATCCCCTCCTACCCCAACATTTCCCACTTCATTGCACAGAGAGGCTCAACTCTCTCTCTGCCTGGGATCTCAGAGTCCAAACCCTCAGGAAACTGGTGGCTGTGAGCTCCCTCTCCTTTGGGGCCTAAGTATTTCCAGCATCCAGAGGCCAGGATCCCAGACAAACGCTGGACAGACAAAGGAGATGCAAACAGGATGGTATTACCATGTTAATGGCCTGAGTTGAGGCCTCCTGAAGATGCTGGGAGGAGGGGGGTTCTTTCATTTACTTTTTTTCTTCCTTTTTTTTTTTTTTGCAAAAGGAGAATAGTTCCGCTTTCTATTTTACTACAACAATAGCATGGACCGGCTCCTTCAAGAGTTTCAAAAAGCAGCCTGAGAAATCTCTAACCAGCCCCTCAGTCTCTCCAGCCTGCCGCTTTATTGTCCTTCCCATCCCAGTGAACAAAGGGGAGGGAAGGGTAGAAGTCCCCCAGTTGCTGACTGTTCTCAGCATCCTAATCCTTGAGAACCGGTGAGGGAAATGGCCTGTGGAGCTGGTAAATCGAATTCTGCCCTCACCTTTTATTCCCTCCCTCTGCTTGAGCACTCAGGAGTTCTTCAGGTATTATAAAATCTCCGGGCTAGCAGGCCAGTAGGCATCTTGGGGCTTGCCAAGGGATAAAAGGCACTGAGGGATCATTCCCTACCCCCACGGGTAGCTGGTGTGGTTGGCTTGTTTCCACCATCCAGGTGGCTCTATTGAAGACCGAATGTCGGCCACAGTGGCTGGCGGCCTCCCTTCTAGTTGGCAGCACAGGAGCTGCCCTGTCTGTCTCTAAGTCCCTGGACATGGGCTGCACATCCCACCCAGAGCTCCAGGTGCCAACCTCCACACCAACTCGGGGCTCACCTGCCAGTGCAGCTCCTCATGTAAGAAAAGCTACTTGGCCTTGACTGATGGTACCTTTCCAAGTTTTCCACCCAGGGACCAAGGGTTTCTTTGCTTTAAACCTGGGGAATCATGCAGGTGTCTTTTAGTTTGGTCATGTGGTAAGAAGGGGGAAAAATTAGCTTTGATGTTGCAGTATGTGGAGATCTCAAGGGTACAACTGGGCTGAGCTAAGGGAATGATGAGTACATCCTCTCCTAGGAGGATCGGACAAAGCTGATGTGACAAGGCTGTTAGAGATCCCGCAGGATGGTTACAACAATCCACGTAAGAAAAACGTTTTATGCTGCAGCCCCCACACAAACTCATAATGTATGTGGACATTCACAAACACACAATCACACAAGAAATATTTTATGAAATGAAACAATATGTGTGATATAATCTGATATTTTTTCTTCACTCTTTCTTCTGTCTTCTCTCTCTCTCTGTTTTCAAATGCTGGTTGTGATTCATCAATTTCACTTCATGACCCACCAATGGGTTGCGACAGTTTTCAAAGTCTTGAATCAAGGTTAATGTTTTCATTTTCCAGCTGACAAAAGCAAGGCCCAGAGATTTTCTCAAGATCATACCAAAGCTGAAGGTAAAATCCAAAGGTTCTTTCTAGTAAATGAGGGGCCTGCATTTTCTGGGGACCTGCATTTTTTGTTTTCCCAAAGTCTTTGGGAGCACACAGCAAGAAGGCAGAGTGTGCCAAGAGGTTTGTTTTCAAGGGCATTGCTGGTAAAAGCAGAGGTGTTCCACTGCTTCTGGGAAACCTCAGAGAGGGATGTGTAGCTTGGGGGAGTGGGATAGAGAAAACAACTTAGAAAGCAACCAGGTGAGGTTCTGAGGTCTCCTAACCAAGCATTTTATTTACTGGTTGTTGTTCTTGAATTATAAGACATTTTCCTGAATTTTTCTCTTTCCTGGACACAGCTCCAGGTCAGCCTCCTTTAGTGATCCACTTTCTCCCCTGTTTTCCAACTTTTTCGAAAAGTCATTCCTTGCAGTTTTTTAAACTCTACCAATTCATTGTATTTCCAGGCTCTACTTTCTCTAAATAACTTTCTCTTCCCTCTTAAAATCATGATCTTAGCAATGAACATCAGAGAGGCAACTCAGTGACTCTTCTTCTCACAAATGTTATCCCAAAAGTTATCCAGATTTGACCGGGCTTAGAAATGCTATTTAACAAAATGCCTAGTGATCAGGGTGCGTGTATCACATCAAGCCTCTTCACACACGTCATCTGAGCAGAACAAACTTTTTTCCTCCTGAAATTGTCTTGTAATCTTCCATAGAATTTCTTGAAATCTTCAACGAAATTTGCTACTTACTATACTTCTAATCTTTTAAGAAGGCCTCTAAAAATGAAGAGCTGAATGCCACCCTGTGTACTGGGTAAATAAAAGTCCAGCTTTCTGATTGCTTATTAGTTATACACCCGTAGAGAGTATGTAACAAAGAGGCCTGCTGTTTGCTTTGCTTAATCTGGTGTTAAAATCTCTGCTCCTTTGTCAGAAAACACTATTTGCAATTGTAAAAAAAAATATTTACCAAGGAACTTGGATAGCATAAGTCAAAGGCTAAGAGCCAAAGGTCGTAGTTCTCACCCCAAATTTCGTGGACCTGAGAGTCCCCGCTGTGGAGCTCAGCTGCACCAAACAAACATGCCGCTTTGTGAGTCCATTAAGAAGCAGACATTTTAGAAGGGGAAGGAAAGGGAAGGCTGCAGCCTGTTCCTTAGTTAGAAGCATGAACTCTCCAGCCTGCCCTGCATATTCCCTGCTAGGTCTTTGCACTGCATTGTGTCTCCATGGGGAAATTACAGGGACTGCCCTGTTTCATAAACCTGGGAAAAATATTTAACTTATAAATCCTTCAGGGCAGGACTTCTCCCATGGACAGCAGTGACAATATGCTCCTCTAGGGTCAGGCCAGATATTCACCTAAGCATCTCTGTGGTTGGGGTCTCCTGCCCCACAGCAGAGGACAGATGTATATCCTGAGCACTTCTGTGCAGATCCTTCCTCATCCACAAAGCAGTTTTGTACATCTGACATTGTGGGCTGACTCTTCTAACAGTGCTGGAATTTACCCCTTCATGTTAATTGCTTTCTGGAAAGACCTGTAATCGGGTGCCTTTCCTAACCACTGGCGTATCTAGCATCTGAGAATGAATCACCATTGTAGATCAGTGAGTTCCAGGATGTGGCCTCAGGGTGCTATACCCTAAGCAAGAACTCAGCTCCTTCTAAGTCCTGGGCTCACGTCACAAGGTGCAGGTCCTAAAGGTCTGGTCCCCAGCAGGAAGACCATGTCAGGACAGGACAGGAAAAGGAAACAAGATAACCAGAAGGAGTCAGGGAAGTAGGGCTCATGGAGCCATGACATTGTGCCCCAGAGGCTGCCAACCCAGATGGTTCTTTAGCTTGTTAAGCAAGAAGGCTCTGGGGCAGCACTGGCTCCTCACCTCCACACTGGTGTCAGAATCATTGCCCACTTCATGCCATAGGATCTGCAAAGAGGAATGGGGTGGTAGCAATTCCGAGCTTTCTTGGTTTGATCCTCATGTTTTGATTGTCTCATTCTGTTAGGAAATTCTGTAGGTCTCCTTCGGCCCTACCTCAATCTTCTCTGTCAAATTCTTGCCACAACTGCCGCTCTCTTGCTCTCACTAGGGTAAATATCACTGGCCAATGCATCTTGGTTTTTGATTCTGTCTGGAGCTAGCTTCTATCAGAACCATAGCACTAATTACCACTAGCAATGGGCAGCACTGAGCATAAGCTTAAAGAAATGGCTTAATCCAAGGATCTTACCTTGAAGAACCAGGCCTTCCTCCTTGATGGTGTAGACAAATGAGGTGAAGGGAGCCAGAGGGGACTTGGCAATAAGAATCTGCACATAAAGCACATTTTTCTAGGGTTAGTCAAAGGATCAGGGATGGGCCTCTATTCACTCCCCTTCCCACTTTGAGACAAAGTGGTAACATAGGACTGTAAGTCACAAGGCTTATTTAAAAAAAAAAAAACCATTTTATAACCCAATGTTTAAATGAGTGTTATCCTTTCAAAGTGGTCACCTTAAAAGGCTGTATGCTTATTCCAACTATTCTGTCATCAAATGCCATATTCTTGAATCAATTCTTCTAGAAATAAGTCTCATTATTTTATAACACATGCTTAAATAGCTACCTTTCTGCCCAAAAATAAACCTAGCTTGATTCTCTAATTTTATTTATAAACTTAGCTGTTTTACTAAAAAAATTCAAAGCTACCTTTAAAAGATTTACTATCACTGCAAATATTCAAAATAACTTGCGAAAGGCAAAGCAATTGAAGGTTTCTTTGTTGGCCCTGGTCCTTCACCAAACCCTCTACTACGTGACTACATTTTCTATTACTTAAGGTGTAGAGCATTTCCCATGGCCCTTGATTGTGGGTTTGGGCATATGACTTGCCAGGTGGCATGACATAGGTTGTGCCAGTTCCCAGCCGAGGCCTCAAAAAGCCTCAAGTATTTCTAGTTGTTCTCTTAACGTTTGTGCCATTGTCAGAGAAAAATATGTCCATGCTAGTCTGCTATCTCAGAAGAAGGGCAATAGATACCTGAAACAGAGTTGGCCAGGAAGGCTCAGGCTAAAGAGTTGACCCCTAGAGACCCACAGATACACAAGTTAAATATCACTGTGTGCCTCTGAGATTTTGGTAGTGGAGTCATGAAGCATTAGTGCGTGCAGCAAGAGTTAACTGATATACCAGCCAAAATATCAAAAAATGTTTTCAGCAATGGCATTTTCCTAAGACAACACTTATTTTAAAGGAGATGGTTATTTGATCATTTAAAAAAATCAGTATCATTAAGCCATTATCACATCTCATATGGTTCTACAGAACCTCTAATAATTAGTAGATTATTTTATTATAGTATTTCTACTGAAGAAGATTAATTATCAGTTTCCTGTTTTACACATTAAAACATTATCAGAAACAAAGACAGTTTGAACACTGAACCGTGTAGGTAATCAGGGAGGCAAGAGAGAAGGAAGAAACAATTTCAAATGATCAAAAGGCTTATATATAATATCTTGGCCTATCTTAATTCAACAAATATTTGCTGTCAACTATGAGAAGTGGTGGGAAAATGTGATGAAAAGATCACAGGTTTTAGTCATAGGCTTGGAATCTAGCTCTTCCACTGATTGGCTAGGAGCCTATGGCAGAGCCTACAATTTTCCTCTAGCAGCCATTCCCCTTCTTCCCTTTAGTAAATAACTCCCCAAGTTTCCACATTTCTCTGCTTCTTTTGCAAGTAGGTGTGGCTATGTGACCAAGCTTTGACTAGCAGAATGTGAGTACAAATGATAGGTAGAAATTCTGGATTATGTTTTCATAAGAAAACTGCGTGCCCTCCACTTTCTCTTTCGCTCTTCCCAAGGCAGGAACCAGATCCAAGCAAATGGGTGTGGACAACACTCTGGGGATGACAAGGCAGCATGAGAGAGGGAAGCTGGGTGGCTTCAGAGAGCATCAGTGTCTCCCACTCGGGGTCACCAGTCCTCTCAGGGCAGAGCCACTTGGCTCAACCACTGTATTTTGACATCTTTGATGCTACAGTGCAGCCTGAATTCTAACCAAAACTGTGACTCTGGACAACCTAAACTTGTTAAGTCTCAGTTTCCCCACCTGTAAAATGGTGATAAAAACACCTTCCTAAGTGGCATTATTATGAGGATTAAATTAAGTATACAAAATACCTGTCACTGTGTCAAACACAAAATAAGTTCACAATAAATAATAGGAACATTTCCAACTAACCCATCACATATGGTTCCCTTAACCCTCACTCACCAAATAACAATATACTTGGCTCCTACCAGAAGAAAGTCTCCAGTTGAGTTGCAGTAATTTTTACAAATGTTCTAAAGTTATTTAGATACACTAATTCATCATTCTCAGAACCAATGAGAAGAAAGTATAGGTGGGAATTTACACTTTCATGTCAAAAATATCTCATTTGAAAATTAAGGTAGATTGCTTTCTGCCTGAGACAGTTCGGAGATGGTTCAATGTGAATTTATTTATTTATTTATTTATTTATTTATTTATTTATTTATTTTTTTTTTTTTTGAGACAGAGTCTAGCTCTGTCACCCAGGCTGGAGTGCAGTGGCGCAATCTCGGCTCACTGCAAGCTCCACCTCCTGGGTTCACACCATTCTCCTGCCTCAGCCTCCTGAGTAGCTGGGACTACAGGCACCCACCACCACACCCAGCTAATTTTTTATATTTTTAGTGGAGACGGGGTTTTACTGTGTTAGCCAGGATGGTCTCAATCTCCTGACCTCGTGATCCGCCTGCCCTGGCCTCCCAAAGTGCTGGGATTACAGGTGTGAGCCACCACGCCTGGCCCGGTTCAATGTGAATTTTAAGGATATCCCTTAGAAGGGGAATGGCATGGTAGAAGAAAAAACAGTGGTTCTCGATTTTAATGTGGGTTTGCATCACCTATGGGTCCTGTTGACCTACATATTCTGATTCTTTAGGTTTTGAGTGGAGCCTGAGAGAGTCTGCATTTCTAACAGGCTCCCAAGAGACGATGATGCTGTGGTTCATAGACTACATTTTGAGTAGCCAGGTTCTAGGCAATTAGCCTGATTGAAGAGTCTAAGATGGAGAAGCAAGAGATGGGAGATGTGGGGCCAGTTAGGAAGCAACTCCAATAATTCAGTGATGAGATGATAAGGGCCTAAACTATAGCTGTGCCAGAAAGAGTGGTAAAAAAGGAAATGGATAAGATAAACGTAAATCCTTTAGATCAAATAGCAGTAAAAATAAACTAAACATATAAAAAAATCTCAGATCTTTGTTGTCTGTATGTAGCAACTAGACATGAAACCAAAAGGGTGTAAATAGCAATAAATAAAGTATCATGCTATATTTTTAAAAATATTACCCTTTTTATTTTATGCACTGCAGAAACTGAGACCCAGAAAAAAAGAATGTAATATTTCAATGAGACACAAGAATGGCATCTGAGCCTAAGCCTTCCAACTCTGTGGTGCTAACTCCACCTTCTAATAGCCAGTCTATGAGCAAGCCCTGAACCCCAGCCAAAAGGATCTCACACCTGGAGGGACCTCTCTGCCGGAAATCAAAGAGTTCGGACAGGTCACTGATTAATGCACTGTCCTTCTGGAGCAGGATTTATAATGAGTCATCAAAAGGATGATCTGTGTGCAGTCAGAAAAAAGGAAGTGATAAGTTATGTCAGATGAATTCCATTTCCTTTCTTTGGAAAAGAACTTCCAGAGTGATAGATCAGAGGGCTAGCACCAATAAAAAATATCTGATTTCAGCAAAAAATGTGACAAACTCTCTTGATAGCCTTCTGGATAAAGTGAAGATAAGTTGAGCTGGGTGCTAATACCATTAAGTGGACTTGTGAGTGACCAAAAGGTCAGTAGTAACCTGGTGAGGGGCAGCAACCTCTAGTAGAATGTACAGAATTCTAGCTTGGTCTTACTGACTTGAATAAGATTGCTGATGTATTCAATTACACCCATACAACAAATATGAAATCTAGCAGGGAACAGAACTGACAAAAACTGCTCCTCTAATAGAGCTTACATTCTAAAGAAAGATAAGAAGTACAAAATAAATAAAATATGTTATGTTCAATGAGTATATGTGCAATGGATGAAAAGAGCAGATAAAGAATACAGGAAGTGTACTGGATTGGAGGTGGGGGCATCAATTTTGAATAGAGTATCATGAGATCTCACTGAAGAGGTGACATTTGGACTTGTGAATCATGTAACTAAACCCAATGATGAGATGCTGAATTGATGGGAAGGTAACAGAAGACAAAAAATTTAGAGAAAGAGGTCATATATTAGATCAGATAAACATGATATCAAAACAAATCTCAATTTGGTTAGAATGTTGGAACAAATCCTACACATTGTTTGGGATGCAATTTTATTGAACTAAATGAAATGCCTTGTCCTTGAGAACAGAGCACCAATGATTCATTATGGAACAGCCAGAATGAGATTCAGCATTCAGAAAATGGAATGTTGGTTAACTATAGTTCAATATTAGTCAGCTGTGAGATGTAATTTTCAAAAATCTAGCAAGTTCTCAGGTTATATCAATGGAGATATAGTATGTGGAACAAGGGAGGTGATAGTCCTGCTCTCCTCCTCACCCAGGAAACCATGCCTGATGCAATGTGTTTGGACTGGGGCCCAAATTCCAAAAGAAAAAATGACAAACAAGAAGGTGGTTAGAGGCCCAAAGCAATCAATGACCACAAACACTTCAATGCAAACATCATGGTAAGAGGACTGGAGTGAAAATTCATATTGCTTTTCTATGGGTTTTCTAACCTGAAGATTCTATAATATTATATACTAGTATATACTATGTGAAGATGCATATTGCTTTTACTATGAGTTTTCTAACCTGAAGATTCTGTCATATGCTAGTATTATACACTAGTACATATTATGTGAAGATGCATATTGCTTTCACTATGAGTTTTCTAACCTGAAGATTCTGTAATATTATATACTAGCATATACTATATTAAGATGTATATTGCTTTCACTATGAGTTTTCTAACCTGAAGATTCTGTAATATTATATGCTAGTAGTATATACTATATGAAGATGCACATTGCTTTTGAGTTTTCTAACCTGAAGATTCTATAGTATTATATACTAGTGAGGGGAAGTGTAAATTAGCTTTCTAGCCCAATATATTTCAGGAAAAAAAGTGATGCTTGCCATGTATCTTTGTGGATACATATAGATTCCTCCCTTTTTTTGATCTGAATTAATGCCCCATGACCCTTCTGCCATTCAAACTATAAACTATCCTCTTCCAAAGCAGACAACCCCCCAGCAGGTAATTTAGGCTGTGCTGGTTCAGATGTTCATCCATCCCATAAATCTGGGGAGTTCTAATCATTGTCTGACTTAGGTGGTTTTCAAGTATCATTCTATCTTCTTCAATACATGGTGCCCTGCAGGGAGGCCTAGGTACTTAATAAAACAACAGGGCCCTAGTGAAAAATTCTGATCGCACTCAAACCTGTGTGCAATGTGTGAAAGTTGGCTTTGGAAGTCTGAGGGTTCAAAGAAATATGTAACTGAGCAAGAATGAGTGTAGATATATGTGGCTCAGAAAGCCTGGGGCTCCTTGTGGTAGGTATGTGGTATGTGGGCAGTTAATCCCATCTCCCACAAATAGCCAAATTGTTTCTTCTTGAATATTTCCTTCATATCAGACCAGCTTGGCTTTAACTGCACTCTAACAAATACACTTTCTCCTCTCTTTACCTATCCTTGCAAGGAAAGTGGTCACCCATATTTTAAAATTCTTTGGAGGTGTCGGGCCTGTAATCTCAGCACTTTGGGAAGTTGAGGCAGGAGGACTGCTGGAGGCCAGGAGTTTGAGACCAGCCTGGGCAACATCGTGAGACTCTGTTTTGATTAATTGATCCAACTATCCATCAATTCTTTGGAGGAACATTTAAGGTATATCCAATATGTACTCGATGCTGGATCCCCAATCCCACTACCATCTGGAAGCAATTTTCGTTATTTGTGCCATCCACCCACCCATCCATGCACTTATTCAATCCACAAATATTTACTGGGCTCTTTTCTTTGTGCTTGGCACTGTTGTAGGTGCAGGGGATAGAGCAGGGAATAAGACAGAGAGGTCCTTGATCTCATAGAGCTGACATTCTGGTGGCAGAAGACAGACAATACAGGGAAGCCTTTGGGCTTTTTCCACTGTGACATTCCACTACGTGCTCCTCACTCTAGGGCATTCAATCCATCCATCAACAAACATTTATTGAGTACCACACTCTGGGCCAGGCAGATTCAATTTACACTCTGTAAATGTGCACTTATTAAAATACTGCTACCTGTTTCTACCTCAGTTTATTTTTTAGAGGCAAGCTCTGAATTTTCAGTGGGACTCAGCAGATCTGGGGCATTTTCTGTAATCTCACTCTGTTCCCTTCTCTAGGGCCCAATACGGTGCTTTTCAGCTGAGGGCTCCTAGAATGATGGGCAGGCATCTTCCTCACTGTTCTTCACTTCATCCCTATGCTGGTGTGTGGAGGTTTCTCTCCAATGACAAGTAGAAACACAGAGGCCTATGTACTCTAAATAAAGCGTGGAAGGAAAATTGGCCATTGGGGCCCATGGGCTTCTCCTTGTAAACTCTCTCCTCCTTCTTTTATGTCCCTCTCCCCAGGTTTCTATTTTGCTCTTAGTAAATAAGCTGTCAGCTAATTATCTCTACCCCTAAAGTGAGGGCTGGTAAACCTTCACGCATTAGCCCTCTCAGGTGTGTCTGCATTGTAATATAAGACTCTCAAAAAAGAGAAATGGTCTGTCATGATAGAAAGTGCAATAGGACTTGGGTGGGTAGGGGAGACTTCCAGGGTTCCTACAGTAATAATGCTGATGAGAACAACAACAACCAATGGACGTTAATCTTCACAATAATCCTCAAAGGTAGGTAGCTTATAAGTACTGAAGCTGGGTTCCAACCCAGGCTACCTGGTTCTGTACTACCTGGTCTGTACTTTTAACCACCATGATGGCAGCTCCCAATCTGCCACATACAACTCAATCTACTTTTCTGGGATAATACATTAAATGAGGCAGGATACATAACAGCAAATAAGGGCTTTTTTTTTTTTTTTTTTTCCCTGCATGGATATTGCATGATTCAAGACAAAGAAGGGAGCTGGACAGGGTATCCGTGCGGGCTGCCTCAGCTGTTCGCAAGCTTCCACACTGGCAGTCTTCATTCTGCCCTTCATCCCTGAAAGTCTAAATACAAATGTCACCTCTTCCAGAAGCTTCAGCCGATTTCTCCAGCCTAAAGTCATCTCTCTCTAATCTCTTCATACTTTATCTGTACTCTCTAATTATTAGTTTTCTTTACTGTTTTATGGTTAATGTTACCTCAATTTAACATAATCTATTTGACCCATTCTTGTTGTTGCTGCTCCTTCTGGTCCCACAAACCTCTAGTGTGGTGCTATATACGTAAGAGAAGCTTCATTATGAAATACAAGAATGAATGAGTGAATAAATGCACAAATTGATGACCCACAGAAGCTCTACTGATTCATATCCATTTTTAGGACTTATCTGGTTCCCTCTTCCCAGAGTTAGGGGACTCAGAAAATGCCATAGAAAACAGCAGGCTTCCCAGTCAATCACTGCCAAGATTCTTGGCTTGGCCAGGCCCAAAGTCAAGTCTTTGGTTTCAGCTTGCTATAGCATCACATGTTTTTCCTGGCCTGATCCCACTTCCAAGAGGCTCAGAAAGTGGAAAAGGAGCCACAGAACAGAAAGTGCTGGGCATAGTCACCCCAGGCCTTCTCCAGGATGGCGACACCTTCTAGGGATAGTGTCTGGGTCCTCCTTTTTAAAGTATAGGTGTGGCCCTCATCTGAGGCAACCCAGCCCAGTCCTTCTCCATGGGTGGCTAGGAAGGCCAGTGTGGAGCAGGCAGCACAGAGATGTCAGGAACCTTGGGCACAGGCTACCCTGGAGGCTGCTTTTGTTTGTTTGTTTTTTTGAGATGGAGTCTTGCTCTTGTTGCTCAGGTTGGAGTGCAGTGGTGTGATCTTGGCTCACTGCAACCTCCGCCTCACAGGTTCAGGTGATTCTCCTGCCTCAGCCTCCCGAGTAGCTGGGATTACAGGCACCTGCCACCACACCCAGCTAATTTTTTGTATTTTTAGTAGAGACCAGATTTCACCATGTTGGCCAGGCTGGTCTCGAACTCCTGACCTCAGGTGATCCACCTGCTTCAGCCTCCCAAAGTGCTGGGATTATAGGTGTGAGCCACTGTGCCCGGCCTGGAGGCTGCTTTTATAGACTTCTGGTCCTGGCAGTTTACATGAGTTCCTGCAATACAGCCCCAACCTTAGGAAAAAGTGAGTTTTGCCTATGTGGCCCAGGAAAGCAGACATGAATAGGCGGCCATGAGGCTGAGGGTAAGCTGGCACTGATTCTTCTACTTTCTCTTCTCTAATTCCTGTGCCAGGAAGGCTTCCTGTACACCAGTCATGAATTCTTCCTCTCTTCTATTTCCTTCCCCTTCCCACCCCAACCCCAAATCTCACATTGGTTGGGAGGTGAAAGGAAGAGTGAAATGACCTGGCAGAGGAAAAGTATAAGCAGAAGAGTTTCTTCCTGTAAGGACAGGTGGTAGGACTGGCTTTCTTTCTATCCCTGCTATCTGCTATAAGATGTGGGGCCCAGAGACAATGTAATACGTTCAGCAAAGAGAAGTTCAGCAAGAAGCAATTGAAGTAGATAGCTCCCCAATATGACTTTGCATCCATACACAATTTCCTGTCCTGCTAGTTTTTTAATCCTGTCTCAGTCTCCCTCATGATCAGCAAGATTACGTGGTCGTTGATAAATTCAGTGGGGATTTCCTTGTTGAATGTGTCTGATGCTTTTCATCTGCATGCAAGGGTCCTGTCGAGAAATTAGGGAGGAAGCCCACTGACTGAAATGTCCTTCTACAGGGACCCTATTATCTCACTTCAACTGGAGTCCTAGGCTAATAAAACCCATTGGTAAGTTAAACAAACCTTTCCTCTAGCTATGCCAAGTGTCTGCGACAGAAATCCTTCATGCCAGGGTTTTCCTCCTTGTCCAAGACTTAGAAAAAAGTTGTTTTCTCAGCTGCTTTGAAGCTCAGGAAGAGAGCCAGGGAGGCAAACAAACCAGTTAGTCTTGCATCAGATAATTCAACAGGCTTTTGATAACCCCAAAGTCTTCTGTCCCTTCCCAGGTTGAGCTGAACTCTCCAAGCCAAAGGACAGAAGGGCCGGAAATGCTCCAGACAGGAAGATCTGTGACTGGAATGAGGCCATAGGATCAGGGGAGCTTGAAGTGTACCCAGTGATCCTCACAGGAATTCCCCATTGTGTTGCGAGAGCTGGAGGGAAAGGTGGCAGAGGTCCAACTCCCAGTCTGTAGTTGGATCTTAGACTGATTAGAATCTGCTTCATCACTTGGAAAATCACTCTGCATGGAACACTGAAGCCTCAACACCAGCAGCTTTGCAGGATTATGCGGGCAGAGCAGAGAATGAGTTTAGCGGCATCTAAACTGCCTTCTCATAATAGAAGAGCAAGATCTGTAGAAGTAATACAGTGCTGGAAAATGGCAGGATGGAAAAATGAACTGTATTTGAGCAGGCATGAATTTATTAATTTGTCTACATGTGGCCTACTTCCCAAGTTTTTCTACAGAAATTAGGGGACATAAAGTAAGCTGATCTGAATCCCTAAAAAATATAATATAAATAATAATATACAATATAATAATATGATATATAAATAATATAATTGTAGTCTCTGGGAAGAGTCTCTTAGGAATTTTGACCCTGAGGTTATAAGATCCTATTTCCTCATAGAATATCATTATGCTCTTGTATAACACCTCTCTGGTGATTGTTTTCAAAATGTTTACCTATAATATAACACATCAAGTTCCCAAAGTATAAGAAAGTATTGCCTAGAAAAGAGCTAGGGCTCCTTAAAGAAAATATTAATTTTTTCTGATCAGTAGGATGTTAACTTAGTAAATTATGGAATAGTAAATAGTTCAGGGTCAGAATGACATTTTGAGTTTACGGTTTTTTCCTCAACATTTTATTATGAACCTTTTCAAACATAAAACAAAAGTGAAAGAATTTTATAGTGAATACCCATAAACATATCAACTGGTTCTGCCATTAACATTTTATTACTTGAACCCAGGAATTTGAGGTTGTAATGAGCTATGATTAGCTCTCCAGCCTGGGTGACAGACCAAGGCCCTGTCTCAAAAAACGGAAACAAAAAGACCAAAATAATTTTATTACACTTGTTTTTTAGCACATATCTATTTATCTATCAACCCATCTTATTTTTTGTTCTGGTTGTTATTACATTTCAAAGTAAATTGCAAACATCAGTACACTTTTCTCTAACTACTTTAGCATGCATATAGTTAACTACAAGCTTAATATTTATTAACACAATTTAAAAACCATGTTGGTTTTTTTTTTTTTTTCAGTGAACTTTACATGTGGTTTGAAAGTGTTAATAATTCCTAGGGCTGGGCGCAGTGGCTCACGCCTGTAATCCCAGCACTTTGGGAGGCTGAGGTGGGCGTATCACGAGGTCAGGAGATTGAGACCATCCTGGGTAACATAGTGAAACCCTGTCTCTACTAAAAAAAAAAAAAAAAAAAAATACAAAAATTAGCTGGGCGTGGTGGCACGTGCCTGTAATCCCAGCTACTCGGGAGGCTGAGGCAGGAGAATCGCTTGAACCCAGGAGGTGGAGGTTGCAGTGAGCTGAGATTGTGTCACTGCACTCCAGCCTGGCAACAAAGCTAGACTCCGTCTCAAAAAAAAAGAAAGTATTAGTAATTCTTCCTGAATTATACCACAATCAGAGAAAACTTATCAACTACAAATATATGGTAGTATGCAAATTTATACAGTCAAAAATATGGGCCACCAATTCTTTCTACATTAATATCAGCTTTATTTAGGTATAATATACATGCAATAATTTTTTAACATAAGCATTTAAACTGTATATTTCCCTATAACTACTGCTTTAACTACACCACATAAGCTTTGATATGTTGTATTTTTGTTTTCATTTTCACTCATTTCTAATTTCTCTTGTGATTTATTCTTTGAACTATTGCTTATTTAGGGGTGTGTCTGTGTGTGTTTTTAAATTTGCACAGAACTGAGAATTTCCAAATTTTCCTTTTGTTACTGATTATCGATTTCATCCCAGGGCTGGGCGTGTTGGCTCACATCTATAATACCAGCACTTTGGGAGGCCGAGGTGAGCAGATCACTTGAGGCCAGGAGTTCAAGACCACCCTGACCAACATGGCAAAACCCTGTCTCTACTAAACATACAAAAATTAGTTGGGTGTGGTGGTGCATGCCTGTAATCCCAGCTACTCAGGTGGCTGAGGCACAAGAATTGCTTGAACCTGGGAGGCAGAGGTTGCAGTGAGCCAAGATCGTGCTACTGCACTCCAGCCTGGGTGACAGAGTGAGACTCTGTCTCAAAAAAAGCAAAAAAAAAAAAAAAAAAAAAAAAAAAAAAAAAAAAAAAAAAAAAAAAAAAATCATTCCATTGTGATTGGAGAAGTTTGTATGATTTCAATCTTTTAAATTTATTGAGGCTCAACTTGTAGTCTAATTTATACTTGAGAAGAACATGTATCTGCTGTTGTTTAGAGTGTTCTATAGATGCCTTTGAGGTCTAGTTGGCATAGAGTATTGTTTGAGTCTTCTATTTCTTTGCTGAACTTCTGTCCAGTTGTCCTATCCATTATTGAAAGTGGGGTATTGAAGCCTCCAGCTATTATCATTGAATTTCTATTTCTCCCTTCAATTCTATTAGTTTTTGCTTCATGTATCTTGGGGCATAGGTGTTAGGTGCACATACATTTATAGTTATGTCTTCCTGATGGAGCAATCCTTTTATAATTATAAAATGTCTCTTTTTTTGTTTCCAGTAATGATTTTTGTCTTACAGTCTAATCTGTCTGATAGTAGCATAGCCATTCCAGCTTTCTTTACTGTTTGCATGACATGTATTTTTCCATCTTTTTACTTTCAACCTATTTGTGTCTGACTCAAAGTGTGTCTCCTGTAGACAGCATATATAGTTGGATCATGTTGTTTTTAAAAAAAATTATTCTGTCAATCTCTGCCTTTTGGTTGGAGCATTAATCAACTCACGTTTAATGTAATTATTGATAAAGTAGGATATATGCCTGCCATTTTGCTATTTGTTTTCTGTGTGTATTTCCTTTTTGTTCCTCTGTTTTGCCATTACTATCTTCTGTCATTACTGCATTCTTTGTGTTAGGTATTTTTCTAGTGTACAATTTTAACTCTCTTGTTGTTTCTTCCACTATGCATTTTTGAGTTATTTTCTTAGAGGCTGCCCTGAGGATTGCCATTAACATTTTAACTTAAAACTAGTTCAGATTGATACCACCTTAATTTCAATTGTTTGCAAAAAATGTGCATCAATATAGCTCTATTCTCTTCCCCTTCCTTGTACTATTGTCATACAAATTACATCTTTATACATTATAAGCCCATCTACACAGTTTTATAATTCTTGCTTTTTGCAGTTATCTTTCAAATCAGATGGGAGAGGAAAAGACTTACAAATGAAAATACATTCTATTGTCTTTTGCATTTACCTACATATTTATCTTTACCAACACACTTTTTAAAAAAAAATTTTTTTTTTAATTTTTTGAGACAGAGTCTCGCTCTGTCACCCAGGCTGGAGTGCAGTGGCGCAATCTCGGCTCACTGCAACCTCCGCCTCCTGGGTTCATGCCATTCTCCTGCCTCAGCCTCCCGAGTAGCTGGGACTACAGGCGCCCGCCACCACGTCTGGCTAATTTTTTTTTGTATTTTTAGTAGAGATGGGGTCTCACCATGTTAGCCAGGATGGTCTTGATCTCCTTACCTCGTGATCTACCTGTCTTGACCTCCCAAAGTGCTGGGATTACAGGTGTGAGCCACCACACCTGGCTACACACTTTACTTTTTCATACTGATTTGAGTTACTCTCTAGTGTCCTTTCATTTCAGCCTGAAGAATTCTTTGTAGTATTTTCTGTATGGCAGGTGTTTCTCTTATATTTTGTTTTCTCTGGAAATGTCTTAATTTCTCCTTCAGTTTTGAAGGATAATATTGCTGGATATAGAATTCTGGATTGACAATCTTTTTGTTTCAACAGTTTGAATATGTTATTCAATTACCTTCTGGCTTCTGTGGTTTCTGATGAGAAGTCAGTCAGTTAATTTTATTGAAGGTCCCTTATACATGAAGCCACTTCGTGGTCCACTAATGACATGACAGATTTCCTTAAATGCTGTGAATCAGTAAATCTTTCAGCCTGTGTGTGTGTATGTTGGGGCATGCATTCAATACTCCATCAAGCCATATAACTCTGTTTCATTCTTCACTTCCTTCTTGCACACAGCCTCAAGGTCAGCTGGAAGTGAGATCTTCAGGTTTTCTCAGCTCTTACAAAGCCCTGGATATCTATGTGGCCCTCTAGATTCCTGGTGTATGTAGGAGCTTTATAAAACCCACTGTAGCTATCTCATTCCCCCAGATTTTCCTTTTGTATTTTTTGGTCAGCCTCTTGTTGGCACTACCTGGTAATGGAGCCTTGGGCAGCCATGATGGTGAGCAATTACCACTGGCTGTTTTTGACAAATGCTCTGTGGATAGTGCTGTTCACACAGGCCAAGTTCTGAATCTAAGTCAAATAAAGACAAGCCCTGAGAATGGAGCTTTTTAGCATGCTGTTGGACAGGTCAAATAATAGCAATTCTCTGGGATGGGGTTTTTAAGGTGCTCCAAACCTGTTCTATCCTCTCCAGTGGCTGCTACCATGCTGGCTTTCAAAGATGCCACAAATAAAGATTGTTGGTGTGCAAGGTTACTGTAGCACTGATGAAAGGAGAATGGAATTAGGGCAAGTTAAAATTCCACAAGTCTTGCTGTTCTTCCTGAGAGTCACTTGTTTTTTTTCTCAAATAAACACTCCTCAGACTGTTGTGAGCCTTTATTTAATTTCCAGAATTCTGAAGAAGTTTTTTTTAAGTTTTTGTCAATGTTCTTGTTACTTTTATGGAGGTGTAGAGTTTGGGAGTGCCTTATTCCACTATGCTGAAAATTGAGTCTCCTAAGCCAAAATGTAAACATCCTGATTCAGTATCTATCTTGGTTATCTCCCCCTATTCAATTTTGACTCCTCCTTTTTCTGTTTTAAAAGTTTTCACAGCACTAGACAACTGATCTTTTAATCAACTTAATGTTTACACATAAAATTGAAAACAGCAAATGATTTCACTTTTGTATTATCTTCTAGCTCTTTAATTGAATCTGTCACCTATTATATTATTAATTTCCAGGTGCTCTTCCTTGTCTTCTGACCACTTCTAATTCAGTGCTTCCTATTCTTGTTCTTATGTCATCTTTAACTCTCTGAGGAAATTAATTATACTTTAAGTTTTCTTTTGAGTCTCACATTATCTCTATTTTCTTCTCTCCTTGCTATGAGAGGCATTTTCCAAAGTCTGGTGATCCTTGGTTTTCAATCATATTTAAAACATAAAATATTTTTTTACTAAAAATACAGTTAAAAGCACCATGTATATACACAGCATTTGTAAACGGTGGGATCCACTGTAGAGTCAATAACTGGAGATACCTTCTCAGAGGTGGATTGATATTTATAAAAATCTCTTGTTTGGTTGCTACATTCTAGAAGCAGGGCAGAGAAAGGGGCTGTAGACTCACCATCTGGCAGGCATAATCCCCTGTTTTAATAAAATGCCCATTTTTGTCCTATGCTTTGTCTAGAGTCCCAAGTCTTTCTCCAAAGATAAATTATGGCTTTTATCCTGGGTTGGAGACTTGTCACTTAGCTTTCCAGGGTGAAAAAGGGGGTTCAGCTACTTCATATATTTCATATACAATTTTAAACCAATCTGCTGTTTTTGTCTCTTCTGTCTTCTATGATATCTGGTTCTTCTAAGTCCTGAAGAAATCTCTCAAGTGTTCTACTGCTACACTACTTTGAGGGCACAAAAGTGTCTCTGTTCTTTCTTGCCAATCTTGTATCACTTCATGTGTTCTATTATTTGCTGAAGCCTGTTGATATCTCAAAAAGATTCATGCTCTCTTTGTCTTTTTGGATTAACTTTATTAGTTTATCATACAGACATAATTTCAAATGAATCATGAGAAAGAATATACATATGTGGTCAAACCTCCACATTAAAGTGCAGGCACTCTTTGTGAACTTTAGTTTTTCTATCTCCAATTAGGTAGTGATTTAGTAACATTATCTTAATATCAGTTTGAGGGTTATGCACATACACACACATGTGCACACACACACACATCCCACATGTGAATATGTACCAAATAGCTCCTCTTAAGGCTACTCAATACAATTTTTTAGCTATTATCAAGTCATGGTTATAGGGGGCTAAAAAAAGGAGGCTTGGGGTCAAGTACAATCATCATTATTACAAAATGTAACACACCTTAGATCTGGTCAAGCATGGCTTCAAATCTTGGCTATATGATTTTGGGTACTCTAACCTCTTCAAGACTTACTTTCCTCATCTCTAAAATGAACACAATAGCACTCATCTCATAGGCTTATTGTGAGGATTAAAGAGATGAAAGAAATTAGTGAAAAATGCGGTACGTCATAGGAACCTGAGAAATATTAGTTTCTTTCCACTATGATGAGAGAATCTTATGGGGATAAAAATTGCAGAAAAGTTAGTAACTTGCCCCATTTTAAAGGCTAAAGAGTTAGTTCAATGGTCTGCCTTTCCTTGCTGTCCATGTGAGAGTGCCTATGTGTGCAAGGCTAATGTACAACTTCACACACATGCTACAGAACTGTACATATTTCTAACCATTTCTAAAATTGTTAATGTTACCATTTGTTTAATATTACCATTGGGTATGCTGAAGGAAGTGAGAATTGACTTTATTGTCAGTAAGCTCATCGCCATCAAATACTACATTTAAATTTTATTTTTTATTGTTTTTTTAAAAAATCAAAAGTTAACATAAGTATCACCAATTTCAATTTTCAAATAAGTGTGAACTGGTTTCATCATCATCTGAATTTGGTAACTTCAATCTAGCGCCAATTAAAGCAAACAAATACTGTCGCAAGGAATTTCAAGCAACAGAAATCCATTCCCTTTCTCCACCCTAAATCAGGAGTATTTAAATAACCAAAAAAAACAAGATGCACAAGAGCTCTGTCCAGCTGTTAATGCTAAGCTCTGTATATCCAGTTAGGCAAGCCTGATTTCCCAGCGCCATCCACAAGACCCATAAGAAACAGAGCTGGGTCCTCCTGTCCAGGCCCATTAGAAAATGCAGCAGAGGCAAGGCAGCTCTGGCCTTCAAGGGTCACAGAAGGAAGACTATGGCTGTGTGATTACTATAGTAAAAAGATGCCAGGAACTCAGAGGGTGTGTCTTGAATTCTGAAGCACACATCCCTGTTACATCATGCTTGGACCACACGGGACTTTCTTTAGTCTCACAGGAACCCATTCAAGGAAGGCAACATGTTTCTATGTAAAGGGGCTGAAATCTGGGCTTGACACATCCAAAAACAGCTGGTCAAATGGGACTGGTTTGTGTAATGTACCACATCCCTGGCCCTGCTCTGATGGGTGGAGGAACCAATTCTAGTGAGAAATCAACATGCTCTTTCTTCAGAGCACGGTCAAATTAATTCTCTCTGTTACCGCAGCATTCTTACTATTTCCCTAAAGTCCTCCTCCAGCAAATGCAAGGGCAAAGGACAAGAAGAAAACACAAGACAGGATTTCAGATGAGTTGAAGAGTGTAACAGAGAGACAACAGGGCACCCTTCCTGTCTTTTCCTTTAAGCACAAACGAAATTAGTTTCAGTAAGATGGAGGAGAGCTAGAACTTTATACAATAACTCTCCCCAGTGCTGTCAGGGTATAACCAGGAACCTGTCAGCTTCGTCTTTTGTATTTTCAATATTTTTAATGTGAATGTTTCTAAATCTTACACTATATATAACCATAGAATGACTCACTTATCAACTATTATAAGGGAATTAAGGTATCTTTAATTCATAGAAATAAGCTCACAGACTGAAATAATTCAAGAAACAGGTATAGGCACCAGAAGGATCTCAGAAAGAACTTGGTAGGAAGAGCTTGATAGCAACCAGACTGGATATATAAGGAGTTTAAAATTCTAAAATTCTCATTAGAATCATTTGTTGGTGCTCAATCTGTGTTTCCAGGCAGTCTACCTACTTAACACACATACCATCAGGCTGAGCATTCTATAGAATGAGTGAATAGGTTATCTTGCCTGAAACAGAGGGCCCTGAAGCTGAGAATACTGACCATCACAGGAGTCAAAAACTGTCCAATATGAGGCATTCCCTGTGCTGAGAAGTCTGGACAGGGCCCTCTGTGGGGTGCAGCATGGCCTGGCACTGAGCCCCCACAGTCATGCTAAGAATGAACTCTGCTCAGAATCCTCAGGGGCCTTTTACAGTTTCATAATCCCATATACCCTTCTTACTGTTAATGTTGACTTGACTACACTGTGAGACTATTTGCCAGTCCCAACAAACAATTAATTTTTCTCTCTCTTTCCCGGTTGGTACACTATGAATATGGCTTTATGTTTTTCTGATTATGTAAATACCACATGTTCACCATAAACAAGTCAAGCAAAACAGAGAGTCATGAGGAATAAAGCAACCTAACCTCTTTCAGTGGTTCTGAGTGAGAAAAACTATGTGAGGAACTACAGAACAGAGTGTGGTATCTAAGCTCCGTCTCTCCCCGAGGGCCCTTCAGAGGTGGAACAGGAGGCAAGTTCAGAAGATATAGTCTTTTAAAAAGTCCTGGCCAGGCGTGGTGGTTCACGCCTATAATCCCAGCACTTCGGGCGGCCAAGGCGGGTGGATCACCTGAGGTCAGGAGTTCGAGACCAGCCTGGTCAACAGGGCGAAACCCCGTCTCTACTAAAAATACAAAAATTAGCTGGGTGTGGTGGTGCACTTGGGTATTCCCAGCTACTCGAGACGCTGAGGCAGAAGAAATGTTTGAACCCGGGAGGTGGACGTTGCAGTGAGCAGAGATCGTGCCATTGCACTCCAGTCTGGGTAACAAGAGTGAAACTCCATCTTAAAAAAAAAAAAAAAAAAAAAAAAAAAAAGCCCTAAGCTCTTTTTGGGCCTTTCTGATGTCAGCTTCATTCTGTCACCCCTCTGCTCCTATCCGCCTACCAGGCAGGCCACTGCCTCCTGGAATGACACACAGCAACCTTGGGCTTGGCCTAATTAGGAGGCATAACAATGGGAAAAGCCTCTCCTTTGTTCCCCTAGGGTACCCATCTTAAATAACTTTCCGTTTTTTCCCCTCCTTTCCAAGGAGTTAATCATGTTTTAGAAGTAAACTAGAGCTCTGCCTAATTACTATGGGACAGAAGCTTTTATCACAAAGACAAGAGCCCACATGAGTTTTCTTCAATATTCAGACCGAGTTCTTCTAATCACAAGGAGGAAGAATAAATTAGAGATAACTACCCTAATGACACTGTGGATTCCTGTATGCACAGGCAGGCAGATTCATCCCCAGGGGAGTCAGCCGGGACTCTAGGAGAAATGAGACACCACAGAGGAAAAAAAGGCAAGAAAAAAGAGAATGGAAACAAAACAAAAACAAAAACTAGGTTTAGCAATACAAGAGCCTGGAGACCTCAGTCCTCCTCAGGCACAGCTGCAGGATCTCTGACTCTCAGGAGACACATGATGAAGGAGTGTGATCTTGGGGACAGCTGGGGGGATGGGCCTAAAGGTGTCTCACTGTTCAGAACTTGATTTTTTATTTGGTGATCTGGAGCAGTTTTCTGAGCCATCCACCCCTTTAAAATCAGGATCTTAAGAAAAAAGCTCAATTAAGGTGGGCCTTACTAAAAGACATTTAAAAACAGTTAGATTTAAAGATCCATTCAGTCCAGACCAGCATCTTTAAGGAGACTTTGTAAAATGTTTACCATGCTCTTTGGGGTCCCTAGGTAGAAGAATTAGAGAAGGTTAATGATGAAGCAAAGCACGGCTACAATATTCATGCACGGAGTTAGCAATTTCTGAAATGAAGCTATATTGCTACCTCTTTGGTTTGAAACAAAGTTTTGTTGTTTTTTAAAAATAATTAGAAATGAAAATACTTTAGATTTTCCTGATATGAGTTTTTAAGGAACACAACATTTCGTTCATTTTTATGTTATCCTCTTAACTGCATTCCTGTATATCCATACCATGAATACTATGCTGCTATGAAAAACGGTTAGTAATATGTATATTTACATGAAAAATTATCCATAATGTGTGGATTAATTTTAAAGTAGTTTATATAACATTATATATGGTGAGTACATAAATATTTTGATATATGCATAGAAAAAGCCTAGAAGATTATATACCATTAGAGGATTTTCCCTCCTACTATATTGCTTGATTTTTTTTTCACAACTAGCATGCATTACTTTTTTGTTTTCCATTTCAGAATAAACAAACAAAAACATCCCCTCTCTTATACATGGAAAGTCAAGCTAAAGATAAGAGTGTGTGCTCTGCCATTCTCCATCAGCAATCAAGCCAGGATATGCAATTCGGTGTCACCAGAGATTTTCTGTTTAGCAGGCAAATTCTAGCTGGGTGCCACTGAAAGCAGACTATGCCAAAATGAAAATACAGGACCTAAAAAGGGCAGACACACTTGGAAATTACATAAAACCATATTTACAGCAAGTATAAACAATGACTACTCAGAACTGAATGATTTATTTAATGTTATATTAATTCAACAAATATTTACTGAGTACCTCCTATGTTCCAAGTACTGGCTTAGACATTAGGGAAAGCAAAGATGAACATGATGAGGTCCCTGCCCATAAGAAGCTAAATGGCCCAGGTTTGAGCTAACCCAGAAAGCCTCGGGAATCCAGGAGATGACATGTTAAAAAACACTCGCTTCCTTGCTTAGGGTGAACTGTAGTCCACAGCTTTAGTGGCTTAAATGCCTGTACTTCCAGCTTTCTCAGATTATTCTGGTCAATATATAAAAGAGATGTCCTGGTAGACTATATGGATCATATATTCATGTAATCTTAAAGTGAGTTTTCTCTGTCAGACAAATAACACCCTTGTATATAACCCGTAAGCTCTCCCCAGTGGATTAGCACATTTTTCACTTCTTGAAGACCATCCTCAGCTCCCTATAGTATCTACTTTCCAAAGCCTTTGGAAGGTCCTCCTCAGTATGGGCCAACTGGCTGCTCCAGGCTCAGCCCTCACCTCTGCCCCTCCTGCTCACTCCCAATTCAGACTTGCCGATCCAGCTAGATTTTGAAAATTATGTTTTATTCATCTTTGCTTTTTCCAGAGCCTAACCTAGTACACAGTAGATGTTCAGTAAATATCAGCTTGCTAAATGACCACATTTCCAAAATTATTACTAATTTCATCTTAGTTACTTATTTGATGCCACTTTTGAACTGGAAAGAATATTTTACAGCTCATCATTAATGATTAAGGGAAACTAACCCAGAAAAGGTTGTATTTTTGTCGTGGAAGCAATGACATCAAGGACTTTCATCAAGCTTAATATGTGGTTTAAAAAAAAAAAGGTCATGGATAGAATGGCTAACTAAAACCCAAAAATGATTTCGTAATTGCTTTTAAGTTAATATTTTTTAACTTACTCTTCATCTGAAACTTTTCAAAGAGCCTTATAAGCCAGAAAAGCTGTTTATTGTAAGTTTAATGCTTTTTAGTTAATATTTTTTAACTTACTCTTCATCTGAAACTTTTCAAAGAGCCTTATAAGCCAGAAAAGCTGTTTATTGTAAGTTTCATGCTTTTTTTTTTTCTCTCTACTGTGGTGGAGGTGAATAATAAAAAGGCCAAAAGGAAACTAGGAAGAAGAACAGCAAATGCATAAGATGGAAGAGGAAAAGAAAAGGAATGGAATAATATAGGAACCAGGAAAGTAGACCTAAGTAATCAGAAATTATCTCTACTTAATGGGGGAATAAACTCTTTAACTTAACAATACAGGTTCTCATTATTAGAATTTTCTGGCCCACATTTGTATGTAACTAT
This sequence comes from Homo sapiens, assembly GCF_000001405.40. Classification (NCBI taxonomy): domain Eukaryota; kingdom Metazoa; phylum Chordata; class Mammalia; order Primates; family Hominidae; genus Homo; species Homo sapiens. The sequence continues at coordinate 68,447,256 of NC_000014.9, read as the reverse complement.
GAGGATCTAATATGTGTATTATTATTATTATTTTTATTGAGATGGAGTTTCACTCTTGTTGCCCAGGCTGGAGTGCAGTAGCACAATCCTGGCTCACCACAACCTCTGCCTCCTGGGTCAAGTGATTCTCCTGCCTCAGCCTCCCGAGTAGCTGGAATTACAGGCATGTGCCACCACGCCCGGCTAATTTTGTATTTTTAGTAGAGATGGGTTTAGTAGACCACGTTGGTCAGGCTGGTCTCGAACTCCTGACTGCAGGTGATCCGCCCGCCTCGGCCTCCTAAAGTGCTGGGATTACAGGCATGAGCCACCGCACCCAGCTTAATATGTGTATTATTTAGTATTCTTTCTGTTGCAAGTAACAGAGATGTGATTGAGACCAAACAAAAAAGGGAATTTATTGGCTCACTTAACTGGAATGTCAGGAGTAACTGACCTGAGGCACAGTTGGATCCAGGGCCTCAGATGATGGCCTCATAATCTTATATTAATTCAATTATTCAATTCCTCCTTCCACCTGGAACATTCTCTCAATCTCTTGTTTTTCTCTACGTTGATTTATTGTCATTCTGAGGTGAGTTCCTTCATATGGTGGCAAAGACAGCCACAAGGAGCTCCAGGCTTATATCCTACCAATTTAGCAACTCTTATTGTTCAGCAAAATTCTGGGCTTACTCTATTCAACTTAGCTTGGGTTAACCAACTATTGCAAACCAATCTCTGTAGAAAGGAAATGTGATCCTTCCATTGGTCAGACATGAACCCAGTGGGTACAATCAGCCCTCAGCTCTAACTAGACAACATAGGCTGAAAAAAATTGAAGAGGCATGTTTCCTTACAGGAAAATCATAGTGTAGGTATGAGAGAAGGGGTAAGAGATCAAGGGCAAGCAGAAATACCAGATGTCTATCACATTGTTTATGAGGCAAGACAAACTAGTAGCTACAAGTCACTTCAGAGTCTCTTTTCTACCATTTACTAGTTGTTTTAACTTCAGAGCACTTCATAATCTCCATAGCCCATTTCTTCCATCTGTAAATTCAGGGTAGTAATACCCACTTCACAGTGTTATTGTAAAAACCCACCTCACAGCATATTATAAAGATGATGTTTGTATAGCTCTTATCATGTGCCTGGCATAAAAATGGCAGCCGATAATGTTATTATCAGCATTCCCTGGAGCGGCTATTATAGAAAGCACAGAGGATACAGTAGAAATGGGTAGGAAAGAAAGTTGCATAGCTATAATTTAGACGTCAAACCATGACATGTAGCCTCACTTTTGAGCCCCTCTAGAGTCTATTGGTTTAATCTTGGCACTTGAACAGAATCATTGCCTCCAATACCTTAAACCGTTCTCAGTCCAACACCACATTTGTTTCCACTCTACTGTACAAGCTCTGGAGGATAGTTGATCCCTCTCATTCACCAAGTCAATCACTTTCTGTATACCTGCTCATGACTTTAGAAAAGTCTTAATTATAGATTTCCCAATATAAGGATGATACTACTTGAAACTCATCAAGACCCAGTTACAGTTTGAGGTGGGTTAACAATTAAGAATGATAATTTTAATTATTTTAGTATCTGTGGCCCAGTGTCATAGACTGAGGAAGGTGGGGTTCAGGAAAGCCAGTCAATTATAAGCTATATCTGCAGGATTATACCTTAAATTGGTGAATAATTATTAAGACCAATAACAACTAACAATTAATCTCTTTGGGATTGAGTTTCTTCATGTATAAAATGGGGATAATAGTACTTACCTTACAAAGATGTTGATAATAAATGCATTTTTATTAATACATGCACAGCACTTTAGTACTTAGCAAATGGTCAAGTACTTGATGAATGCTAGCTATTATTGTTACTGTCGTTGTTGTTTTTAAATACTATTGAATTGGAAATCAGTAAATTAGTAATCTTATACAGAATCATTTTTAAGTAAGAGATCTTTTCCTTCTGAAGGAAAGAAAGTTTAAGAGGTCTGGCCAATCCTATGGGTTTACAGCCATGTGAAGCTGAGAAGAGAATTCTGCAGTCTCTTCCCCTAAATTGTCCCTTTGTTGAAAGCCTTGTGGGCTAACTCTTCAGCCTGCAAGCAGAGTGTGAATGTGGGAAGACATCCTGTAGTTCTAGTTTGCTGTTGGCATTGGGTTCCATAATGAAGGTCTCTGGACCTCATAAACAGTGCCATGAGAGGAAAAATTTGCCAAAGTTCAGTTGCATATCAAAGAAAGCCACAGAGCCAGAGAGCTCCCCGAGGACCCACACAGCTGCTTTGTCTACTGCCAAGCCATGGCTCTAATGCACGGATATGCCTGTGGGCCAAGAGCCAAAGCCACAAAGTTCCACCAGTTCATTTAGCCTTGGCATTTCAGTGTACTGAGGGATCTGTTATTTGGGTTGCTGTCTCATTATTAAGGGGTAAAAACAGAAATATGCCCCCCCATCACCAGAAAACTGGTTTACTAAAATCACCACCACCACCTCCACCCCATCCCTGCTCCTACTGTGAGAACAGTTCTACTGTCCTGTGTGACAAAATACAGCAAATGCCAGTTTTTCTCACTGGTGACCCCTGATCACTTTGTGGTCATTCTTTCCCATGGAGCTGACTTGGATGGGCCAGTTTCTGCATCCCAGGGTAGGTGCAGCCCTGTGGCCAATGCCACCACTGCTGAGTCTATCTTAAACCCTATCCCTCTAAAATAAAACACTCTGGATGGTTTAATTTCCATTCCAATAGCTTTTCAAATTTTCCCTAAACCTCTTTCACCTCAAAACACACACACACACACACACACACACACACAATTCACAATTCTTTCCACCTGTGGAATTTGCTTATTTCCTCAAACAATGCCCCCTAATCCAGTGACTACAACTTTTCTTCCTGGAAGTCATGATGATTTGAGCTCTAGAAATGTCCCTGAATGGAGAGCTATGTAGAGGACTTCGCACAAGAGAATACTGAAGTTACAAACAGTAGCTTGTCATCTTTGGAGAAGTTTTATTTAAGTCAACAAATACAAGTTGGGCATCTGCTCTGTGCCAGGCACTGTGCTGTGACTTGCAGCTGGCATGACAGGGAGGCAGTCAGCAGGTAACTGAACATAAAACCATGTGCAATGAGAGTCCAGAGAACACCCGTTCTTCATTCTTTACAAGAATGTAAGAGATAGAATCATGAAGGCCATGCCATGGAGAACAGGCTGAAAAGTTCTAGGCACTAATATACACTTCAAAGTCATACTGGAAGCATACAAATATGAGTACATAATGCTTTATGAGTAAAGAAAAGGTACCTAGCACTACTATTTCTTATCCATGAATTCGGTTTGAATATTCAAAATTCATCCCTCACTAGAGAAGCTTTTATTCTTGAAAGCAGAAAGTTTTGTTTTTTTTTTTTAAACACAAATTCATGTTTTCATATAGGAAAATGCAGTCCTTGAGAAAAAGTGACTTATTCAAGGCTAGGCAAAGTTGGTGTCCCAAAGGCTGAAGGTGGACAAGCTGGGGCAGCTCTCAGAATTCCCATCTTCTGCATTACCATCAGACCACCCTGCCATAATAAAACCAACCCCATGTCTTGGTTTTGAGCATTTGAAAAATGGAAAGAAATGTGACATTTTCCATTTGAAAATGGAAAGAAATGTGATAGGGAATCTTAGATTCCCTGGCTTTCTGATTACTTGCAAATCCACATAAGGCTCACATATCACCCTCCTCTCATTTGTCAGCATCTGAATTTTTTTGGTCATCATGTGAGTGATGAAAACTTAAAAGCTACGTTGATATGTATAGCATGTGGAAAACCACTCCCAGGTTCCTTCTGCCCTGGAAGAGTCAGAGGCACATGCGCACATTTCTTATACACCCAAACAGACCTATTCGTCCACTCGTGAACACATTCAACATCATCAGACACTCGTTCAAAAAATAGCATGCTATGTGCTGACTCGATGGGAAGCCACAGGCTAAGTTCTCAGACCCTGGCCAAGAAGAGATGGGATCCAACTCATCCCTAGACCACAGGAAAAATACTTTCAACCACAGAGCTGGCCGCAAAATATTCTTTTTGTAGGAAACAAAATGTTTCCAGCCCTGGGATTTTCTTTTCTTTATTTTATTATTTTTCAGTCCTTTCACTGTTATTGAGGAGGAAAGGCAAATGCTTAAGCAAGAGGCCAAGTAAACATCGAAAGAAACCAAAACCAGGACTCCTTTGCTGGGAGAGTGGAACACAGGGTGAATGAGCAGTGCACTGCATGAGGCCCAGGCCTTGTGAAGTTTCAGGGGGAGCAACAACCTGGGTCATTCTTTAGGTGTTCACAGCCCCAGTTTCATTCCACTTTACTGCAGCTCCTCTTATTGATTAAGTCGGCTTGGACAAGTTACTTAACTTTTCACAGCCTCCACTTCCTTAAGTGTTAAGTGTGAATAATAATAATAATAATAATAATATCACAGGTTAGCATAAAGAATAAATGAAACATACATAAAAGCTGCACCGGCCGGGTGTAGTGGCTCATGCCTGTAATCCCAGCACTTTGGGAGGCCGAGGCGGGCGGATCACAAGCTCAAGAGATTGAGACCATGCTGGCCAACATGGTGAAACCCCATGTCTACTAAAAATACAAAAATTAGCTGGGCATGGTGGCATGCACCTGTAGTCCCAGCTACTCAGGAGGCTAAGGTAGGAGAATAGCTTGAACCCAGGAGGCGGAGGTTGCAGTGAGCTGAAATCGCGCCACTGCTCTCCAGCCTAGCAACAGAGCGAGACTCTAGCTAAAAAAAAAAAAAAAAAAAAAAAAAGCACAATGCCTACTACATAGTAGGCACTCAAGAAATAGGATTTGTTAAGGTAGTTTCAGTAACTCTCTCAGATGCTGCTAGAGAACTATTTTCATGAACTGTTAGAACACAAAGATTCCTTAGAGACTAATACTCCAGACCCCATATTTCATAAATAAGAAAACAGTCCTAGAGAGAGAAAGGTTGTGACCAAATCATCCAGTCAGTAGTAGGCCCTGGGCTAAGACCCTGCAGACTGGACGCAGAGTAAAGAGAGTTAAAGTAATTCACATCATAGAATATATTAACACTACGTGCTGTTGACTGGCCATGGATCTCAGACTTTGTATCTTTAAGAATTGCCCAGCAATGTAGAAATGCAGATTTCTAGACCCACCCCCAAAGCTGCTGATTTAGTCTGGGAAGTCCAGGAATCTGAATTTTTAACAAGCTCTGCCAGTGGATTCCAAGAGGTATTCCTCTGACCACCTGTCAAGAAGTATTACAAGAGGAAGTCGTCAGCCAAATAAATAACTGAGCAGAGTGTTAGGGTTATATCCTATGGTTTAGCACAAACAATGTGGCCAGCGCCCGTTGATAATGAGACTTTTCCCACTGTATAAAATAGTAACTGAGGTATAGCATGGCATTGCTTCTTCTTCATAGAACCAGAAAGTGAAATCATCTTCTAGATCATGAAATTCTCTTATAGAAGGGGAACCTGTGACTCAGAGTCATTTGTCCAAGATCACATATCTAATTAGAAACAGAGCTAGAATTTTACTTTAGAATAACATTATCTTTTTTGCAATGGAAAAATTTTTCCAGGTACCCACATATGAAGACAGTAGTTTATGTATGTATGTTATATACTAGAATCCATAAATTAATCTTTTTTTTTTTTTTTTTTTTTTTGAGATGGAGTCTTGCTCTGTCGCCCAGGCTGGAGTGCAGTGGCGCCATCTTGGCTCATTGCAAACTCCTCCTCCCGGGTTCACTCCATTCTCCTGCCTCAGCTTCCCGAGTAGCTGGGACTACAGGTGCCTGCCACCGCGCCCGGCTAATTTTTTGTTTTTTTACTAGAGACGGGGTTTCACCGTGTTAGCCAGGATGGTCTTGATCTCCTGACCTCGTGATCCACCCACCTCGGCCTCCCAAAGTGCTGGGATTACAGGCGTGAGCCACCGTGCCTGGCCTAAATTAATCTTAATCTCTGAAATAATTAAAAAATTATGGTCTTCTCATGTTATTTCTGGTGCTGTGAATTCACTTCATAGGCTCCCTTGTAGGCTAATGAAGGAAACTTGGTCAGAAGAAAGAACTAACAATGTCATACAAAACTGAACACTTCAGAGACACAGAAACTGTAGTTACATTGTTGCACATGACCTACTTCCTTTTCATTAAAATCTTGCTCTTTTCATATAAAACATATATCTGACCCCAAGGTCTATAAAGTTCTATGAGTCATCAAACAACTACATAAGTATCCTGGTTAGTGATTACTGTGTTAAAGCATTTGTGGACTTGCAAGACACATCCCAAATAAATCAATATTGGCTTGGATTCAAGTCCAGTTCTCAAAAGGATGAGGTTTCAGCTGTTCCCTGTAGTATTAGAACATGCAATAATTTAGCAATTTCTGGAGTTTGATCCCCACAGACTAGAAATGATGGTTACTTTCTTTCTTTCTTTCTTTCTTTTTTTTTTGAGATGGAGTTTCGCTCTTGTTGCCCAGGCTGGAATGCAATGGCACGATCTTGCCTCACTGCAACCTCCACCTCCCAGGTTCAAGTGATTCTCTTGCCTCAGCCTCCCAAGTACCTGGGATTACAGGTGTCCGCCACCATGCCCAACTAATTTTTGTATTTTTTAGTAGAGACGGGGTTTCACCATGTTGGCCAGGCTGGTCTCGAACTCGTGACCTCAGGTGATCCACCTGCCTTGGCCTCCCAGAGTGCTGGGATTACAAGCGTGAGCCACTGTGCCTGGCTGAAATGATGGTTACTTTCTACTCTTGGCCCAATGCTGAAGAATATGAGAAGGCAGAAGTATAGTTCTTCCACTTCTACTTTTCTTTGATGAATGCATTCAGATAGCAATAATCTTCATCCCTCAACAGAGTTTGTTCTGAAAGTTGTCATGAAATGTGGGCAACATTGCAAAGTAAAAGCCACAGCCTGTTTGAAAAAGAATCAATATGTATTCTGCAGTTGGATAATGCCTATCCTCACAAAAAACTCAGAATGCTCCAATTCATTAAGTCAGTAAGAGCAGCCTTAGACAACATTTATTATGATTTAGATCAATCTTACAACCATTATTACTAGCCAAATAAGGCCAAAAGAAGAGGGTTATAGGAGTCTCTTTACAGAATCTGAGGTGGAATCTGAATTAGAATCCAAATGCATCACTAACCGCTTAATAATCCTTTCCCTCCTGGAGAGAGTTCTGGCCTTTGGAGCTGTTCCTCTGCTCCATGTCATTAGGGCATTCAGAGAATGCCAACTCTTCTACGACATGAACCAATTAAAGGGTGGGAGCCTGCCATGCTTTCAACAGGGGAGGGGCAGGGTTTGGATGTGTGCATACAGACCCTGGAACATTTCAACACACCTCTTTTGGAGAAGGTTCTGTTGGTTTCAAACCCCCAACCCCCATGAGACATTATTTCCAGCCATTAAAATGTTTCCTGAGCTTAGATACATCTGGAAAGTTTTGGAAAATCCTACAGGAAGGAGGCTAGGCCAAAAGAGCTCCTTTTCTCATGCCATTCAGGAAGCACAGCACAAATGTTTGCCCTTCAAGACAGTCCAGGCCAGGAGCCCAACTCTGAGGGATGGAGAACCATGGTAGACAGAAGAGTCCTTTGGGGGAACAGGGACAATGGAGAAGAGATTGGGGGTCTTATATTAACCATGTACCAACCAGGGTGCTTATGTAGACCTGTATCTGTCAAGGTCCATCAGTAAAATGGGACATATCCTGGTAGTTCAAGAGAGAGCATTCAATTTGGGGAATTAGTTACAAATGTGTTAGAAGAGCTGAAATGAAAATAGGGGACAATGAGTCAACCCAGAGATTAGCAACAACAAGAAGCTACCACCATCCCCAGGGCTGGAGGAATCAAGGATGAGATGCTGTTACTAGAGCCCAGAGGCTGGAGCTGCCCAACTAGAGTGGGGACAGCAAAGGGATCGTGGAGAGGAACTAATGTCACTGCCTGGGACACCACTGGAAGCAAGGCAGAGGAATGTGTGTGTGAGAGAGTGTGTGTGTGTGTGTGTGTGTGTGTGTGTGTGTACAAAAATACATGGCTTCTCTCATACTTCTGCCCTTCATCCCTCCTCTCCAAACTAACCAGACTCAATGGAAAGGGAGACTGGGAAATGCAAATTGTAAAGGTCAGTTCCCTGTGGTATCAAGTAGAGCAGGGGAAGGGCAGGGAGCGGATCTGAGAGCAAACAATCCACTGACTGGCATGATCCACGAAAGCAAGGATTCCTGATTCCCAATTTGCAGATGTGGGTCTTTCAGAAAACTTTGAAGCCTGTACTGGTATTTCTGCAAATTAGCTACTGATGCCACTCCCCTGGACTTTACATTTGCTAGAATTCAGTGGAGAGGGAGACATAGCTCTCCATAGGGCCCTCTCCTCTCTCAGCTCAGGCGCTTTACTGAAAATAGTTTGCATCTTCCCTTTCTGCAGAAGGCGTCTCTTAACTTTTCATTTTTCCCACACTCTGATAACCATTGTCTCTATACAGAAGCCAGGGATCCGAAATAAGGAAATGGCATTGAGAGTGGAGATGACATGATGTGCTATAAACAGTGGTGGGAGGCAGGGGAAGACAAAATGTTGACTAAAGATTCTGTGCAATTATAAGAAATCATTTCTGATCTCCAACCTAATTCTTGATGGCAGTCATTGAGGCCTGGATGGAAGAATGGAAGCAGCCATACACTGTCCACGTAAGCAGGAAACAACGCATGTTCCAAGCAGGGCCAGCTCTTGCCTCCCTCCCAGGCCTCCTTTTTCTCCTTTACCAGCCTGTTTCAGTGAGTAAAACCTCATCCACTCACTCATTTGCCTCAGGAACAACCCCCTTCCCACACCCTTCCAGATCTCCTCTTTGTGCTTAAATGTTGTGGATCCTGCCTCCTAACCATCTCATAACTCTTCCCTCTTTTCCCTCTCAATATCCACTGTCTTGGTTCAGGCCCTCATTTCTTTGCATCTTATTTCAAATCCCTCCAAATCTGTATGGAAAACTCTTGCCAAAGGGAGACTTGGAAGGTACAAATCTGATGTCGCAGGCTTGCTGGAAGTTCCTTAGTGGGGCTTCTGAAAACCTGCAGGACTGAGTCTGGTTTGTCTTTCCTTTCCTTACTTTATCTTTAACTACATACAGGCCCCATCCTCCCCGATCCCTACTCATTGTACAGACACATTTAGTGCTCCCCTGTAGCACTAAAGAAGGACCATTTGTAGTTCCCACCTCAGAGCCTTTGTTCAAACATCTTCCTCAGTCTCCTACTTCATCTATCAAGCAAATACCAATGCACTTTTCAAGTTTTGTTTCCAGTATCACACCCTCTTCTGAATCCTTCTCTGGCCATCACTTCCTTGTGAGTGTTCTGACCATCCCAACAACGATAGCTACACTGTCCTCTTCCACAATTCCTTCAATTCCTTCTTATATTTATTTGCCTGTATGCTTCCCTCTATTAACACTGGGTATTCTCCTCTACTACTATGGCTCTTCATAGAAGGAAACTGAGCTTTATTTGACTTACTTTTCCCAGCATTTGGCACACATATGTACCCAGAAAGGATATGAAGGATGAAAAAATGAGGCAGGAATGGAGGGAAAGGGGAGGTGTTCAACATAAAGAACACTTAGTTGTCTTGTCTAGATAAAAATAGAAGAGTTACGTTCTACAAAGCTAGCATCAGCCTGAAGCCAAAATCTGGCAAAGACACAATGAAAAAGGAAAACTTCAGGCCCTGATGGACATATGTGTAAAAATCCTCAACAAAACAGTAGGAAACCAAATCCAGTAGTACATAAAAAAGTTAATTCACCACGATCAAGTAAGCTTCATTTCTGAGGTGCAAGGTTGGTTCAACATATGCAAATCGATATTTATGATTCATCACATAAACAGAATTCAAGAGAAAAACCATATGATCATCTCAATAGATGCGGAAGCTTCTGAGAAAATCCATATTCCTTCATGAAAAAATCCTCAACAAATTAGGCATATAAGTAACATATCTCAAAATAGAGTCATCTATAACAAACCCACAGCCAACATCATACTGAATGGGCAAAAGTTAGAAGCATTCTCTTTAAGAACAGGAATAGGACAAAGATGCCCACTCTCACCACTCCTATTCAACATAGTACTGGAAGTCCTAGCCAGAGCAGTCAGGCAAAAGAAAGAAATAATAGGGATCCAAGTAAGAAAACAATAAGTCAAATTATCCCTCTTTACTGACAATATGATCATATACTGAGAAAACCCTAAAGACTCCACTAAAGCCTCCTACAGCTGATAAATGACTTCAGTAAGTTTCAGGATACAAAATCAATGTACAGAAAATTAGTAGCATTCCTATACACCAATAATGTTCAAGCTCAGAGCCAAATCAAGAACACAATCCCATTTACAGTAGTCACAACAACAAAAAACACCTAGGAATACATCAAACTAGGGAAGTGAAATATCTCAACAAGGAGAACTACAAGTAACTGCTAAAAGAAATCAGAGAGGATCCCCCCGCCAAAACACATTCCATGTTCATGGATTAGAATAATCAATATCATTAAAATGGCCATACTGTGCAAAGAAACCTGCAGATTCAACACAATTCCTATCAAACTACCAACATAATTCTTCACAGAATTACAAAAAACTGTCCTAAAATTCACATGGAACCAAAAAGCAGCCTGAATAGACAAAGCAATCCTAAGCAGAAATAATAAAGCCAGAAGCATCACATTACCTGACTTTAAACTATACTATAATGCTACAGTAACCCAAACGCCATGCTACTGCTACAAAAATAGACATACAGACCAATGGAACAGAATAGAGAATTCAGAAATAAAGCTGCACACCTACAGTCATCTGATCTTCAGCAAAGTTGAGAAAAATAAGCAATGGGGAAAAGACTCCCTAGTCAATACATGGTGCTGGGATAGCTGGGTAGCCATAGGCAGAAGAATAAAACTAGACCCCTACATTTTACCATATATAAAAATTAACTCAAGGTGGATTAAATGCTTAAATGTAGGCCCTCAAACTATAAGAATCCTAGAAGAAAATCTAGGAAATACCATTCTGATGTTGGCCTTGAGAAAGAATTTTTGACTAAGCCCTCAAAAGCAAATGGAACAAAAACAAAAATTGACAAACAAAACCTAATTAAAGAGCTTCTGAACAGCAAAAGAAACTAACAACAGAGTAAACAGACAACCTACAGAATTGGAGAAAATATTTACAAACTATGCATCTGACAAAGGTCTAATATCCAGAATCTATAAGGAACTTAAACAATTCAACAAGCAAAAAATAAATAACCCCATTAAAAAATGGGCAAAATACATGAACAGACAGTTCCCAAAAGAAGATACACAGGTAGCCAACAAATACATGAAAAAATGCTCAAAATTACTAATCATCAGAGAAATGTAAATCAAAACCACAATGAGATACCATCTCACACCAGTCAGAATGGCTTTATTAAAAAGTTAAAAAGCAACAGATGCTGGTGAGGCTGTGGAGAGAAGAAAATGCTCATACACTGTTGGTGGGAATGTAGATAGTTCAGCCACTGTAGAAAGCAGTTTGGAGATTTTGCAAAGAACTTAAAAACTATCATTTGACTTAGCAATCCCATTGCTGGGTATATACCCAAAGGAAAATAAATTGTTCTCCCAAAAAAAAAAAAAAAAAACCAAAAACCACATGTACTTAGATGTTCATTGCAGCACTATTCACAATAGTAAAGACATGGAATCAACCTAGGTGCCCATCAATGGTGGACTGGATAAAGAAAATGCGGTACATATACAGCCATAAAAAAGAATGAAGTCATATCGTTTGCAGCAACATGGATGCAGCTGGAGGCCATTATCCTAAGTGAATTAACATAGGACCAGAAAACCAAATACCGCATGTTCTCACTTATAAGTGGGAGCTAAGTACAGGGTACCCATGGACATAAAGATGAGAATAATAGACACTGGGAACTAGATGGGGAAGAGGAGGATGGGGGAAAGGGTTTAAAACAACACCTATGGGGTACTATGCTTACTACCCGGGTGATGGGATTATTCGCACCTCAAACTTCAGCATCTCGTAACATACCCATGTAACAAACCTGCACATATGTTCCTGAATCTAAAATAAAAGTTGAAATTATATTTTAAAACTTGTAAACTTATCCCAAAGAGATATCAGCACACCCATGTTCATTGTAGCATTATTTACAATAGCCAAGGTATGGAAACAATCTAAAGGTGTATCAACAAATAAATGGATAAAGAAAATGTGGTGGGGCGGTTCCAAGATGGCTGAATAGGAACAGCTCCAGTCTACAGCTCCCAGCATGAGCAATGCAGAAGACGGGTGATTTCTGCATTTCCAACTCAGGTACCGGGTTCATCTCACCGGGGCTTGTCAGACAGTGGGTGCAGGACAGTGGGTGCAGCCCACCGAGCATAAGCTGAAGCAGGGCGAGGCATCGCCTCACCCGGGAAGTGCAAGGGGTCAGGGAATTCTCTTTCCTAGCCAAGGGAAGCTGTGACCGACAGCACCTGGAAAATCAGGTCACTCTCACCCTAATACTGCGCTTTTCCAATGGTCTTAGCAAATGACACACCAGGAGATTATAACGCACGCCTGGCTTGGAGGATCCCATGCCCATGGAGCCTCGCTCATTGCTAGCACAACAGTCTGAGATTGAACTGCAAGGCAGCAGCGAGGCTGGGGGAGAGGCACCTGCCATTGCTGAGGCTTGAATAGGTAAACAAAGTGGCGGGGAAGCTCAAACTGGGTGGAGCCCACAGCAGCTCAAGGAGGCCTGCCTGCTTCTGTAGACTCCACCTCTGGGGGGCAGGACATAGCTGAACAAAAGGCAGCAGAAACCTCTGCAGACTTAAATGTCCCTGTCTGACAGTTTTGAAGAGAGTAGTGGTTCTCCCAGCACAGAGTTTGAGATCTGAGAACAGACAGACTGCCTCCTCAAGTGGGTCCCTGACCCCCGAGTAGCTTAACTGGGAGGCACCCCCAAGTAGGGGCAGACTGACACTTCACATGGCCAGGTACCCCTGTGAGACGAAGCTTCCAGAGGAACGATGAGGCAGCAACATTTGCTGTTTAGCAATATTCAGTGTTCTGCAGCCTCCGCTGCAGATACCCAGGCAAACAGGGTCTGGAGTGGACATCCAGCAAACACCAACAGACCTACAGCTGAGGGTCCTGTTAGAAGGAAAACTAACAAACAGAAAGAACATCCACACCAAAACCCCATCTGTACATCACCATCATCAAAGACCAAAAGTAGATAAAACCACAAAGATGGGGAAAAAACAGAGCAGAAAAGCTGAAAATTCTAAAAATCAGAGTGCCTCTCCCCCTCCAAAGGAACGCAGCTCCTCGCCAGCAATGGAACAAAGCTGGACGGAGAATGACCTTGACGAGTTGAGAGAAGAAGGCTTCAGATGATCAAACTTCTCCGAGCTAAAGGAGGAAGTTCAAGCCCATCGCAAAGAAGCTAAAAACCTTGAAAAAAGATTAGACGAATGGCTAACTAGAATAACCAGTGTAGAGAAGTCCTTAAATGACCTGATGGAGCTGAGAACCATGGCATGAGAACTACGTGATGAATGCATAAGCTTCAGGAGCCGAGTCGATCAACTGGAAGAAAGGGTATCAGCGATTGAAGATCAAATGAATGAAATAAAGCAAGAAGAGAAGTTTAGAGAAAAAAGAATAAAAAGAAATGAACAAAGCCTCCAAGAAATATGGGACTATGTGAAAAGACCAAATCTACGTCTGATTGGTGTACCTGAAAGTGATGGGGAGAATGGAACCAAGTTGGAAAACACTCTGCAGGATATTACCCAGGAGAACTTCTCCAACCTAGCAAGGCAGGCCAACATTCAATTCAGGAAATACAGAGAACGCCACAAAGATACTCCTCAAGAAGAGCAACTCCAAGACACATAATTGTCAGATTCACCAAAGTTGAAATAAAGGAAAAAATGTTAAGGGCAGCCAGAGAGAAAGGTCAGGTTACCCACAAAGGGAAGCCCATCAAACTAACAGCTGATCTCTCAGCAGAAACTCTACAAGCTAGAAGAGAGTGGGGGCCAATATTCAACATTCTTAAAGAAAGAATTTTCAGCCCAGAATTTCATATCCAGCCAAACTAAGCTTCATAAGTGAAGGAAAAATAAAATACTTTACAGACAAGCAAATGCTGAGAGATTTTGTCACCACCAGGCCTGCCCTAAAAGAGCTCCTGAAGGAAACACTAAACATGGAAAGGAATAACTGGTACCAGCCACTGCAAAAGCACGCCAAATTGTAAAGACCATCGATGCCAGGAAGAAACTGCATCAACTAATGAGCAAAATAACCAGCTAACATAATGACAGGATCAAATTCACACATAACAATATTAACCTTAAATGTAAATGGGCTAAATGCTCCAATTAAAAGACACAGACTGGCAAGTTGGATAAAGAGTCAAGACCTATCAGTGTGCTGTATTCAGAAGACCCATCTCACATGCAGAGACACACATAGGCTCAAAATAAAGGGATGGAGGAAGATCTACCAAGCAAATGGAAAACAAAAAAAGGCAGGAGTTGCAATCCTAGTCTCTGATAAAACAGACTTTCAACCAACAAAGATCAAAAGAGACAAAGAAGGTCATTACATAATGGTAAAGGGATCAATTCAACAAGAAGAGCTAACTATCCTAAATATATATGCACCCAATACAGGAGCACCCAGATTCATAAAGCGAGTCCTTAGAGAACTACAAAGGGACTTAGACGCCCACACAATAATAATGGGAGACTTTAACACCCCACTGTCAACATTAGACAGATCAATGAGACAGAAAGTTAACTAGGATATCCAGGAATTGAACTCAGCTCTGCACCAAGTGGACCTAATAGACATCTATAGAACTCTCCACCCCAAATCAACAGAATATACATTCTTCTTAGCACCACATCATACTTATTCCAAAATTGACCACATAGTTGGAAGTAAAGCACTTCTCAGTAAATGTAAAAGAACAGAAATTATAACAAACTGTCTCTCAGACCACAGTGCAATCAAACTAGAACTCAGGATTAAGAAACTCACTCAAAACCGCTCAACTACATGGAAACTGAACAACCTGCTGCTGAATGACTACTGGGTACATAACGAAATGAAGGCAGAAATAAAGATGTTCTTTGAAACCAGTGAGAACAAAGACACAACATACCAGAATCTCTGGGACACATTTAAAGCAGGGTGTAGAGGGAAATTTATAGCACTAAATGCCCGCAAGAGAAAGCAGGAAAGATCTAAAATTGACACCCTAACATCACAATTAAAAGAACTAGAGAAGCAAGAACAACACATTCAAAAGCTAGCAGAAGGCAAGAAATAACTAAGATCGGAGCAGAACTGAAAGAGATAGAGACATAAAAAACCCTTCAAAAAATCAATGAATCCAGGAGCTGGTTTTTTGAAAAGATCAACAAAATTGATAGACCACTAGCAAGACTAATAAAGAAGAAAAGAGAGAAGAATCAAATAGATGCAATAAAAAATGATAAAGGGGATATCACCACTGATCCCACAGAAATACAAACTACCATCAGAGAATACTATAAACACCTCTGTGCAAATAAACTAGAAAATCTAGAAGAAATGGATGAATTTCTGGACACATACACCCTCCCAAGACTAAACCAGGAAGAAGTTGAATCCCTGAATAGACTAATAACAGGCTCTGAAATTGAGGCAACAATTAATAGCCTACCAACCAAAAAAAGTCCAGGACCAGATGGATTCACAGCCGAATTCTACCAGAGGTACAAGAAGGAGCTGGTACCATTCCTTCTGAAACTATTCCAATCAATAGAAAAAGAGGGAATCCTCCCTAACTCATTTTATGAGGCCAGCATCATCCACATACCAAAGCCTGGCAGAGACACAACAAAAAAAGAGAATTTTAGACCAATATCCCTGATGAACATCGATGCAAAAATCCTCAATAAAATACTGGCAAACTGAATCCAGCAGCACATCAAAAAGCTTATCCACCATGATCAAGTGGGCTTCATCCCTAGGATGCAAGGCTGGTTCAACATACAAAAATCAATAAACGTAATCCAGCATATAAACAGAACCAAAGACAAAAACCACATGATTATATCGGTAGATGCAGAAAAGGCCCTTGACAAAATTCAACAGCCCTTCATGCTAAAAACTCTCAATAAATTAGGTATTGATGGGACATATCTCAAAATAATAAGAGCTATTTATGACAAACCCACAGCCAATATCATACTGAATGGGCAAAAACTGGAAGCATTCCCTTTGAAAACTGGCACAAGACAGGGATGCCCTCTCTCACCACTCCTATTCAACATAGTGTTGGAAGTTCTGGCCAGGGCAATCAGGCAGGAGAAAGAAATAAAGGGTATTCAATTAGGAAAAGAGGAAGTAAAATTGTCCCTGTTTGCAGATGATATATGATTGTATATGTAGAAAACCCCATCGTCTCAGCCTAAAATCTCCTTAAGCTGATAAGCAACTTCAGCAAAGTCTCAGGATACAAAATCAATGTGCAAAAATCACAAGCATTCTTATACACCAATAACAGACAAACCGAGAGTCAAATCCTGAGTGAATTCCCATTCACAATTGCTTCAAAGAGAATAAAATACCTAGGAATCCAACTTCCAAGGGATGTGAAGGACCTCTTCAAGGAGAACTACAAACCACTGGTCAATGAAATAAAAGAGGACACAAACAAATGGAAGAACATTCCATGCTCATGGATAGGAAGAATCAGTATCGTGAAAATGGCCATACTGCCCAAGGTAATTTATAGATTCAATGCCATCCCCATAAAGCTACCGATGACTTTCTTCACAGAATTGGAAAAAACTACTTTACAGTTCATATGGAACCAAAAAAGAGCCCACATTGCCAAGACAATCCTAAGCCAAAAGAACACAGCTGGAGGCATCACCCTACCTGACTTCAAACTATACCACAAAGCTACAGTAACCAAAACAGCATGGTAC
Source organism: Homo sapiens (assembly GCF_000001405.40). NCBI lineage: Eukaryota > Metazoa > Chordata > Mammalia > Primates > Hominidae > Homo > Homo sapiens. Next base: position 68,430,124 of record NC_000014.9, on the reverse strand, counting down.
TGGTACCAAAACAGAGATATAGACCAATGGAACGGAACAGAGCCCTCAGAAATAATACCACACATCTACAACCATCTGATCTTTGACAAACCTGACAAAATCAAGAAATGGGGAAAGGATTCCCTATTTAATAAACGGTGCTGGGAAAACTGGCTGGCCATATGTAGAAAGCTGAAACTGGATCCCTTCCATACACCTTGTACAAAAATTAATTCAAGATGGATTAAAGACTTACATGTTGGACCTAAAACCATAAAAACCCTAGAAGAAAACCTAGGCAATACCATTCAGGACATAGGCATGGGTAAGGACTTCATGTCTAAAAACCAAAAGCAAGGGCCACAAAAGCCAAAATTGACAAATGGGATCTAATTAAACTAAAGAGCTTCTGCACAGCAAAAGAAACTACCATCAGAGTGAACAGGCAACCTACAGAATGGGAGAAAATTTTTGCAATCTACTCATCTGACAAAGGGCTAATATCCACAATCTACAAAGAACTCAAACAAATTTACAGGAAAAAAACCCCATCAAAAAGTGGGCAAAGGATATGAACAGACACTTTTCAAAAGAAGACATTTATGCAGCCAACAGACACGTGAAAAAATGCTCATTACCACTGGCCATCAGAGAAATGCAAATCAAAATCACAATGAGATACCATCTCACACCAGTTAGAATGGCGATCATTAAAAAGTCAGGAAACAACAGGTGCTGGAGAGGATGTGGAGAAATAGGAACACTTTTACACTGTTGGTGGGACTGTAAACTAGTTCAACCATTGTGGAAGTCAGTGTGGCGATTCCTCAAGGATCTAGAACTAGATATACCATTTGACCCAGCCATCCCATTACTGGGTATATACCCAAAGGATTATAAATCATGGTGCTATAAAGACACATGTACACGTATGTTTATTGCAGCACTATACACAATAGCAAAGACTTGGAACCAACCCAAATGTCCATCAATGATAGACTGGATTAAGAAAATGTGGCACATATACACCGTGGAATACTACGCAGCCATAAAAAATGATGAGTTCATGTCCTTTGTAGGGACATGGATGAAGCTGGAAACCATCATGCTCAGCAAACTATCGCAAGGACAAAAAACCAAACACTGCATGTTCTCACTCATAGTGGGAATTGAACAAGGAGAACACTTGGACACAGGAAGGGGAAGATCACACACTGGGGCCTGTCGTGGGGTGGGGGGAGTGGGGAGGGACAGCATTAGGAGATATACCTAATGTAAATGACGAGTTAATGGGTGCAGCACACCAACATGGCACATGTATACATATGTAACAAACCTGCACCTTGTGCACATGTACCCTAGAACTTAAAGTATAATAATTATATATATATATATATATATATATATATATATATATATATATATATATATATATATAAAGAAAATCCTGCCATATGCAACATGGATGAACCTGGGGGACATTATGCTAGGTGACATAAGCCAGTCATAGAAAACGAATATTATATGAGTCCACTTACGAGGTATCTAAAATAGTCAAAAAGATAGAAACAGAGTAGAATGATGAATGATGATTTCCAGGGATTGGGAGAAGTGGAAAATGGGGAGTTCTCTTTCAATGGATACACCGTTTCAGTTATGCAATGCGAATAAGTTCCAGACATCTGCTGTATGACAATGTGCATACAGTTAATAAGGTACTGTGTTCTTAGACTGTTTGTCAAAAGGATAGATCTCATGTTAAGTGGTCTTACCACAATAAAAAGTAAAAATTAAAAAAAATTTAAAATGCAAAAAAATTGGAAGAGTTAGAAGAGGATTGTGTCTGTGGCTAGAGGACACACAAAGGATTATTATTACAATTACAGTCTCTAGAAGATTTATTACTAAATATTTTAAGTTGTAATACATATTGTCTTAGTCCATTTTGTGCTGCTATAACTGAATACCACAGACTGGGTAATTTATAATGAACAGAAATTTATTTCTCATAGTCCTGTATGCTGGAAAGTCCAAGATTGAGAGGACATCATCTTGCCATGGCCTTTTTGCTGCATCATCCCATGGTGGAAGGGCAAAGAGAAGGTGAAAAAGAAACAAAACTCAAATTTTTATAAGGAACTCACTCCTGTGATAACAAACTCACTTTCACAATAACAGCATTAATCCATTCATGACAGATGAGCTCTTATGGCCTAAATCAATTCTTAAAGATCCCACCTCTTAATACTATCACAATGGTCATTAAGTTTCCAACACATGTATTTTTTGGGACATGTTCAAACCATAGCATTCTGGCCCCAGCCCCCCAAATTCATGTCCTTCTCACATATAAATACATTATTCCATCCCAATAGCTGCAAAGTGTTAACTCATTCTAGCATCAACTTAAAAGTCCAAAGTCCAGAGTCTCATCTAAATCATATATGAGTGAGACTCAAGGCATGATTCATCCTAAAGCAAATTCCCTGTTAGTTGTGAGCCTATAAAATTAAACAAGTTATGTGCCTCCAAAATACAATGATAGGAAAGGCATAGGATAGACATTCCCATTCCAAAAGGGAGAAATAAAAAAGAAAGGAGTAACTGATCCCAAGTTAGTCCAAAACTCAACAGGGAAAACAACCTCAAATAAGGCTCCAGAATAACCTCCTTTTACTCCATTTCCACCTTCTGTTCACACTAAGGCAGGGGTTGTACCCAGAAGACCTTGGGAAGCTCCAACCCCATGGCTTTGCTAGTCTCACCCTCACAGCAGCTCTTACGGGTTAGTCTTGCTGCTTCAGCTGTCCGAGGCTGGGGCTGCACATTGGTTGCTCTGCAGTTCTGGAGTCTCAAGTGACCCTGCCATGACACCTATACTAGGTGTAGAGGGGACTCCCTGTGGCAGCTGCAACCCCACAGTTCCAGTAAGCATTGCCCTAGATGGGGCTCTCTGCCATGGCTCTGCCCCTGTGATAAATTTCTGCCTGGATGTCCAGGCTATCCAATATATCCTTTCAAATCTAGGTGGAGGCTACCATGGCCTAAGAGCTCATACATTCTGCATGCCTGCAGAATTAGCACTATGTGGGCACCACCAAGGCTTACTACTCGTGCCTCTAGAGTGGCAACATGAGTCACACCTGGGCCTGCTTGAGCTATGACTGGGTGGCAGAGAAATGCTCCTCTGGGATGCAGAAGGTAGCGTCCTGAGTGGCCCTGGAAAGTCAGCCTGTGGATGGTACCCTGGGTCTGTCCCTGGAAACCATCTGCCCTCCTAGAGCTCCGGGATTGTGATGGGAGGGGCAGCCTTAAAAATCTCCAAAATCCCCTCGGGGTCATTCTCCCATTGTCTTGATGAATAGTATCTGGCTTTCTTCTATTCATACTAATCTCCTTATCAAATGGTTGCTTAGCCACACATTTCCTCTCCAGAAAATGCTCTCTTTCTTTCTCTACCAGGCAACCAGGCTGAGAATCCTTCAGATCCCTTTTAATTATAGATCCCATCTTTAAATTATTTCTCTCTTCTCTCATTTTACTGTATGCAGTTAAAAGAAGCCGCACAGTTCTTCGATGTCATGGTTTAAAATTTCTTCTACCAGATATCCTAGTTCATTGCTCTTAAATTCTGCTTTTCACAAGACCTCAAGGCGTGGATGCAATTCAACCAAGTTGTTTGCCACTTCATAACAATCATGGCCTTTACTTCAGTTTCCAATAAGATATTCATCTCTTCTGTCTGATACCTCATCAGAATGGCCTTTACTGACCAGGCCCGGTGGCTCACGCCTGTAATCCCAGCACTTTGGGAGGCTGAGGTGGGTGGATCACCTGAGGTCGGGAGTTCGAAAGCAGCCTGACCAACATAGAGAAACCCCGTCTCTACCAAAAAAAAAAAAATACAAAATTAGCCAGGTGTGGTGGTGGGCGCCTGTAATCCCAGCTACTCGGGAGGCTGAGGTGGGAGAATTGCTTGAGCCTGGGAGGCGGAGGTTGTGGTGAGCCGAGATCGTGCCATTGCACTCCAGCCCAGGCAACAAGAGTGAAACTCCATCTCAAAAACAAAAAAAGAAAGAAAGAAAGAGAGAGAGAGAGAAAGAGAGAAAGAAAGAGAGAAAGAAAGAAAGAAAGAAAGGAAGGAAGGAAGGAAGGAAGGAAGGAAGGAAGAAAGAAAGAAAGAAAGAAAGAAAGAAAGAAAGAAAGAAAAAGAATGGCCTTTACTGTCTCTATTTCTACTAACATTCTGATCACAATCACTTATGTAATCTCTAAGAAGTTTCTCATTCTCTTCTTCTGAGTCCTCCAGAATTACTGTTAATACTCCATTTATAGCAATCTAAGCTTTTGTTAGCCTGCTACTCCAGATTCTTCCAGCCTTTACCCATCACCCAATACCAAAGCCACTTCCATATTTTCAGGTATTTATTATAACAATCACCACACTCCTAGTACCAATCTTCTGTCTTAGTCCATTTTGTCCTGGTATAACCAAATACCACAGACTAGATAATTTACAATGAACAGAAATTTATTTTTCACAGTTCTGGGGGCTAAGTCCAAAATCAAGGGGCCAGCATCTGGTGAGGGCCTTCTTGCTGCATCATTGCATGGTGGAAGGGCAAAGAGAGGGTGACAGAGAGACAAATGGGGGCTGAACTTGTCTTCTTATAAAGAACCTACTCCTGCAATAACAAACCCACTTCTCTTGATAATGGCATTAATCATTCATGAGGGCAGGGCCCTCATGGGCTGATCACCTCTTACAGGTCCTACCTTTTAATAGTTTATAATGGCCATTAAGTAAACTACTACTTAAGTATGCTGTTTTGGAGACACATTCAAACCGCAGCATATACCTTTTCTTGAGGAAAAATATTAGACTATTAGGATATGAAAAAAAGTGACAAAGGTGTCATATTGACTGCTATGGCAGTCACTCATCCAACTTATCTCAGTGGGTTTTCTTTGAAAATACTTGGCCTTTGAACAACCACAACATGTAACAAGATCCCCTACACAGAGGGGTCCTAGAGACTACTGTTTAATTCAAACTGAGATTATAGGTATAGGCCAGGTGCTGTGGCTCATGCCTGTAATCTCAGCCCTTTGGATGACTGAGGCAGGAGGATTACATGAAACCAGGAATTCAAGCCCAGCCTGGGCAACACAGCAAGACCCCATCTCTACATAAAATTTTAAAAATAGCCAGGTGTGGTGGTATGTGCCTGTAGTCCAAGCTACTTGGGAGGCTAAGGTGGAAGAATTGCTTGAGCTCAGGAGTTCAAGGCTGCAGTGAGTTATGATCATGCCACTGTATTCCAGCCTGGGCGACACAGCAAGACCCTGTCTCTAAGGAAAAAAAAGAGATTACAGGTGGTTCCTGAGAAGGACTGGCCTCCTCAAGTCAAAGGGATCAAATGCTGACAGACTCAGCAGAGCCAGTTACAGGGATCTTGGAGTCATGGGGATCTTTTAGCAAATCTACATGAGAAAAGTAGGGAGGATGGTATAAAAAGGCAAAGGTAGTGTCAGAACGGAGTCACAAGTAGGAAATAGAGATCAGTCACAAAGAAGAGCCTAACATTCCAATGCAGGTCAGTATGGAACAGTATATCTGGAGAGAACACTGCATAAATAGTTACAAATAAGAGAGAACAGCTTGGTATAGGCACAGCTGTTGAAGGGTTAGAAGCTGTGCTGGAGCCACCAAATCTTTTTATTATAAAGAGGCACCAGTAAAAACAAAACAAACAAACCAAAACCAAAAACAAAACATAGTACTGCTAGAGAGTTTTGTCATTTTACTAGACATTGATGGAATCTTCATTAGGATGCTGGGATAATACTTTCAGAGAAGAATAGACAACTGAGAAAGGATTTAAAGATAAACCGTGAAATGGATTAGTATGTGGAAAAGTGACTTTGCAAGGAAAAAAATGAAGAAATAGATATCATTTATATGTCATTCTGTATCATCCATGAGGGAAGGGAAGTATCTATGGGAGGCACCACTATACCTCCTGGGCCCTTAGGTTCTTACTGGAGGAGAGAGGTGAGCACAGGTCCATCCCCACTGTGGGCAAGATGCCACAGAGACTTCTCTTTCTTCTTTGACGATAAATGACAGAACACTGAAGCCAAACCCAGAGCACAGAAAAGGTGCTGGCTGGAAAGGCTAGTACTTGGAACAGAGAAGAAGAACCAGAACTTCCCCTGATTGAATGGTGAGATTCAGAAGACCATGTCCTGTAGAGTTTATTCTTCCTCAAAAGTGTTCTGTTGCCACACAGAGCCACACAGTTATAAGGAAATAACTAATCATTACTTAACAGAGATCGAAAAAGCTCTCTCAAAGCAATGGATCATTCCACTCTTTGAAGGGAGTATTCCACCAAGTATAAGTATTGAAGGTGACCACACCACAGGGGTTGAAAAAAAATTGTTCTGCAATTAATTCCAAGTAACATGCATGAATAATCTTACATGAACATGGTACTCATTGTAGAATAAAGGTTAAGAACCTAGGGATATAAAAGAGGGAGTGTATGTATGTGATGGGGGAGGGAGAGGCAAAGGAAAAGGAAAGTTCTGGCTTTGCCCCTTAGAACCATGTGATTTAGAGCAAAATTTTCAAACTCCATAACGTTCAATGTGCTCCAATTGTAAAGTATATCTAGTAATACCCACCTCAGAGTTTTCGTGAGGCTTGAAAAAGAAAATGCCCACAAAGCACTTAGCAGAATAACTGGTACAAAGTAGACTCTCAATAAATGGATGAATCAACTCAGCATAGCAACCAGAGAGCCAGGGCCGCTGGGGCTTTGGGGGGATTGTTTTCAATCCCTCCCAGACATACCAGGTGCCTTAGCTCTAATTCTTTAAGGTTTGTAAAGATGAGCCTCTTTCTGGAGTTTGACTCTCAGAGAATTCTGTTAGAGAATCACAGATCATAATCCCAGTTCACTCTTTCATTGCCAATTCTGAGTTGAGGATTCAGAAAATGGGCAGTGGGATACAACCATGGGAGCTGGGCTCTCCAAAGGTGTTCTCAAAATCATGGTCCCTTTGTAACAATAAAATGAATGTCCAACAGTCAAGCACACACAGTCTTTGTCTGAGATGCAAGAACTCTTAAGCTCTGCCAAGGTAAGAAGAGAAACTTCTAGAAAGAGACCCTCAGTGAAAAAAAACCTCGGCTTCAAGCATTCTAAGACAGTTGCCAGGAGCCACTGGCTGATTTAAAAATCCAGGGAAGCTTGGGGGCAGGGAGGGGACAACAAGGTAAGGTGAAGGTTACAGGAAGGAAGGAGTGACTATGTCAACTTTGCAGTAACTGAAAATTCCAAATTATTTACAGCGGCAGAAATCAGGAAAGCTCAATGATTTGTATTACATTTGAAAATTAATCACCCATCAGATAATGTGTAGCATATCATAAAATGTTATGGTAACATAATCAGACTAACATAAAGTCAAACAGAATGCTAGAGACTTATTTGATTCATTTCTCCTCAAACCTCCACAATGTAAACCTTTTGTCTGCTTCCCATTCCTCTACCCCTAATTTTTTTTTTTTTTTTTTTGAGATGGAGACTCGCCATGTCACCCAGGCTGGAGTGCAGTGGTGCGATCTTGGCTCACTGCAACTTCCACCTCCCGGGTTCAAGCAATTCCCTGCCTCAGCCTCCCAAGTAGCTGGGATTACAGGTGTCTGCCACCATACTTGGCTAATTTTTGTATTTTTAGTAGAGACGGGGTTTCACCACCTTGGCCAGGCTGGGCTCAAACTCCTGACCTCGTGATCCACCTGCCTCGGCCTCCCAAAGTGCTGGGATTACAGGCGTGAGCTGCCGCACCCAACCTCCTCTACCCCTAATTTTATAAGCTATTAAGAATTTGGGTGCTCTGCGGACGCCACCGCTGAGGAAAACCGTGTACTATTAGCCATGGTCAACCCCACCATGTTCTTTGAATTTGCCGTCGACAGCGAGCCCTTGGGCCATGTCTCCTTCGAGCTGTTTGCAGACAAGATCCCAAAGACAGCAGAAAATTTTCGTGCTCCGAGCACTGGAGAGAAAGGATTTGGTTATAAGGTTTCCTGCTTTCACAGAATTATTCCAGGGTTTATGTGTCAGGGTGGTGACTGTGAAGTCACCATAATGGCACTGGTGGCAAGTCCATCTACACGGAGAAATTTGAAAATGAGAACTTCATCCTAAAGCATACAGGTCCTGGCATCTTGTCCATGGCAAATGCTGGACCCAACACAAATGGTTCCCAGTTTTTCATCTGCACTGCCAAGACTGAGTGGTTGGATGGCAAGCACGTGCTCTTTGGCAAAGTGAAAGAAGGCACGAATATTGTGGAGGCATGGAGTGCTTTGGGTCCAGGAATGGCAAGACCAGCAAGAAGATCACCATTGCTGACTGTGGACAACTCGAATAAGTTTGACTTGTGTTTTATCTTAACCACCAGACCATTCCTTCCGTAGCTCAGGAGAGCACCCCTCCACCCCGTTTGCTCGCAGTATCCTAGAATCTTTGTGCTCTCGCTGCAGTTCCCTTTGGGTTCCATGTTTTCCTTGTTCCCTCCCATGCCTAGATGGATTGCAGAGTTAAGTTTATGATTATGAAATAAAAACTAAATAACAACAACAAAAAAGAAAGAATTTGGAAGGGCCTGAGGTCCCCCCACTCCACTCATTGCACCCATCAGTGACATCAAGAAAGGACTTGAAATGAAAACTAGCATTGTACCATGCTGTGCACCTCACAGCCACAGCCACCCCAGGAGATAAGCAGAGGCCACAGGCTCAGGCGGCGTAGCATCTCACAGCAGGGATACTCCCCCAGCAACAGCAGCCAGAAGACGAATGCTCCAAGCTGGACCTGCTTTAGCCACATGTGTGATAAGCTTTCAAATCTCACACACACAAGCAGAGGAAGGGGCACTTCAGAATCACAGGAAAATGCCAGGAGTATTTCAAAGTCAAATAATGCCTAGAGCAAGAGAAAAAAAGCAAGAAGAAGCTCCTCATCTCACTGCTTTCATGTTCCTGCCCCAGGGTGGGAGGGGCTATCCTAATACATAACTCACTAAGTTTTACAGGTAAACCAAATGACATTCTAGGTCTAATCATCGTTCAGGAAAGTCAGAGAGGAAGATAATAAGGACCATTCATTGCAACCCAGCAGAATCATCACCAAGTCAAGGCCTCCTTTTCTAGCACCTCATTTTATTCCTAAATTAAAACAGTGATAACTGTCAGAGGCATTTGAACCAGAGTGACTCTGTCTTGAAAACAAGCTGTAAAAATAAGGCTGAGACCTATTGGTCTGTATTCCCAGGAGGTTAGGCATTCCAAGTCACAGCATGAGATAGGAGGTCAGAAAAGATACAGGTCACAAAGACATTGCTGATAAAGCAGGTTGCAGTAAAGAAGTTGGCCAAAGCCCACCAATCCAAGATGATGATGAACATGATCTCTGGTGTCCTCACTGCTCATTATACGCTAATTATAATGCATTAGCATGTTAAAAGACACTCCCACCAACATCATGACAGTTTACAAATGGCATGACAACATCAGGAAGTTACCGTATATGGTCTAAAAAGGGGAGGAACGCCCAGTTCTGGGAATTGCCCACCTCTTTACAGGAAAACTCATGAATAATCCACTTCTTGTTTAGCATATAATAAAAAAAAAACCCATAAAAATAGCGAGCCAGCAGCTCTTCGGGTTGCTGTGCTGTGGAGTAGCCATACTTTATTCCTTTACTTTCTTAATAAACTTGCTTTCACTTTATGAACTCTGGCACAAAGTAGACTCTTTATGGACTCACCCCAAATTCTTTCTTGCATGAGGTCCAAGAACCCTCTCTTGGGGTCTGGATTGAGATCCCTTTCCGGTAACACAACCACCATCTTACATCTCAGAGCACATGGTACAGGAAAAAGAACTGAGGGTCTGGAACTATACAAACTTGGTTTCAAATATTGATGCTATCACTGAATATGAGTTATTTATGTTATCAGCTAAGTTCTTCTATTTGTAAAAATAGAGATGATCAGATCTATGCTGAAGGGTTATTGGAGGAATTGATGGAAATAAAACACAAAGGGTCAAAAATGATCCCTGCAAACTCATAGGTACTCAGTAAAGGCTAACTCCTTTCCATCACTAGAAAATAAAGAGGAATTTAAATTAGTATCACCTGGTGCACAAGAACCAAGCAAGGATGTTGTCCATTATCAACTATGGGACCCTAGGATGGCAGGAAATGGGTTCCCACACAGGCTGCTGCCTGCCCTCAGCCTCTCTTCCTCCCTCTGTCCTGCCCTGCTTTTTCAAAATAAAGATTGACTGACTCAAAAATGTGATAACCAAAAAGCTCCCATGCTCGCAAGATCAGACAAAGTTGGTTCTCCCATTACACACCTTTAGCCTATGAAGATGGGGACTAGGGAGCCAGGATTTAAGGGAGATGTCCATGAGCACAAATGGCTGTCTGTAGGAGAGCGGTAGCATAGCCAGCCCTGTGGCAGGATGTTGTCTATAAGGAAAGTCACTTGACTGGGGAGTTCATGCTCACTGTGAAGTTTAACTTGGAAAAAGCCACATATTCAGATTTGGGTTCAAGAATTTAAAAGATGACTTTTATCTTGTAATTGATTGCAATGTGGGGTGAGATGGTGCTTAAATTTTTTTTTTTTCCTGCACAGTTCTTTAGGAGCTCTTTATAAACCACTGAAAGTCATGAGAGATATAAATATATCACCTGCAAACCCAATAATTTGATTGGGTTTGGGGACTTTTTTGCCTAGAATCTATCTACTAAAAGTCACCAGAGTAAAGTGAAAATAGCAACACATTCAGAATTGAAAGAATTGAATTTCTGTTCCATTTCTGCTACCTACTAGTTGTGTGACCCTGAATAAATTAGTTAATATCAATTGCTTACCGCCATCTGTAAAACAAAGGGGCTAGAATGGAGTATGAAACTGAAGAACACCCATGTAAGAATCACCCAAAGTGCTTGCTAAAAACTGCAGATCCTAGGCTTGGCACTGCCCTCACTGAATACAGCACTGGGGATGGGGCCTGGGATCTTCATTGTTCACAAACACCTGGGATTTTTAAATTTACTGTACTTGAGACTCACTGGAGAAGATGATCTCTAGACTGTATCTCAGATGGGCACTGTCATATTCTAAATGCTTTTTGTTCTAGTGAAAGTGCTGATTCATTTGTAAATCAGTTCATAGTTTAGGCAGGTATTGAACCCTTCTTTCCTTTTTACTTTCCCTAGCCAATGAGGTTGCCCATTTTCTTCTCACTCACAGCTAACCAGCTAAGGCTAAAATAAAACATCCTGTCCAATCTTCATTCTCAAATGAGCCAAATAAATTTCAAGGTCCTTGACTTTCAGGGCAGCGCCTTGTCCAAGAGATCTCATAGCTGTTTCCGATGTTGTTTCCCAACTGAAAATATTTTTCTTCCCAAGCCAGACAACAGGGTCTTCAATTTGGTTCCAAAGCCCTGTGTCTCTTCTACTTCCTGCAACTGCTCAGATTTCTCTAGAAATCTCCTGCCCAGGTATTTGGCCTAGTTTACTTAGCAAGTTAGAGCAGGCAGGGTCACTGCACAAGGGGAATTGGTACCAGACAAACAGCATATAAAAATAAAATAAGTCAGAGCTGGAGGAGAACAACAGAGGTGATAAAATGCTAGTGAAATGAGTGGCTCATTAAAGGGTAAACCACCTACATGCTCTGTAAGAGGACCAGTCATTTGTCCTGTGATGGTCAGAGCTCATGCGCCTCAAAGAGAGAAGTAAGGACATGTGCTAAGTCTGCCATAAAAAGAAATGTTTTCAGTTTAAATATATCAATACATGTATTCTTCCTTCTAGATATGTCCTTTCTACTTTTTGGTGTTAAAGTGCCTTTACCTTTTTGAAATGGTGGTAACGGTTAATTTTGTAACTATATTTGATAAAAAATGATGTTTAAAACATCATGGTGGTATACTCTGGTTTCTCTTCAAATCGCGTAAATCTTTCGCCTTTTAAAACATCATGGTGGTTCTCTCACCCGTGTTTTGTTTTTATTTTATTTGGCTCAAAATCTCCTAGGAAAGACTGACTCTCCACCTTAGCAAAGGTACACGGTCTATCGTGGTCAAAGCATGGGAAAGGGGACCCTTCATCTCCAGCGTGGGAGTCATTGTACCTGTGTATTTTCAGCTGGCAATTTCCAGCGGAACCCTCTTAAGAGAAAGTTCTCTCTACTTGAGCTCATTCAGAAATAGTGATTTCTTGGATATATTGACTTTTTTCAAAGGGAGTCCCATGGTTTGCTTGTTTGTTTGTGGGTGGTAGGAAAGATACAGGTATTCTTATCTCAAATGTGGAGATGGAAATGGGAGATGACCACTTGGGTGTCTGTGTTGCCCTTTCTCAGTCCCTGCACTGTGAGTAGCAGCTCATTGTATTCATTCACTGGGACCACACACTTTCCGTAGGATTTCCTCAGATTTTAATACATTTGCCTAGTGCCTAGTGCCAATACATTGCCTGAAAAAAGGGATTCTTTTAATGCCACCATTCTGGGTTCCCCTTTTATTTATTTCCCCAATCCACTTAATACCTGTTAGAGCACTTCTGTTGCAAGAGTGTGGGCAGGGGCTTGGATTTCACACTTGAGCAGCTCTGGAAAGGGAGGAGACATTTATACCCAAGATAATGTACTTGACTGGATTTTATGTTCCCTTTGCTATTTCTATAGGTATTTATGCTTAAAAAGAGTTTTCATCTACCCCTGCAGCACAGCCGAACTTCTCCTCTGGCGGGATCTAGTCACACACACACATACTCACATAATCCTCCTTGCCTAAAAACAGCAGGTGAGCTGGAGTAGAAAACAAGAGAACAAGTACAGCGACCTGGAACCATGCCACCAAGGGAGAGAGGTTCCTTTTGAGTTAGGGCAACTAAGCCTGAATCCTTCTTTGGAGGAATCTAGGAGTAGGGAGATATACAACTATGACTTACATCAGGTAAAACATCATCCTCGATATCTTTCTTTGGGTGAATATGAATATAAGCCTGACATGCTGCCCCACATCTACCCTTTAGCTTATCTGGGAAAAAAAATTTATCAACTTTTCTTTGGTTATTCAGTCTTTCATTAAGCCTGTCCAACCACAGAGAGGAGAAGTTAAGACTTGTAGAAGATAGCAACAAAGATTTCCTACCCTCCTCATGCTATCTGGTCCCTGAAAGCAGCTGCAGAACCCTTCTCTCCCTCAGCCTGGGTCTGTGTTTAGGGTTCTGGCTTGCTTACACAAAGGCTATCCCATAAGATTCCAGGGGAAGCCTGACTCCCATCCTCCCATAGACTACAGCAGGCTGGTTCTGCAAAAAGTATTCCTATCTTCAGTATTCTTACAGTATTTCTATTTAAGTATCTGCTTATAATTGTCAAGGTTTGATGCTAACATTTTAAACCGACAATTACTAACATTTTAAAGGAATGGTTAAATTGTAAAACTCAATTTCTATGCGGAAGAATGATTCTAAATAAGCAGTCCTTCGTCCTTCAGACTGGGTTCACGAGTAGCTACAGGGAGTGCATTTCTTTTTCTTGCTTTCTCTCTCTCTTTCAAAATAAATGTATCTACTGTGTAAGTGTCAAGCACTGCCCTTACATTTGAGGGTATGCAGATAAATTCAGTTATAGACCTCAAGGGGCTCATAATTCAGGGCTCAGAAGTCTAAGAATAGAGACAAGGGCCAGGTGCAAGTGTGGGCCAGAGGGAAGAGGGACGGATCACAGCTGGTGTCAGGGAAGTCTTCACAGTGATGATATTTGAGTCTTCGAAAATATAAAATGGACACTGAGAATCCTATCACCAGAAAGGAAACATTGAATATTTCCAAGATGCAAAGAAATACTTCCAAGATGCAATACTTCTAAGATGCAAAACTAGGACTTTGAGAAAAGCCTACAGATTCAAGTGTGGATCAGCAGCTTGAGTGATATTGGTTCTGTCAACAATTTACTAGGTACTTCAGGCTCGCCCCTCAAGCATCCCATAATTTCAGGGTGCCTCCTAAATAGAAATGAAAATATTATTAGAAAGTTCATTTAAATAAACCTCCTATATGAAAAAAAGACCTCTTTCCAATTTGTTGAAATAAGAGAGTCATAATATTTATTTCATCAAGCGGGTGTGAGGCTTAGTCAGGATTCATTTACTTCATTACTCTTTCTAGGGCACTTGAAAATTTATATAATCCCATTTGTAGTTTGTAAGACCAGACTTCATGAGGATTTGAGGAGAAATTGTATAAATGTGAATATTTTTATCGAGTTTTTCTTCCTTCTTTCAAGTATAACCAGCCTTACTCTAGCTTTTCCAGCCCTCGCTAGAAGGCACTTTGTAATAGCAAGAGTTTCCCAAGTGAAGGCCTCGGCCACTCCTCTCTGCCTCATGCTCTGCCTCATTCATCGCTAGAGAACCTTCCTTAGTGCCAGGACCCCCCATCTCCTCTAGACTTACTTCATTCACTGTGCTCTTACTGCAAGTCCGGTTTACATGCTTATCTGTTTCCTCAAGTAGACTGTGAACAACCAGAGGGTATCAACCATCTCTTACCTGTTTTTGTTTTCTTGAATCTCCAGCGCAACTAGTTACACAGTGACTAGCAGAGAAGAGGTGATTAAATAAAGGTTTGTCAAATGAATGAGTGCCCAAACCCTCTGCTCTTGTTACAAGGCAAAACCCAGCCTGTGCCCTCTGACGATGCAGCCTATCCTCCTGTTTGTTCTTCAGCTGCAGCTCACTCTACCCCAGCACCTCCCCTTTCTGACTACCTGAATCTTATCTATTATTTAAGGCAGAGGTTCCCAACCTTGGCTGCACATTAGAATCACATGGGGGAGCTTTACAAATAAAATAAACACTGATGCTCAGCTCTACTGGCAGAGATTTTGATTTAACTGGTCAGGGTGGGGCATTGGCATTGGTATAAATGCTCCTGTGATGAGCCTTAAGTGCAGCCAGGTTTGAGAACCACTGATTTTTTTTTTTTTTTTTTTTTTTTTTTTGAGACAGAGTCTTGCTCTGTCACCCAGGCTTGAGTGCAGTGGCACACTCTCTACTCACTGTAACCTTTGCCTCCTGGGTTCAAGTGATTCTCCTACCTCAGCCTCCTGGGTAGCTGGGACTACAGGTATGCGCCACCACGCCTGGCTATTTTTTTTTTTTTTTTTTTTTTTTAGTAGAGATGGGGTTTTACCATGTTGGTCAGGCTGGTCTCGAACTCCTGACCTGAGGCGATTCACCCACCTTGGCCTCCCAAAAGTGCTGGGATTACAGGCATGAGCCACTGCGTCCTGCCGAGAATCACTGATTTTAAGGTAATACTCAAGTCTCACCTTTTCCTGAAAAGACTTAATATGCCTCTGATGATGTTACCTTCCTTTAGAGTCAAAGCAGTTACTGTTTTAACCACTCATTAGACAACAAATCAAACACTGCCTTGTAACAGTACCTCAGTATTAGTTTGTTTGGACCTCGAGGGCAGGAACTAGTCTTCTACTTCTTTATATCCCCATACCATGCACGGGGTAGACCAAAACATATTTTCGATGGTTTAAAACAACAACAACTACAAAAAGTAGGAGAGGCCATTTTAATTCTACTCTAAGAACATGTCTTTGGTAAGAATAAAAATGTTGCAAAAAGGGTGGGGCAGGATTGAAGCAGAGTAGGAAAAGAGTAAATAAAAGTCAAATGGAAAAAAAGCTAAATTAGTCCAAAAGAAAATGTTTTCCAGCTTCTTAAGAGAGTTTTTGCAAACACTGAAGCAGAATAAGCAAGAAAATTAACTTGGCTTGTGGCCCTGATAAGATTTCTTTCTTGGTTATAAAATTTTGCAAAGTTTCCAGGGTGTAAAGAAAATAATCAGCCAGGGAGGACTCCTTCCCTCAGACAACACAATTCAGCTCTTGGGTTAATCGGCTTGAAGGTCTGCTCAGCTTGACCTGACCCCCTTCCAGGCCTGTGATCTGAAACTAAGCCTCACATTCAAGAGCCCTGGTGTAGAGCTCAATGTCATAGAAACGGGATAAAATATAATCCTCATCCCATAACCTTGATCCCTGGGTGTAGTGGCCTCTGCTTGGGCATTGGAAAAAAAACCCTAAAAAACAAAAAACTATACCTGTTATCTTCTCTAAGTGGCTGGTGTCCCAGAGGTCTTACTACCCTAGAATTATCTAGGCACGTTCTGCTACTAAATGGTGTTATAAGAAAGTACTACTTGGTGCAATTACCTTAAAGGTTAGCTTTAAAGTACTGTTTTATGCACATATCCCAGAAAAGCCTTCGCTTCGTATGGCTTCTATGGTTTTTCATAAAATAAGACCACAGGAAAGACTCAGGGAATCACTAAGCACACCCTCTGCTAAGGCAAGATAAGGTCACTAGACAGAGACATGTTTTTTCTATATCAAACTTTATTCTAGTTATTAGGTCACAAATTTAACAACTGGTCCCCAAAGGCATGCATATTTCTATAGATTAATTAAATGTATGTTCTTTGCCTGGGTTGGCCATTTTAACACTGGCCATATTTTACATTAATTTCTAATTATTGTTTGAAAACATGATTCCAAGGCATTTAAGTCTGCTTCTTATTGATTAGTAATGATAGTAACAAGTTGTCTTTTGTAAATTAAGATAACATGACTGACCCATCTAATGGGATGGGAGTTGATGAACTGTCACTGATCCATCTACACTTTGCTCCTGGTTCTCCTTATGACCACTGGCCTGCATTTGACCTTATCAGCCAAAAGCCAAGAGCCACCAACATCCTCCAGTCACCAAAGAGACATAAAAAATAGCATTTGTCCTACCAGCTACTTCCTGTTGACACTGACTGGTTAATTTATTAAAACAAAAGAAAAGTAAAAATATGGCTCTAATTTCTTTATTCACTTATAAATTCTAACTGGAATTAGTAAAACTAGGATTTGGGAGCCTTGAACCCATGATACCATATATAATAGATGAAATCATAAATTCCGTGTGTAACAGTAAGAATGGCTTCTAAAATCTAAAACCTGAAACAGAGATAAACTATAAGTTTTCAAGGAGTGGGATCAAGGATCCATGAAAACGAATGACTCAACATTGATTCACAAGGAATTTTGCTTCCTCTGATAAAGTTTACATAGGTGTGTTCAACAATCCTTAATGATATCCCTGAAAGCTGCAACACAGCTATTTAACATGATTTACTACCAAAGGTCATTAGATTCCCCAGGAATATTTTGGAATGTGTTCCACTAAAAAGAGAAATAACAGCTTCAGAACCTAGGATACCAGACTCTTCAGGGAAAAGGTGCCATTGAGGTAATGAGTAGTCCAGGGCCTGAAAACTCAAGAATGTTTCCCTGAATAGAAACAAGCAGCTCTATCTTCTCAGGACATGGCTGACGTGATCACCAAGCTGGAATATTATTTACATAGTCCAAAGCAAACCAAGAAGAATTCTCTGGTTTGGAAAATTATGTCTAGAACAGGCAATAGCTCACGCCTGTTTTTGATGATTCCTGCTTCCTTGAAAAAGAGCCAGTTTACCTAATGCAGGTAAAGGCAACAACAGCTTTTCTGCCATTTTCTCCAGAAAGGATCACCAGTGTGACATTTCATGCCTCTGTATCTAAATGGCCTGGATTTGATATATATTTAGCAAGGTGGGCAAATCTGGCTTCTGAATTCTGTCCTATCCAAAAAATCAAAATAATCACCCGTCTTCTTCCTCCTGCTTTTAGGAGAAACTAGATTGAATCTGGTCACACAGCAGGATAAAGTTGAGGTTAGTCATTAGGAAAAAGAATTTTTTTATTATGAAACATTTTACCAAAGCTTTACCAAAGAGGTCAGACAGTGGTGTCCTTTTCTTTGGAATGAAGAATGAAGACAGAAGACTTAAAAGGAGGTAGAAAGTAAACTTTCTGGATGTAAGGGAAGGATTTTCAGTTTTGGCCAGGATAGAAACCACAAATAGGGAACTCTGAGAAAGTGACCAACCATTTGGAGGTCTTTCTAGCATCATTCAGTACTTTACACTACAGGTGTATGCGTTAATGTAAAAGTACCTAGTATCTGGGGAATAATTTATTCACTTGGCAGCATCTGCTGGCCTAAGATTTTCAAAGTACACATACTTCAAGAAAAAGCATCATCATTATTTAATTCATATACAAATTAGTCCTCAACAAATACAATCTAAGTGAAATGATCATTTAGAGATAGAGAATTGGATACCCTTAGAGGTGTGGTCCTTGGTCACTTACAAATATCAGAGAAATGCTGACTCTGTGGGATCAATTCTTATGTTTTTTCCTGTGTGTGACTTGTCTCCCCACTTTATTATAACTGTTGTTGGGACAAGCAGAAATGCTGGTTTCTTTAGGCCCTAATAGCTGCTGCTGGCTCAGGACAGACAATGCGGCCAGCATTTTCAGAAGACGCTCAGATTGCTTGGTATATCTCATTCCCCGACCTTCATAGTCAGAGAATACTGTCAAAGCACCCACCTGTCTTCTCTCTGAATCAAGGTACTGGAGGATCAGCCGGGTATTCACACTGTGACTCCAGGTATTTCCTAGTGCGGCTATCACACAGCTGGATCCAGAAGTGCCTGAAATGAAATGGTAAAAGCACGCTTTCAGATGCCCTTTCTTGAGATGGCATTTCACATGAAGTCCAGACATTACTCATTGCCAGTAGTCCAGAGAGTACTTGGAGGCTCAGTTCATTACCACAGAACTTGAGGAATCAGTGAAGTAGGAGAGGGGTTAAGGAATATGAGACTAAAAACCAGCAGGGGTTTCCTTCAGCCTTGGTGAAAGTGACCACCACTGGGCCAAATAATAACAGAGTTATATATCAAAAAGAGGTTGCATTGCAAGATAGCTCAGAGCCATTGCTACTAGTAAATCTAGCCATTCAATATCTAAGGCATAATGCTACTCCACAGAATAAGAACCAGTTATGAAATAGTCTTAGTTTAATAGAGTTGTTAGACATTTTTAGCTAGACAAGAGTCTTAACTCAATTTTCCCTATCAATATAGAAATGGTGGCATATACATGTAAAATTCCCTGGTCCTCCCACCCCCCCGTATACACAACGCAAAAAAAGGAATCTAGAAGATCTCAGCATTTCATAGGTAAGCTGTTTTAGACATCCCTATTCCAAGAGAAACATTCCTTTACCTTCTAAGACTTTCCTATAAGGAAGAGGGTCTGAAGTAAACTCTATCTGAGTTCCTAGCCTCCTCCAAATTGCATCTTACATCTCCAAAGCTTTACTGACCCTTCTTGATATCACCATGAGAAAACCCTTTCTGTTCCCTACCTGCTCCTTCCCCCTTGAAGGCAAGCCAACAAGTCCTGCTGCATAGAAGCCAGCTCCCACTATCATGTCCAGCACATCCCAAGGCCTCCTCTGAACCCCTGTGCCCTGTGCCCGAGGCCTCCTCTGAACCCCTGTGCCCTGTGCCCAAGGCCTCCTCTGAACCAACTTTGGCCCTAGGCCATGACAGGAATCCTAACCTTAGGAGGGCACAGTTGGACATTTAGTGTGCCTTGTTGCCTCCAGATGCGATCTTTTTTCTATGAGGAGACTACATAGAGGTTGAAGTCCACTGAATTAGCTAAAACAAAATGAGGCCTTGAATGTGTCATCCGTTGTCCCCTTACTACATCATCTGATTTGTACGCCTCAGTGTGGAGTAGGAATTGGTCTTTTTTTTTCCAGGGCAGACACCTTTCAGGGTGGTCTACTAACTGCACATGGCCTTAAGCACCTGGGCCCAAATGCTGCAACAGACAAATGTAGTTCAGTGGTTCTTGGCTGGAGGGTGATTTTATTGGCAATGTCTAACTCGCAGTGTTACTGGCATCTAGAGGGTAGAGGCTGGTGATGCTGCTAACCATTTTATAATGCATAGGACAGCATCCTACAACAAAGAATTATCCAGCCCAAAATACAGCAGTGCTGAAGTTGAGAACCCCTGGGTCAGATAACACCAACCATATATATCTATTTCCTGGTTCAAGCAGGAACAGGAATGAATGAGATGGAAATCAATAACCAAGGTCTCAACAAGCCTGGGGATATCAGATTGAAAGAGAATTTAGTGTAAGAAAGAATAAAATTTGGGGTAACCTCAGTTCATTATGCACACAATTCAAAATATGCACAAATTAATGTGAAAACAAATAATCTAGATTGTTCCGATCTGATCACATCATTCCCCTACTTAAAATGCCTTCAGTAGTCCTTCATGCCTGAGATTAAATACTATCTCCTAAACAATGCACTCTGAGCACTTTGTCAGCTGCCTCTGCATCTCTCTCTGGCTTCACCTCTCTCAGCCTCCTCACTGGATGGTCTCCCATGACCTCCTGACTTCCCTGGCCTCATCCTCCTTGACCTCTTGTCAGCAGTTGATAAAGCTTCCCCCTTCCTTGGCATCCAATCTACTGGCCTCTTCTGCTTCTCCTTTTACCATGTTGATTACTCCTTTCCTTTTTCTGCCTTTGTTTTCTCTTTCTTCTTAGTTGTGGGTGGACCTTAGGGAGTGGGGCATGACCACATTTTTTCTTGTCTAATACCAGATGCTTTCAGTATCCAGGAAAATAATGTACATTAGTAAAGAGGCCAAGTGCTTGCATATTAACATGTAGAACTTCTTCACCCCCACTAAGAGATATAGTCTTTACCATTTCTCTTGAAATTCACAACCCTCTCAGTCTAACTTTTCATTTTCCCCTTTTTGATAGAAATAGACTTATAGAAAAATATTTTCTACTATAAGAAAATCAACACTGCAAGGGCAATAGCAACTATATTTGCATTTTAGAAAAACAGCTCTATTGAGATAATTTGCTATCATACCTCCTCCAATTTCAAGTGTACAGTTCAGCAGCTTTTTCTATATTCACAGAGATGTTCAGCCATTACCACAATTAACTTTAGAACATTTCAAACCCCTAAAAAGAAATCCCACACCCACTGGCCATCAGTCCCCAACACCTCATTCCCTGCCCACCTCCAGCTCTTGGCAACCATTAACCTATTTTTTTTTTCTCTATAGATTTAGTAACTGACTTTCAATTAAAGCCTTAGGAGATGAGGGGAAGTGGTGAGTACTGTGGTGAGTTCGAGAATTCATCCAGGATCTCAAGGGGGCAGTCTCTGTTCAGCTCTAGCTGTTGTCATGTGGCAATGTGAGTTCATAGTTAGTCACATCTTATTTATTTATTTTAAAATTGTAAAAAACTTTTATAATCACATCTTTTGATTTTTAAAAATCATAGTGATATGATTTTTTAATTGCGCTAACTTTAAAGCGCAATTTTGATTTTTAAAACGGAAGCCAGAAATCAATGCTTTTTAAGTATAATTTCCTGATTTTAAAATGTTGGTTCAATATTTACACTTTTAAAAACACACAAATAAACATGCTTTTGAGCCAGATATGCCTCATTCCCATCAAGCTTGCAGTGTCTGCTCTACATGGCATGGCTCCACTTTGAAAAGGATGAGAGCCCATTTGACAAGGTGGATGGTTTCTACGCCTTTGTCGCAACCTTTGGCTTGTCTCAACACTTGTCTTCCACTTTTAACCACAAGAACTGCAAGTCTACATCATAAATTTTAGCACTGCAAATTCAGTATCATCAAAGCAAGCTCATATTTTCCCATATAAATCTACTCCATCTCTGTTCCTTCCTTTGACCCTCCAGTTAATCTGGTTTAAAACCTCAGCTCCATTTTCAAAATGTTTCCTTCTCTCATGCTTCTCACTTGCAATAAATTGAGAGGTCTTACTGATTTAACTGTAAAATCCTACCTATATCCATCCATTCATTTCTCCTACCTCACCCTTAGATCCATTCCTGACTCTCCATTCCTCCTAAATCAACCTTAGACCCACATTAGCTTTCACCTGGTGTGACTGCTTTAGTTGCCTGTTGTCTGTGCTGCTGTGGCTTTCTCCCTACTAAAGCCACCCTCTGTTTTACTACCTGATTAACCTCCTCCAAGCACACACCTAAGCACACCACCCTCCCATTTACAACCAGCAGGCTCAAAACCTTTCAGTGGCTCCCAAGTGTCTTCAGAGAATTCTAAATTCCTAACACTGGCATTCAAGGACTTTCTACCCTGCGCCCACCTGCCCTTCCAGACTTCTTCCCCCTGCTCCATTTCCCACAACTGTGTTCCTACTTAATCACTTATTTCCCATGTCCCTCCCTCATCTGGAACTCCCCTATGTTCACATGTCCCAAATCTACTCTGCCTTCAATGCTACTTCCTATGTGCCAATTTCTCTAATCTTCACAGAAATAATGTCTTCCTCCTGTAAACTTCTATAATACTTTATTTTACTGTCTCATATTACAATCATTTTCTACCTGTGGTATATTATTTGTGTGCTTTTCTTATCACCTTTAATACAGAGTCGTGCTCTGCACAATGATGTTTCAGCAAATGACAGACTGCAAATATGACAGTGGCCCCATAACATTATCATGCAGCTAATAAATTCCTATCACCTAGTGATGTCACAGCAATGGTAACATCATAGCACAATGCATACTCACATGCTTGTGGTGATGCAGGGTAAATAAACCTACTATAATCTCAGCTGTATAAAAGTATAGCACATACAGTTATGCATAGTACATAATACTTGATCTTATTATATGTATTTACTATACTTTTTATCAATATTTTAGAGTCTATTCTACTTATAATAACCAGTTTAGTAAATACAAAAACCAGTTATGTAGTTACTACACTTTTATGTATTTACTATACTTTTTATCATATCTATATTGATGTATTTACTATATATACTTTTATGTAGTTTATGTATTTACTATACTTTTAATGTATTTACTATACTTTTATGTACTATGTACTTACTATACTTTTTTTAATCATGATTTTAGAGTATATTCTACTTATTTTAAGAAGTTAACTGTAAAACAGCCTCAGGAAGATCCTTCAGGAGGTATTGCAGAAGAAGGCATTGTTATCATAGGAGATGACAGCTTCATGCGTGTTATTGCCCCTGAAGACTTTCCAGTGAGACAAGATGGGCGGGTGGAAGACAGTGATATTGATGATATTGATCCTGTGTAGTCCTAGGCTAATGTGTGTGTCTGTGTCTTAATTTTTAACAAAAAAGTTTAAAAAGGTAAAAAAATCTAAAAAACAGAAATAAGATTATAGAATAAGGATATAAAGAAAATGTTTTTGAACAGCTATGCAATGTTTGTATTTTCAGTTATGTTATTACAAGATCAAAAAGTTAAAAAATTAAAACATTTATGAAGTAAAAAAGTGATAGTAATCAAAGGTTAATTTATTATTGAAGAAAGAAAAATGTCTCTATCAATGAATATAGCCTAAGGATACGGGGTTTATGAAGTCTACAGTAGTGTACAGCAGTGTCCTAGGCCTTCATGTTCATTCATCAGTAGGTGCACTCACCAACGGACCCAGAGCAACTCCAGTCCTATAAGCTGCAGTCATAGTAAGTGCCCTACACAGGTGTACCATTTTTAATCCTTTTACCATTTTTATTGTACCTTTTCTGTTTAGATGTGTTTAGATACACAAATACTTACTACTGTGTTCCAATTGCCTATAGTATTCAGTACAGCAACATGCTGAATGGGTCTGTAGACTAGGAGCAATGGGCTATACTATACAGCCTGGGTTTGTAGTAGGCTATACCATCTCAGTTTGTGTAAATACATTCTATGATGTTCACACAATGTCAAAATTGCTTAATGATGCATTTCTCAGAACCCATCTTCATTGTTAAGTGACATATGACTGTATATTATAAAGAGGCCAAACCCACGCCTGATGTATGTCAGCATGCCTGAGTTACTTAACACAAGGTCTGAGACACAGAGGATGCTTATAATACTGACTAAATGACTAATTAAAAAGTTATTTCCACTAAATTTTGAATCATATTGTATCCTTGTTTTGGCAGCAGATTTACATCCTTAATTCTATCTTGCTTAGCTAAAATTAACAGGTTTACATTTTTCAAGTAAACTCTAGAAATTAGTTGCTTAGATGCCTGCTAAGTGATGGGATCAAGGGAGGCTAAGCTCTAAAGTTTGTCAAGAAAAAGCTACATGTGAATAATTAGGAGTTGCTAGTTAAGCACTCAAACTTTTTTTTTTTTTTTTTTTTTTTGGTGATAAACTGTAGGAGTTTCTCGGGTCTAAAGGAAGACACAGGATGTCTTCAGAGATTGGAGCCACATTTGGGCCAGGAGCAACTATTTAAAGGACTCCGCGTCGCTAAAACAATAAGAATAGTATAAAAAAGTACCCATGTATTTGGTTGTTTTCTGGACAGGTAAACCCAAGTCTTAAGTAAGGGCCATGAGTACAGATGACCACAGAAAAGTTTCCAAAGGAAACCCTGAGTGAGCAAGCTTGACTGTAGTCTACTATAGACTTTAAAAATATCCATTTGTATTTTTAGGAGTTCTTACAAATATTAATCCACCATAAAAGTAATAACAGCAAGGCCTTGAAAGTTAATGATAATGAAAGGCAATTTTTAAATTTTTTTTTAGAGAAAGGGTCTCCCTTATTGCCCAGGCTGGAATGCAGTAGTATGATCATAGCCCACTGTAACCTTGAATTCCCATGCTCAAGCAATCCTCCCACCTCAGCCTACCGAGTAGCTGGGACCACAGGCACATGCCACAATGATTGGCTAACTTATTTTTATTTTTCTGTAGAGACAGGGTCTCACTATGTTGCCCAAGGTGGAAAGGCAATATTTTTTAAGGTACTATGTGCTAGGCACTATGTAAGCTTAAATCTTGCTGAGCTTCATATCTTAGCTACATCTCTTTTGATCCTTACAACAATCCTATGAAGTGAGTAATATTAACATCCCTATTGACAGAATGAGGCTATGAGAAACTAAGTCACTCCAGTTCACATGGTTAGTTACTGACACAGCCAGGGTTCGAAACCAGGCCAACTGAGTTTTAACCACTACTCCAATTAGCTTTCTCTGGGCTTATCATGTCTCTCATGTCAAATAACGTGTTATTCTGCCAGCCCACAAGAGTCTTGAGAGCTCAAAGGCCCATCTCTGGGAGGATACCGATGGAAGTGTGTCATGAGGATCTTATCACTCATCTGAGCTCTGCATGTCACTCAGGCTCCATACTCGGCTTCCTCTGTTCTGATGTACAGTGATAACCCAGGGCAAGGGGTTTCCAGAAAGACAGCACATACTCTGGCTCAGCAAGTTACTTAATCTCACTCAACTGGCCCAGCAGCTGGATTCACGCAAGTCAGGTGGCCTGGAACTGATCCTCTCTGGTTGTAGAATTAAAAATCTGGCAAGGATTGGAAAGATAGTTTACTTAATAGGGCCTCAAGTATAGGAAAGCAATTGAAGGGTGATTGCAGTGATAGAATCACTTGAGAGAGGGAGGTAGGGAAACTGTAAGTTACTATAAAGTTGTGACCTTATTTTAAACTAGAAAACTTAGTGGTCTCTTATGTCTTTTGACTTTCAAGCATTCCTGTGAGAGGGCTGGCATAAATGATTGTTAATGCTGTTGATGGGAAATTTAAAGTAGGAGGAATCTGCCTACTGGCTTTTAAGAAAAGGTGATTTCCTGCAAGATGACCTAATTGGTTAGGAAACAGATAAGTGAACCTTCTCTATGTTCACTTTAAGAGGAAGTTCTAAAAATTGAGGTGCTCACTCCCTCTCTCTCCTTTTTGATGATTGTGATATTTAGACCTGCCAAAGCAGTATAACTTCATTGTCTGGAATTTGGTTAATTCCAATGCAAATACAAAAATCAAATACGTGAACTGAGCTTTGAAAATATTTTCATTTTTGAGGATTTTCATTGTTATGGGATTGAGCCTGTAGAAGTCTCTGTGTAAGCTACATAGAGCAAATCTAATCTACTCACACTGAAGTCAGGGCTCTGTAAAAGACTGTGGGAACATTCATTCTCCACTCTCTCAGAGACTCTTTTAGGTAAGTCAAAGCATGTTCTCTTTCTGTGATTGCTAACCCATCTGTAAAATGTGAATAATAATTCTGGCCTCCAGGCAACCAGAGGTTCTTGATGACCCTTAGATGAAGATACTTGATATGTATAAGTGACAGGAACAATGATGATCAAACACTGAAGATGAAATTCTAGGGAGGAAAGAAGTTTAATCATTATCTCCTGCATTTTTTATTCTGTTAACAATGAGGCAAGATAGTAAATCTTAGTTGCAAAGTGGTTAAAACACATGATTTGGATTCTGGAATATCTTTCATGACTATCTTTTGGATCCAATTCCTTACTCATTTGGTGTGGGAGTTGGTTATGAAGACGAATTTCTCACAAGGCAAGGAGCTGTCTCTCTGCTCTGTATACATGGGGTGTAGCCCTCGTGCAATCAGACTGGAGGAGGATAACCAGGTTGCTATGTAGCCTTGATTTCCAAAAAGGTGATGGGCTTCTGGTACCAACCCGTGTCAGTATTTAGAAGAGGCCTGTTGGAAAGCTCTTAATGAGAAAGCTCCTTCTCTGAAAACATTTCAATTTATGACTCCTGTGCTAAGCATTTCTAGGAGATCAAACTGAATCTCTAGTGCATAACAGAAAAGCATTTGCCCTGCAGCAAAAGGGTCAACTTTAAAAGAATGCTTTTCCATGTTAAAAAAAAAAAAGTCAAAAAAACAAAGCAATGACTCCCAAAATAGGAACAGAGGGGAAGGAAAAGTTCATGGCCTTAGCGGACTGGATATTCTGGATATTTGGTCCCTCCAGTCCCTGCAGATGAAAGCCCATTTATTTAGAGTAGAAAGAGGAAATTTAAAAAAATAAAGGAATAACAATACCTACAAATGTTTTCAGGATTGAAATAAATCCAGGGAAGAAGATGGTATGTTACCACTGGAACTGCATTCTCGTTCATATCTCTTGTCCTCACGTCCTGAAGCACATTCCATGTAATGCATGATAGCCTGTGGCCAGCTGCTGGCTAGAAAGCAGGACCCTGCAGTTCTATTTCTGACTCCGTCTGGGCTTTTGATGAGACCAGGTGGGAGAAGGAGAGTAGTGTAACAAAGAACCTCAGAGTAGGCCTTGGTAATGAGCAGTTACCTAACCTCACTGAGCCTCAGTTTCCTCATCCATGACAAGAAGGGGTAAATGACCTCAATAGTTCCTGCCTTATTAAAAAACTTTGAGTCTTTGGTATTTTGATGATATGAATGAGTTCCTCATCGAGAACCTCACTTGTTCCAGGAAGTTTGAGAATGCACCACTCCATGCGCTGTCTTTGAATCGCTGTGCCCTACCCAGCACCCGTTTGTGCTTGAAAAGAGCACAGGCATGGGTTCTTTTGCTGATAGCAGATTTCTCTCCAGACTAGAGATTTTCTTAGTCTACCCTACTTAGTAAGACTTTATGATGGGTAAACCTGTGCTGACCAGTGGCCAAGTCCCAGCAAACACAACTTCATAGTAACAAAGCTTAAAGACGGGAGTCTGAGTGCGAGACTAGGGATCAGAAGGATTCAATTCATTCATTCAATTCATCATCCATTCAATTCAGCTTCTCCTGTTTAAAACTAGGCCCCTGGCACTTGCTGAGCATGGTTCTTTATTGGACCATCCATTTGAACTGGGGAAGGGACTGAGAATCTTGGTTACCTCTCTTGGCAGGTCATCAGTTCTTGTTCCATTCAATGCAGAATTTTAGCAACAAAAGGCGAAGAGGATGAGTAAGTTATTAAAGCTGGGAAACTGCCTATAATAGGTTATTTTTAGAATAAAGATTCAAGATGACCTACAAGCTCTGTGAGACCACAGGACAAAGGTGTCAAAGAAAAGAGACTGGGATAGGCTCAGACATTTATCTTCCAGCAAAATTAATTTCCTTGAGGGCTTGTGGTTCACTAACTGAATCTGTGAACCAGCTGTATTTAGGGTGCATTCTACTTCCTTGGGTCTCTAAAATTGACAATGGTCTATAGGTCAGGTTCCAACGGAAGTGATATTTCTGACCTAGCTCTATAAATAGAGCACTGGAAAAAACCCATCAGCTGCAATGGCTCAGGGACCACACGCTATCTATTAAGTAAGCAACCGCAGTATTTGTGCTACCATTTTAGATACGAAAAAATATATCTTTTGTTATTTATAATCTTCTGAGCTTTGAGATTCTCAAAATACTTTAAAGCTATTAGTCGTCTTTCAGATTTATAAATACAGGATCTGAGGCATAAAACTATGTAATAACTGCTTCAACTAATACCATTTACCCACCGAGGAAGGCATTTGGCTGGTAAAGAATGGGCTGCTTCACTTTAGTAAAGCAGAAAATTTCATTCCTGATGTCTCTTGGCTGGAGGTGAAAGGAGTGAATGCAGTCCAGAGGCTTTACTTGCACAACATACCTAGGCTGATGCAAGTCTCAGCAAACTCGTTACTGAGAAAGGTAAGAAATGTGAAGCAGAAGACAGGAAGAAGTGAGGCAATCAGAACCTCTGGAATGCAAGAGTTAGGGATGGATCCTCCATAGCACAAGGTAGGGGAGAAGCGGGGGTGAGCCATCCACTAGGCTAGAGACTGGTATGCACCAGCACAAATCACTCAACAACTCCACTGGCTCATGGACAGGGAGAAAATACCTTCAGTTTCCCAGAGTCTTAACAAAATACTTTAAGTTCTTATCCAACCAGGACATTTTTGAAAATGAAATGGGGACATTTTAATAGTTATACTGGGATAACAGAGATAAACTGAGCTTGCCCTGAGAAAACCAAGACATATGTTATCCTACAGAGATACTATGTAGGAACTGTCCAGAATCACAGTGAGCATGCTCACTTTATACGAAAAGCTTCAGTCTGTACTAGGATTCTCTGCTGTGTCTGCAGTGTCGATCATCAAGGTCTCAAAGATGGCAAGGAAAACAATAGTAGGCATAAGAAGAACAGAACTAGATTGTCTGAATAAAAAGAAGCAATCTCCTCCCATCAGCTCAACTCCCAACATTCTCCAGGAGGCCATGCCCCTGAACCTTTTCTCCAATACAGCTTTCCCCTTGCTACCTTCTACTTAAGGAAAGGAAAAAAAAAATCCTGAATGGTGACTTGTAGTGAAATCTCTTGACCTTTGCAAATAAGTTTTTAATTAAAAATAAATTCACTCATTACAGAAAACACATATTACCCTTAAGTAAATACTAGCAAAATAAAACAAAGAAAACAAAAACCTAACCATTTAAAGAAATCTGTGGCACTTTCTCTTTAAATTTAGCTTCATTCAAGACAAGCCAGAAAGATGCTTGCATAAAATATGTTTTTTTTCCCCCACAGTGTGTTCTATCTGTTCACCATGAAATCCTCAGACCACACCTTTCAGCTGTCCTGGTATGAGCTTTGCTTTCCTGCTCCCATTGTAGAGTCAGAGGCAGCAGGCGGATACCAGAGTTGAATTCTAATAAGTCTTGTGTATTATACATGGTCACCATCTCATTTTTTGACCACTTGATGTTTGTTTCAGATGGCACTGGCTGAGGCAGAATGAATACAGCTGCTGATTCTGATCTCACACTGGGTATATCCCTGAGTGCTGGAAAAAACATCACCCTCAGAAGTGTGCATTCAGCCAGCTGCCTTTGGAGAGAGCTGGGAAGGGTGCAAAGTGGCATGTCCTTTACCAGTCACTCTTTCTGGGTAAGATTCAAACTACAGTGAAGTAACATTTGGTCGCTTTACATATCCAACGAAGTACTTTGGGACAAGGAGAAAGCCAGGTGGCCACCCACTTGACTGAACAGCAAGGGGACACACCAGCAGTCATGTGGTTTGCCTTCAGGAAATCAGCTCACAAGGCAAACCCAGGGCTGAGAGAGGGTCCTTTGCCCAGGCCTTAGCTTGTGAAGAATCAGGCCTGGGTAAGCCTGCTGTTGCTTCAGGCCCACTTTGGATCACTGGCTCTTTGCAAGCAGTAAGAACAGAAGAGAAAAGAAATATGATTTGTTTATTAGGAAATATGTTCTTGAAGAAAAATTTTTCTGGGAGAACATCAATGGCTTTAAAAACCATTAGTGCAAAAAGACATTTCAACTAAAATGCCATGTCTAATCCTGGACTGCATCCTGGAAAAAACTGCCATAGAGTACATTATTGGGACACCTGGCAAAGTTTGAATATTGCCAGTATATTATATAATAGTATTGTATCAATACTAATTTCCTGGGTGAGATCATTGTACTGTGGTTATGTAAGAGAAGTTCTTGTTCTTAAGAGATAAATGCTGAAGTATTTGGGGATGAAAGGATATGATATCTGTAACTTGCCCTCAGATGGTTCAGCAAAGATAATTATAATAAGTTAACAATATTATAAAATAAATTGGTAACTAATATACAAGAGATAAA